>NC_000006.12:33696363-33999393 GCF_000001405.40 Homo sapiens | reverse complement strand
TGCTCTCAGGTTTGCCTGGGCTTCCCTGAGCTTTGAAGAAGAGAACCTGAGCCCCGGTTGCCTTAGCATCTATAGCTTCTCTCCTTTCTTTTTAATTATTATTTTAAAAAATCAAATTGTAACGTATCGACCAGGCACAGTGGCTCACACCTGTAATCCCACCACTGTGGGAGGCCAAGCCAGGCAAATCGATTGAGCTCAGGAGTTTGAAACCAGCCTGAGCAACATGGCAAAACCCCATCTCTACCAAAAATACAAAAATTAGTGTCATGATGGTGCACGCCTGCAGTCCCAGCTACTTGGGAGGCTGAAGTCAGGAAGTCAACGCTGCACTGAGCCATGATCACACCGCTGCACTCCAGAGCAAGACACTGTTTCAAAAAAAAAAAAAAAGTTATACACATTTTACAGTAAAGTGCACAAATATAAAGTCTACCGCCTCATGAATTACAGTAAAGTGCACAAATATAAAGTCTACCGCCTCATGAATTTTTACACATGTATACACCCATGTAACCATTATTCAAATCACAGTATAGAACATTTCCAGAATTTCAGAAAGTTTCCTCATGCCCCCGCCTAGTCAATAATTAATCTCCCTGGTTGGGTGCGGTGGCTCACATCTGTAAACCTAGCATGTTGGGAGGCTGAGTTAGGAGGATTGTTTGAGCCCAGGAGTTCAAAACTAGCCTGGGCAACATAGTGAGACCTTGTCTCTACAAAAAAATTAAAACATTAGTGGGGAATCATGGCATGCACCTGAGGCAGGAGAGTAGGGTCTGGAGGCAGGAAACCTAAGGCCAATTCATGCTGATATCCTAGAACTAAATCATAAGGAAAACTCCAACTTTCCACACCCAAGTAACAAAAGGACCAGAGGCTACTTCCCTTTGCAACCGCCCATCCTTTTCTGCATGGCAGATGAAAAATGGAAAGTACCTCTGATTGGTCCCCTCCCACACCCAGTCAGAGTGGTCGTGGGCCTAGTCTTCATATGCATAGGAGTATAACTTTGTAACTTTACTTTAATCAGACTGGTTGTGGGCCACTACTTTATTTACATAGGGTGTACACCAAGTAACCAATGGGAAACCTCTAGAGGGTATTTAAACCCCAGATAATTCTGTAATCAGCACTCTTGAGCTGCCTGCTCGAGCCCAGTCCCACTCGAGTACACTGTGGAGTGTACTTTTGTTTTAGTAAATCTCTGCTTTCCTTGCTTCATTCTTTCCTTGCTTTGTTTGTGCATGTTGTCCAATTATTTGTTCAAAATGCCAAGAACCTGGATGTAACACACCTGTAGTCACAGCTATTCGGGAGGCTGAGGCAGGAGGGTCCCTTGAGCCTGGGAGGTAGAGGCTGCAGTGTGAGCTAGAATCATGCTATTGCACTTTACCCTGGTCAACAGAATGAGATCATCTCAGAAAACAAAAACAATAACAACAACAAAACCCTAACCTCCTTAAGAGGTAACCACCATTCTGACTTCTATCACCACAGATTATTTTTGCCTGTTTTTGAACTTAACATGAATTGAGCCATACGGTACATACAGTATGTATGATTTTGTGTCTGGATTGCTTCATTATAATATTTGTGAGATGCATCCATGTCATTATATATATGAGTAGTTTGTTTATTTTTATTGCTGAGTAGTACTCCATTGTATGATTATTTCATCTCCCTTTGATACAGATTTAGGTTCCCAGTTTTGGCCTGTTCTGAGTAAAGTTGTGGTGAACATTCTTTCATATGTCTTTTTGTAAACGTATGTTTCAAATTCTCTTGAGTAATGTCTAGGAATGGAATTGCTGGGCCATGTATTTGACATATGTTTAGGTTTACTAGACAGAGGCAAGTAGCCCAGGTGGTTGCATCAATTTATATTCCCCTAGCAGTGTAAAAGAGTTCTACTTGCTCTACATCATCACCAGTACTTGGTGTTGTCAGTCTTTCTCTTTTTAGTCAATCTAATGGCTGTATTGTGGTCTCTTATTTTGGCCTTAGTTTGCTTTTTCCATCATTTGTGATCAATGATGTTGAGCATTTTTTCATAGCTTATTGAAAATTTGGATACCTTCCTTTATGGTGTGCCTCCTAAAGTCTTTTGGTCATTTTTGAGTGAGTTGTCTTTTCCTTTTTGATTTGTAGAAACTCTTTATATATTCTGGATATGAGTTTTTGTCAGATCCACATGTAGGTAGATATCTTCTCCCACTCTGTGGCTTGTCTTTTTGCTCTCTTCGTGGTATCTTTTGATGAATAGATGCTTTACATTTCAATGAACCCCAATTTATCAATTGTTTCCTCTGTAGTATTTTCTGTGTTTCAAAAATGTTTCCCTACCCCAAGTTCATGAAAATATTCTCTTATAATCTTTGTCTAGATGCCTTATTGTTTTACCATTCATATTTAGATCTATGATCTACTTAGAATTGTTATTTATGCTATGAGGTGGTCTCAAGCTTCTTTTTTTTCTCTATGATCCAATTCATCCAGCTGACCCAGCATCATGGATGGAAAAGTTGCAGTGGTGTCTTTGTTGCAAATCAATTGACCCACATATACGGGTCTATTTTTGGATTCTCTATAACCTCTCTTATTGGTCCATTTGTCTACCCTTAAGCCAATATCACAGTGTCTTAATTGCTGTAGTTTATAGAAAGTTTTAAAATCAGATAATTTAAGTCGTTCATCTTTGTTCTTCCTGATTGTCTGGGCTATTTTAGGTTCTTCCCATTTTTACATAAATCTTAGAATAAATAGGCTTGTCAATTTCCACAGAAACCTACTGGCATTGTGATTGGGATTGTGTTGAATCTACAGATCATTTTGGGGAGAATTGACATCCTACCAATACTGAGTCTTCCAGTCCAGGAACACAGTACATCTCTTCATCTACGAAGTCCATCCCTAATTTCTCCTGGCATCTTGGCTCATCTTCTAAACCATACTGCACTCCGGGACTGGGTAGGCATTAACTTCCATTCCTTTGACTGCTGTAGGGAGTTCACTATCCAGCTGCAGCACTTCAGGGGGAAACTCAGGCACAAGGCACGAGAGAGGGAGGGGGCAGGTAGAGAGATCTGAGGAGCTAAGAAGGCAAGGGGTCAACGAGGCCCCCAGCCGCAGTCCTACCCCCAGCGCCCCTTCTGAGGAAAGCCTGCTTGGTGGGAGGAGACCTCTAAGCCAGCAGTTGTGCAGAGCAGTCATCTAACCTCCCTGAGCTTCAGTTTTCCTAGTTGTGCAATGGGAGTGTGGTCTCAGCATGAAGAACACATGTCAGGAATGAAGAATGTACATTGCAGGGCACCTATTAGGCGCTCAATAAATAAAAGTGGCATTTGTTTTGCCCTGAAGGGAAGACTGATCTCACCAATGTGGACACAGAACCAGAGAGGGCCAGACCCATGAGGCCCTCTGTGCCAGGCACACTTTTGTCCCTTTTAAGGGCAAACTGAAAGTGCGCCTTAGTAACAAAGAGACGAGAAAAGAAAGGTGATGTGTGTCCAAAAAACTGGACTAGACAAGTGGTTGGTGCCCCAGACCAGAGGGGCTGTCCGGTCCCAGGCTGATCACTCTTCCTATTTGCACAGACTTCCGGATGAGCTCTAAGTGCTAAAAGGAACTAATTAAACCCCTGGCGACTCCTGCTTTGTTTCCCAATCATTGATTTTTGCTGACAGAAGCAGTTTCTTGCCAGATTATTCTTAAAGGGGGCAAACCCTTTTCCTACTGAACATTTTAAATACAATTTCGTGGGAGAGAGTGATTTTAAAATACACTTTACTAAGCACTTTCCTTTTTATTTAAAAAACACTTTTATAGCACTTGTCATGGGCTAAGCACCTTGCAGATCTAATCCCATTTAATCCTCACACTAACCTGTTATTATCATCACCATCTTATCACCTACAGGGTAACTCACTTGCTCATGGTGGGCAGTTAGTGGGCGACAGAGCCAGAATTCAACCCAGGCAGCCTGGCTCTGTGGCCTTGTGATTAACCTGGCCCTGGTGGCCTGCTTGGGAAAGGTCTTTCTCAGATGGCTGGCCTCCGAGGGACATCATTTTAGAAGTCCCTGGGGCTTCCCCTCCTGTAGCCCTCTGCAGCGCCTTTGGCCATGCTCCCAGCTTGCTGCAGAGACCTCATTAACCAGCACCTCCCAGGGCCCGGGGGTGGAGCACCTAGCTTCAAAGTCCTCTCCTCCCTCCCACATCATATCAGGGGACTTGGCCTGCAAATAAGGCAGTGTTATGGATTCCTGGCAGGCAGCAGCAGTGTGGCTACCAGTTAGCCAGGGGGCGCGGCCAGGACTGGCATAGGAGCTCTGGGGCTGCAGGTCGGGGGGACTCAAAGGGAGGAGGCCCCAGGGCAGCCTGCCTGCCTTGTTTCCCTTGAGGCTGGTTCAACATAGTCCTTCTTTCTAGCTGCTGGAGATTGAGAGAGAGAGACCCCCAGGTCTTGGTTCCAGCCTCAGCATTCAGGATACAAGTAGATTCCCACCTCAGGGCCTTTGCACTTGCTGTCACTGCTGCCTGGACCACTTTCTCCAGAAACCAACATGGCTCACCCTTTTACTTCCTTCTAATTTCTGTACAAATGTCACCTCCTCAGAGAGGCCTCCCCTGACTATCCTGTCTAAAATAGTACACACTCTCTAGGCCTCTAGCCCCTGACTGCATTTTCTTCATAAGTGGTATGAAAACATTCTCTGTGTCTGTTGCTTTTTTGCTTCCTGTCTCGCTCTCCCCCAGGAGGCTATACGCTGCCTGAGGACAGGGACTTTTGGCCTTGTTCATCGTTGTATTCTCAGTGCCTAGAACGTGCCTGACGCAGTATGTGCTTGATAAATACTTGTTGAATGACTGATTGGTGAGTGCTGCGAGGCTGGATGTGCTGCCTTGTGTCTCTACCCTCGAGCCTCCTCGTCTATGTAAAGACGAGACAGTGGCTGTTCTCCTATCTGACCAAGGATGTCAGGATAGGCTGTGTTATGCTGCGGAAACAAACAACCCCAGAACCTCAGTGCTGTGCTGACTTCCCTGCCTCTTTCCTCTCCTTGTGATAAGAGAGGTAAGGCCAGTCACATCTATAGGTTGTGAGTCCCTGGATTTGCCCTGCCCCCTCGCCTCGATCTGGTACTTAGAAACAACTCTGGCTTCTTGTCCCACCCATAGGCTTTAGATTCTGGCTTGTGACAGCTGTGTCCTCTTTTGAAAGAAAGCATAGAGACATAATGGTTTACCAGCAGGATGCAAACTGGTTTATTGGCTGAATAGTTATCAGTGAACTCAGCACTTAATTAGGAAAGATGGGCCATGCAGGAGCAGGGAGAATCCCTCCTTCCTCTGTGAACAAGCTCACGATTATGGGGCCCCACGAGTAAACCACGCTGCAACAATGACAGGGTAGGTGTGGGGATGGAGCCCACGGCGGGAGGGCCAGGTAGGGCTTCCTGGAGAAGGCGGTGCCTGGGCTGAACCTTGAAGGATAGAGCTGTAAGGCTGTGAGGGGTGGGGAAGCTGCAGCCTCTAGAGAGGAAGGTGCTGCAGGAGGAAGGGCGGAAGGGAAGAGGAGGCAGGGGGACTGAGCTTCGGAGCGGTGCCCTTAGCGACCGGAGGATTGAGCGAAGCTTCTCTGCAAACTCAATGGAGGAAAAATCGATACCTGGTTGGGTCTCCAGCATCACGCCTGAGTGCCGTGTTCAGAAGCTCCGTGAACAAAGCAGGCCTCAGGAACCTCGCTGTGCAGGGAGGGTGAAGCTGCCACAGCCCCCATGGCGGGGCGGGGGTGGGGGACGGGGTGGGGGGGCGATTTGGCCACACCTTTCAGAATTAAAAATATCTGTTTCTCTTGGCTCTGGCATCCAACATGCCTGGGCGCTGAGGAGAGAGGCACCAAGGCCTGGGCGCCTGAGGCTGACCCAATCCTCTCCAGCCTCACTCTGACACCCCTCCTAATAAGCCTGGCTTCCCCCGTGGCCCCCACCCTGCAGACACTGCAGCCACGCCAGCCCAGTCACCGTTTCCCGAAGGAGGCTGCTCCCTTCCACTTCCCACTCACTCAGCCTGGAACGCAGTTCCTGTCTCCACTGGAGAGCCTGCCTATCTTTTAAGACCTCACCAAGCCATCCCCTCCCTGAGGACTCCCTCCCAGACCCCGTCCGAGTCCATGGCTCCCTCCTCTGGAGTGGGTCACCAGGAGGCCCAACTAGAAAGGGTGGCAAGGAAGCCCATGCACCAAGACCTAGAAGAAACCAAGAGGACCAAGAGCCCAGGCGGCGCACGGGAGGATTCCTCCCGCGCATTTATCCTGAAGCAGGGGGAAGGATAAGGGATTAACAGGAGATGGGTTAACAGCTTTACTGGGAAGGAACCAGCAAGGTTTCATAAGGCCCTCAGGTGGCAGGAAGGTGCTTAGAAGAGGGGATTGCGGGGGAGGGGGGCCCCAACCTCTATCAAGATACAGAAAATTATCATTGCTTCGGAGAGCTTCCCCTGGCCCCTTCCTGGAGAATCTCTGCCAAGAGACCATCCATGGTCCATTTTTTCTAAGACGGCCACCCAGGTAAAGACTACATTTCCCTGTCTGCCATGTGGCTCAGATTGTGGAGGATGAGGGATTAGATTCAATGGGGCTCAATGAGCAGGAGGGTGAGGGTCTGGGGCTGATGGGCAGCTGGGAGGTCTACAGAGGGGCTTCCTCCTTTGATTGCTTGGGGCAGCTCAGGGGGCAGCATTTCAACTGAGAGGTTTCCTTTTTTTTTTTTTTTTTTGAGAAGGAGTTTCATTCTCGTTGCCCAGGCTGGAGTGCAATGGCACTATCTTGGCTCACTCTAAACTCCGCCTCCTGGGTTCAAGCGATTCTCCTGCCTTGGCCTCCCAAGTAGCTGGGATTACAGTGTGCACCATCATGCTCGGCTAGTTTTTTGTATTTTTAGTAAAGACGGGCTTTCACCATGTTGGCCAGGCTCTTCTCGAACTCCTGACCTCAGTTGATCCACCCGCCTTGGCCTCCCAAAGTTCTGGGATTATAGGCGTGAGGCACTGCGCCCGACCCAATTGAGGGGTTTCTCTTAATCAAGGAACAAACAGAGCATGGAACAGTCTGGCGTTTGGGTAAGACAAAGACTGTTGTGTGTCCTTTGCCAACTAGACTATTGCCAACGGGACACGCGAGAAGCTGGTAGGAGGATTTGGGTGGCCAGAGAATAGGATGGAGGCAGGGGACACATTTTCCATAAACATTTTGTTATGAAAATTTCTAAACATAATGGAAAAGTTGGAAGAGTTGAACAAAGAACACATCCATTTGTCCATCACCTCAATTCTACAATGAACAGTTCATGAGATTTACTTTGTTCCACGTATCTCATCCACCCATCCATCTTATTTTTTGAAGCATTTCAAAGTAAGTTGCAGACATCAGTGCACTTCACCCCTAAACATTCAGCATGTGCACTGTTAACTAGAGCTCAATATTTGTTTCCAGTTCCTTTTTTGTGTTTGGTGTTTGTTTAGAGATGTTTAGAGATACTTGCATGAAGCGGAATGTACCAATCTTAAATGGATCATTCCATGAGCTCTTAAAAATGCACCTGTGTAATCCAATCTGTTTTTTTTTTGAGACAGAGTCTCCATCTTGTCCCCCAGGCTGGAGTGCAGTAGTGCAATCTCAGCTCACTGCAACCTCTGCTTCCCGGGTTCAAGCGATTCTCCTGCCTCAGCCTCCAGAGTAGCTGGGATTATAGGCGCCTGCCACCATGCCTGGTTATTTTTGTATTTTTAGTAGAGACAGGGTTTCACCATGTTGGCCAGGCTGGTCTTGAACTCCTGACCTCAAGTGATCTGCCCACCTTGGCCTCCCAAAGTGCTGGAATTACAGGCGTGAGCCACCGCATCTGGCTCAATCTCTATCAAGATACAGAACATTATCGTTGCTTCAGAGAACTCCCCTTTGCCCCTTCAATCTCTGCCAAGAGGCCATCCTTGGTCCATTTTTTGTAAGATGGCTGCCCAGGTGAAGGCTACATTTCCCCATCTGCCATGCAGCTCAGTGTGTTTCTGTGATTAAGTTCTGGTCTACGGAGTGTAAACAGATGCACCAAGTGGCAGCTTCTGAAAACGTTCCTTAAAAGACCTGGTGTGCTCTTGGCCCTTCTTCATCTTCCCTTCTTCCCATTGCCATGGCTGTGGTCTTGGACCATGAAGAAGGGGACACACCCAGGTATGGTGGAACAGTGAGCTGGAAGGTCCCTGACTCCTTAAACTCTTCATGGGTCACTGATCTATGATATTGGTGCTTGGGGGAGGGAAGTGTGGGTGGACAGTCTGGATCGCTTACTCCAGATTTTCATGTGAGAGAGAAATAAACATCTACCTTGTTTCAGCCTCTGTCAATAATAGTCTGCATTCCAGTCAAACTAGTTTTAATTACAAACTTACCTACCTTGTAAATGTTGTACTATATGCATGTATTACCTATTCAAAAAAGTGAATCATAATACAAAATTACATGTAAAATAAATAAAGAGAGGGTCTGCTGCAGAGACTGCCTGCTCTTCCCAACCGGTAGTGGAGGGATGGAGTCACAGCTGGTTCTGTGAGTTAGGACATAGGATTGATGTCACATGGCACAGACTCAAATTAGCAGTAGCTTACACAAGATAGAAGTGTATTTCTCTGCACGTAAAAGCCAAAGCAGCCAATATCCCAGATTAGTGACCCAGCTCCCACCCTCCCATATGTGGTCATCCCATATCTGTTCAATGACCATGGTTTCTGAACACAAAGCCTGAAAATCTCCAGGGGACCCAGGCACCCTCCAGGAGACATAGGCAGCTCTCTGGTCCACACTATAATAAACCCTCTGAGACCTGCCTGTAATCTGGGCAGGGGCTTCTCCTGCCCAAGACAGAACCTCCCACACACGGGGGGCTGCCAGCATCGGGCATCACAGGACTGGACCAGCTCCCCAACCTATGTTTGTGCCCTGGCTCCAAGCTGCCATCTGTGTCTCTAGGTAACCCCCTAGGCCTCCAGGGCCCCCCACCCTGGACCTGGGGATTTGGAGGCAAGTTCTCTTATCTGGCATTGCAGCAGGCTATCCACCAGCCTCCTGCCCTCTCGCTGATGTCCGGTGATGTTGACACACCAAATCTTAATCTTCTTAGGCCATCCTCACTTGCAGCTGTTAGATTCCACACCTGCCACCCTCTCAGCCTTGTGCCTCAGATCCCAGTTGTCACATTTCTGTGCTCCCAACCAAGTCGCAGGAGTCTGACCCTTGGCTAATAGCTCTCATTCTGGGGCCCAGGGGCCATCAGAGGGGCTGCTTGTCTGGCAAATCCATTCCCTAAAAACCATCCTTGGATTTGGGGCTGTCATTAGACTGGCAACAATAATAACTTTAGTCGTAGTAGTAGTAATAATAATAATAATAGAGCTACTGCTTTCTCAATACCTATCAGATGACAGATGCTCTCATTATATTTGTCTGAGGTGGGGCTTGTTTGTCCCCATTTTACAGATGAAGCAAATGAGGGGGCCAGGAACAGTGGCTCACGCCTGTAATCTCAGTACTTTGGGAAACCAAGGCAGGAGGATCGCTCGAGCCCAGGAGATTGAGACCAGCCTGGGCAACATAGTGACACCCTGTCTCTACAAAAAATACAAAAAATTATCCAGGCATGGTGGCGCACACCTATAGTCTCAGCTACTCAGGAGGCTGAGGTGGGAGGATCACTTGAGCTGAGGAGGTAGAGGCTGCAGTGAGCCTTGACTGGGCCACTGCACTCTAGCCTGGGAAACACAGCAAAACCCTGCCTCAAAAATAAAACAAAAGAGAGAGAGCGAGCAAGCGAGAGAGAGAGAGAGAGAGAGAGAAACGGAGGCCCAGAGGTGTTAGCAGACACTTCCATGGCCACATAGCTCAGACGAGGGTGGAGTCCAGGCCTGGCTGCCTCCAGAGTGTCCCAGGCTCTGCAGCTATGTCCTTCCCAAGGTCATGAAAAAGGTCTCGAGTTCAGTCCGGCCCAGATACTCACTGGCTGTGTCACTGCAGGTCAGGCCCTTAGCCTTGCCAGCCTCAGTTTCCTCACCTGTAAAGTGGGAAGGATGATATATGGGGCACAGGGACATATTGAGCCCTTCCTCAGCCATGGTGTGACTGCTTCTCTTCCCTGTATTCCTGGGCTCTTAGGGCAGGGTGCTCCCATGGTCTGGCCCTGTGCCTGGCACCCCCACCCCAGACCTTAGCAAAGCAGAGTTGGTCTGAGCTGCTAGTGCTTCTGTTGGTAGACACGCCTCGGAGGGACCCAAAGGTGGGAAAAGTGTCACAGGGGACGGGGACTGGAAGGTAAGAACAAGGAGGGTGTGGACACCGGTGGGGAGGGTGGGACACAGATTGGGGGCTGAGCCAGAACAAGTTTTAAAGCAGGGCAGAGGTGCTCAGGGCAGGCTGAGGGAGGTGACCTCCAGTGACACACTGTGAGAGAACATGCCGAGATCCAGGGCCAATGGCATGGAGTACGGCTCCTATGGGAGCCACCCTTTGGCAGAGGGTCCTCTGGTCCTGGCTGGCTCTAGGTCACATCTGCCCCCCACAGCCCTGCCCCTCAGTCCTGCTGGCTCCTTCTGAGCCTTGGGCCCTGCCCTTCTCAGGCCTCTGGAACCTCTCAGCATGGTTCTGGCCCTAATGCTCTGGGTAGCTCGTGCAGACACCTTTCCCCCCACCACCCTGATGGCACTCTGGGAGGGGCGTGGGGTGGGCAGTGGGCGGCAGGGGAATGGAGGGAAATGAATTCCAGATGAACCGTCAGCCCTCAGGTGCATCCAGCCTGGGGGCGGGGTGGCAATTAGGAGAGCAAACTCTGGGCTGTTTACCCGCTAGAGCAGCTCGGGTGGTTATTTACTTTTCTGAGATTCTGGGAGAGGAAAAAAATGAGCATGGGGCCTCTAGGGGCCTCAGCAAACAGAAGAGAGGCCTTCGTGTGTTAACTGATTCTGTCAGCTGGCTGCGCTGCTTCCCGGAGGCAACTGGCCTGTCAGCAGGTCTCAGGGAGCCTTGGGGACAACACGGAAGGCCCAGCATGGGCGAGCCAGAGGGAGCAGCGGGGGTCAGAGAAGCTGTGCCACCACCTACCACCCCACTGTCCAGGTGGCCCAGGGAGGGGAGGCCACACAGCCCAACCAGAATGGGACCTGTCCACAGGGCCTGGGTCCCAGGACCAGGAGAAGGAGCTTGGAGGGGAGGTATTACTGGGTGGGGTGGGGCTGGGGTAGCTGGGGCTGTTCAGCCACCAGGTACCCGGGGCCAGAGGGGGCCCTGCTGCCAGGAGCACTGGGCCGTTCTCCAGCTGATCCCGAAGCTCTGGTGTCCAGGACCCTGACAGACCAGAGCTCCAGACCTGGGCAAGCCCTTAACCTCTCGGGGTCCATGTTTCTCTGACCGCAGCCTAGGGATGAGGACAGCTGCTGGCTGTCTCCAGGGGGTAATTGACAGGTCACGGAGCGCAGTCATTTTCCCGCCTCATTTCTGGAGGTTGGCATGATTCTCCTTTTAACAGAGTATGAGGCAGCAGAGTGAGGCGCTGCTTTCTTTGGGCTTCAGCGCCCTCACATGTGAAATGGGTTTGATGACAAAAGCGCCTGCCTCCAGAGTGGCCGTGAGGGTGACATGCGCACAGCAGTGTTGACTCATATTCTATGCATGTGTATCGGGCATCGCCTCTGCCCCAGGACACAGGACAAGTTTATATGGTCCCTGCCTTCAGGGGCTCAGTTCTCAAGGTGTAATCAGAGGACCTCTGGCGGTTCCTAAGACCCTCTCAGGGGGAGGCCTTGAGGTCAGAACTGTTTCTTAATAACGCTAAGATGCTATTTGCCATTTTCACTTTGTTCATCTTTGCCACTGATGCTGCAAAAGCTACCTGCTTCAAAGTGCTGTGGCTTAGCAAGGGTCGAGGTGGTGGCACCAGACCCTCCTAGTAGCCATGGCGTTCTTCACCATCACACGCCTGGAGGCAAGAAAGAAAAGCCAGTTATATTACGAATGTCCTTGATGAACCAATCAAAATAATTAACTTCATTAAATCTCTATCCATGAGTATATGTCTTTTTAGTATTATGTGTAGAGAAATGAGAAGTACATGTGAAGCATTTCTGAAGAATGATGGTTGTCTAAAAGAACAGCATTCATGAGATTGTTTGAGCTGTGAGCTGAAATTGCCATCTTTACCCCCATTGAACACAATTTTTACTTGAGAAAAACAACCGTAGACCAACTATAATTATTCAGTCTTGGTTATTTGGCATACATTTTCTCAAAAATGAATGAAGTGAGCATGTTGCTTCAAGGAAAACAACTGACAGTATTTGTTGCCAATGACAAAAATTTGAGTTTTCAAGCAAAAATTAGAATTTTGGAAAACTTTTATTTGCTGCTATGAGCTTGACAGCTTCCCAATATTTTAAAGAGTTTTATTTCCAAGTGATCAATGCATGCATGATGTTATAAAGTCATGCTTGGGTAAAGATCCATTCAGAGTATAAGACAGACGGATGGATTTTAATATAGCAGAATACGAAAAGTTTGTTGATGAGGCTTTAAATTCCAGACTGCAGGTAACCCTCAAAAATCTACTACTTGATGAGGTTTGGTGTAGTATCAAAGAAGAACGTCCACAACAACTGAAAAGGCCATTAGAATTCTCCTCTGTTCTAACTCCATATCTAAGCAAAGCCAGATTTTCTTTATGTACTTCAACCCAAACAACATATTGCAGGAGATTTAATGTAGAAGCAGATAACAGAGTCTAGCTGTCTTTCATTAAGCCAGACACTTAAGAGATTTGCAAATCTGTAAAGCAATATTGCTCTTCTCTTTTGATTTTGAAAACAGTTATCTTCCACAAACATATATTACTTATATTAACATGAACTGAGTATATTGTTTTTATTTTAAATGAATTAATAAATGAGTATTTAAAAGTTTCTCAGTTTTAATATCAAATATGGCAACTATCAATAAACCCACATAAACCAACCTTCTTTGTGGTCCTCAATAATACTTAAGAGTGTAAAGGGCTCCTGACACCAAAAAGTTCAAGAACTACTGATCTAGTACTGTGGAAACAAGCAAACAGTTATTTGCAGCTGGGTGAGTGTCAATGTGGGTCTGTACAAGGCAGAAGGAAGGTGAAAGGGCAAGCCAGGGTGCCTCCCAGGAGGAGGTGTCCTTATAACACAGCTAAATGTGGCTGACAGGAGATTTTCAGGTTGCTGGAACCGAGAGAGAGGCTGGCATGAAGAATCCCTGGAATAGCAGAAAGATCCTCAGAAACCCATGAGCAGGTGACACCACAGCCATCTGAACAATGATTTGAGCTGTTGCCCCCAGGCCAAGATACCTTGGCACTAATGTACTCATGGACCCAATAAGACTAGGGGTCCCATGTCCACATGTACCTAATGTGGTCAGATCCAGATGCTAGTGGCAGGGACCCTCCCTCTGACCTCTAGCGAAGAGGCCTGCAGGACACCCTGGCTGAAATCAGGGAAGGGGCCATCCACCGACACTATGTCCTCTCCCCTAGTCCTGCCCCCAGGCCCTCACACCAGGGCCAGCACAGGTCTTGCCTTCCTCCTTCCAAGGCCCCCTTTCCCCAACACTTTGTCCATTTCTAATTTGCAGCTAGCCTGGGCTGGTGTGAATGGGCGGGGCCGGGGGAGGAGAAGAAATTCGAAATTCTCGGTGGCAGGAGAGGAGGCAGGCCTTTCCTCACTCCGAGTCACTGGGGCCTCCATCTTCAGCTGAAGCATGAGGGGGCAGACCCTGTGCTCTCCAAGTTGCTCACAGCCCCAGACTCCGCATCATACAAACCCGGCACAGTCGCAGGGTTCCTTGCCTCTCACGGTGGGGCCAGCTGAGTTATCTGCCCAAGAGGGAGCAGCAACAGGAAGAAATCCGGTGAGGCCTCAGTGTCAAATATGTGCGCTCTCACCTCTCTCCGACCTCCCCCGTCGGCTTTGGGAGCCAGGACTCCACAGTCACAGCCTCCACTTCCTCATTTCCCACCCTCCTCGCCTCCTCCACGCGGCCTCCAGCTCCCACTGCTCACTCCAGTGGCTTTAGTGAGTCTCCAGTGACTGCCGACCTCTCGCCCCCAGGGCCTGCCCTTGGCAGTGTTCTGACTTACTTAGACTCCCTCAACTTAACCATGCGGTGCTCCCCAGCCTCCACCCACCATGCCAAACCCCCACCTCTCCAGTGCTTTTGTGAAAGCCCCACCCTCTTGCTGTCTAAATGCTCCAGGACCACCCTTGACCACTGAATCCGCTAGGAAAGTGAGCAGCTGCAATTCAGGAAGACTTGAGTGACAGTGGCGTTTTATTTCTTGCATAACAAGAAGTCTGGAGGTGGGGGTCCTGGGCTGGCTCAGCTGCCCAGGGATGTCACAGTCATCTCTGGCTGCAAGGGAGGCTGTGATGGTGAGTTGCGAGTTTGTTTCTTGGGCACATGGTGTGGATGTGGGGCGGTGGGAAAACTAGCCAGGATCTTCTCTTGGAGAACTAATCCTCCCCTGGCCCCCTCGACACGGATGCCTCCTAGCTTGATTTGAACTACCAGCCTCTCTCCGGGGCTCCAGTTCAGCACTTCCAACTGCCTGGTTCAGTTTTACCTTAAAACCACAGCCCTAACCCAACCAACCCAAACGAGCCTCTCTTCCTAGGTCCATAGCCCTGCCGTCCTCCTGGTTGCCCGAGTTGGAAACAGCAGCCCCTGTTCTCTCTGCTGCACCCGCTGTATGCATGCTGCGCTTCTGCCTGGGCAATGTGGTCCCCAGAGCGGCGGGCCTGAGCCTGCTTCCCCCAGCGCCCCTGGCCTGGCTCAGGCCCAGGACATCTCTGTGCCACTACCATCCCCCGACTCCAGTCCCTCCTCTTCCCTGGGCCAGATCTGTCTAGGGCACACACCTATCTGACCGGAGTACTTCCTGGAATCTGGCCACAGCAGGCTTTCTGGTCTCTTATCGTATTCTATATACAGATCCTCCACATCTCTGAACTCCCCCAGGGACACAGGTGGGCTTCCACTGCCTCTGGACTGCACTTCATTCTCCTCTCGTCACCAGCCAGCTTCCCACTCACTCATGACCCACAGAATGTGCTGCCTTATGGTTTTGATCCTACATGGATCTGATGCCCCATGGCCTCCCCGAGTCCTTCCTCTGCCCCTCCTCTGCGGATCCACTAGTGAATGCCCCTGCACAGTGCTGTGGACAGGTTAATCTCCTGAGCAGATTCCAGGCCAAGCTACGGGGCAAGGCAGCCTCTTCACTAGTTATTGGCTGTCTTGGGTCAGGTGCCTGCCTTGGTGCCATCAACCGAAGCCATGGGGATCATGTAGTTCTCACCAGGCTGACCTTCCAAAGGAGCTTGGGGCAGTGCCACAGAGAGGTAGGGGCAATGACAGACAGCAGTCCTGTACCCATCTCTCCAAGACCTCTGCTCTGCCACTTCAAATGCAGTCTCCTCCCAGAAGCCTCCCTAGACCACCTACCCTACTGCTGAGCCAGGACCCCACAGCTTGGTTCCTCCTGCCCAGGCACTGTGGACACCTTCTTGTAAGAGTGTGCACACCAGTGGGGCCATCTCTGAGTTGTTTACCTTCCTAGCTGGTTTCTGAGCCTCCTCCCACCCACCTATGCAGTGAATACACTAGGTACTCAATAAATGTTGGGGAAGTGATGTGAACAGAACGCCTGACTGCAGGGAACTGACAGCATGTAGTTGCAAACCCAGGGCTTGTGTGTCAAAACCAGCTCTCAGACTGGTTTTGTTGGGCCCCCATTGAAAACGGGCAGATTTCCCATCCAAATCTGGATTTACAGTTTCTCTTGCACAAGCTGGCTCGGGTTCCCCCAGAGCAGAGCCCAAGGCGAGGATAGATTTGTGTGTTTGGGAGACGAGCCCCAGCAGCAGGAGCGAGGGAGGTGGTGGAGTGAGCAGGAAGGAGGAAGAATGGCGAAGGTGCAGGACGGAGCTGGCACTGCTGTGGGCACCAGGGTTCCATCTGCCGGTGGAACTGGAAGCCACGCCTCAGAACTGACCACAGGAAGGAAGAGACTGGGGCACTTGTCCACCAACTCTGTCTTCCATTGGTTGAGAGCTGTCCAGGGTGTTTACCTTCCTTGAACTTCCTGGATGCCTGTCATAAGGGCTGGCTTGGAAAGAAGTCCCGAGGCAGGAAGTGAGAACAGCGCTGGGCTCTCGTGCCTGCTGGGAGAACCTGCAGAAGTGGAGGTGCAGCTCCCTCTTTTTTAATTTTTAATTTTTTTTTTGGTAGAGGCAGGGTGTCAATATGTTGCCCAGGCTGATCTCCAATCTTGGCCTCAAGCAGTCCTCCCACCTCGGCCTCCCAAAGTGTTGGGATTACAGGCGTGAGCCACCCTGCCTGGCAGCTCCCCTTTGGACAGGCACTGCCTCCACCCTGGCCCCATGCCTCATCTTTGTTTCCTTCCATCCTCTGCATGCTGCTGAGTTGGTGAATCTGGTAGGATCCATCAGATCCTTTTATAGAGGGCCCTGAGGCCCCAAGAGGGAAGACCCAGAGACCTCATCCAAGGTCTTGCAGCCATGCACACCGGGCTGGGCCCGGGACCCCTGACTCCTGGGAGAGTGCCCCCTGCCACCCACTTTCCTTTCCTTCCCACCCCAGGCTTGCTGGGGGCTTGACTTCTCTGCCTCAGGAACGAGGCCCTCAGACAAGGATTGTGGGCTGTGAACTCTAGCCCAGGCCTTTCCCCTCTCTCCATAGCTGGCTCGGGACAGGAGCCAGTAAATAACATGCTGCTCATCGATCGAGGTCACTCAGGCCAGGGCCGATCGATGGCCGCAGACAGCTGGGCAGGCGGGTAATGAAGTGCCAGCTCCTTGGCGGGGGCGCTGGCAGCCCTGGGATTTAATCCCCTTGCCTCCTCCATGTGGCTCCAGCTTGGGTGACAGGAGGGAAGACAGATGAGGCTCTGAGGCTGGTGGTGGGGGGTGGTGGGGGAGTGGGATCCAGGAATAGGGATGGGCAGTGGGGGTGTGAAGTTGGTGAGGCTCGCTGAAAACGCAGGCCCTGTTTCTCCTGTGGGCCACCTCCCCAGGCAGGCTTCCCTTGGGGTCGTCCCAGAAGGGCCTGCATCCCCCATCCCCCTTCACACACAAAGCACTTTTCACCCTGTGTGCTTGTGCCTGCAGGCGTAAAGCTGTCTACCCTTCCAAAATGAGGGCTTTAGAGGGCAGAAAAGGGCACAAGAGACTAAATATTGTTGAACACATAAGATGCGCTGACTCAGTGTCTTGGGCTTTGTATCTGTCATCTTATTCGATGTTCACAGCCATCTGGCTTGATAAATATTATTATGTTCATTCCAATAGATAAAGAAACAGGCTCAGAGAGGAAGAGATGGTTAACAGCTAGAGCTGTCCAACAATGGACCAGACCAGGTGGCCTCATGAGGTGGTGAGTTCCCTGTCACTCTGGGTATTCAAGCAGAGATTGAAGGGCTAGCTGTCAAAGGGCTATGGAGGAAATCCTGCAGAAGGTGGGCTTTGGACTACATGGCCATGGGGTCCTTCCCAACTTTGAGCTTGTGTGAGTCTTTGGGAAAGATGGACTAAGCTGGATTTCAGGGGCAGGGCCCCAGGCCCCAAGCGGAAGGATGGCTAAGTGAGAGTGGTCACTACACTGGTGGCTTCCAAACCATGGCTGCAGACCCCTGGGGCACTCTGCAGGGACTTCAGAGTCCACACATGTTTGACTTAAAGTTCACTTTCCGCCGGGTGCGGTGGGTCACGCCTGTAATTCTAGCACTTTGAGAGGCCAAGGTGGGCGGATCACTTGAGGCCAGGAGTTTGAGACCAGCCTGGCCAAGATGGTGAAACCCCGACTCTACTAAAAATACAAAAATTAGAAGGCCTGGTGGCACATGCCTGTAATCCCAACTACTTGGGAGGCTGAGGCAGGAGAATTTCTTAAACCCCGGAGGCGGAGGTTGCAGTGAGCTGAGATGGCGCCACTGCACTCCAGCCTGGGTGACAGAGCAAGACTCTGTCTCAGGAAAAAAAAAAGTTCATTTTCAATACAGTTTTTATGATGAAATAGTATCTAAAAACAAATACAGGCTGGCAATTATGTTATACAATTTTTAACCCACATAAAATCACTAGAAAGGCTGCTTTGGGTGGCTCTGGGGCTAAAGATTCTCCTACATCTGCATTTAATTGAGAGCCTTGCAAGGAGGGAAAATATTGAAAAACAAAAGCCCCTCTTTTAACTTGCACTTCCTTATCTGTATGAATAAGTGATGGCGTACAACACAACACAGTGCAGAAAGAACTCGTAGGCCGAGCCTGATGCAGCATGGAAACCGTCACAGTAATCCCTTATTTCTGTCTCACAGTCAGCAAAACAGCCTTGTTCGCATCTGATCTAATCTTATTATAATGCTGTCTTCTATTACAGTAAGAATAAGGCGTGCATGTGAACATATCCGGCGTTCGTATTCATAGAATATGACTTTTATCTGTTTTACACATTGTGATTCCTCTTAGACTTCATTTGAGAAAAGAGTTTTACTGTTGAACATACTGGGACGCCCCCATGGTGAAGTGGCTGATGCTGCCACTCCAAGTTCTTTCTAAGCAAGGTGGGGTGGGGGTATGGGACCGGGGCCTGCAGCCCCTGCCTCTCCTTACTCTCAGGCCGCCACCTCATGACAGCACCCATGGTGGACGCCTGTCCCTGGGCCCCAAGCCTGACCCCACTGCTGTGGGTGCAGGGGTGAATGGGGTAGCTGGAGCCCCTGGCTGACTCTTCCCCAGGAGGGCAGTGTGAGGAAGAGGCAGTGGTGGTGATGGAGGATGCTCAGCAGCCCACCTGAAGGCCTATGTGATGCCGCGCACGGGAGGCCACGTGTAAGCAGGAGTGAGGCGGGAGCAAGGAGCCACAGATACAGCAAGCATGGGAAGACGTGAGTCCTCGGCCAGGGTTGAAGGGCCGGTGGACAGGAGCTGGTCTCCACCTGGGTGGGAAACACCTCCGCTCCTGTTCCGTGGATCTGACCAAGAGGCCCAGAAGTTGTGCTGCCCTGGGCACTGCACCATCTCCCTGCTAGAATTCCCTTCGGATCTCGCCAGTCTGCCAGGGCTGTTTATGCAGTCTGATGATGCCTATGGCCTCATTTCTATCACATGTGGCTGCCCCTATCGACTCTCCGACCCTCATACCAAAATAACCCACCTGGCCTGACCAGTGAGACCCAAGGCCTCCTCTCCACACAGGCCCCGGGGATGGCCCTGATGAGCCAAAGTTTGGGGGTCAAAACACCAACCTTATCTCATATAATTCATTCCTCTCCCTACCCTTGATCAACCCTGGTCTTAAGTCTGCTGCTCCAACCCCCCAAGCCGCCTCCTGCCCCAGGGCCTTTGAACCTACTCAGTCCTCCTGGAGCTTCTTTCCTTCAGAGCTTTGCACAGTGTGCTGCTTCTTAGCCTCAGGTCACACCTCAGGTGTCACCTCCCCAGACAGCCTCCCCTGACCACCTCTTC
Source organism: Homo sapiens (assembly GCF_000001405.40). NCBI lineage: Eukaryota > Metazoa > Chordata > Mammalia > Primates > Hominidae > Homo > Homo sapiens. Next base: position 33,979,789 of record NC_000006.12, on the reverse strand, counting down.
CAGTGTAACTACCCCTACTCTGTCACCATTCACACATCCACTTGGATTATCTTTTTTCCATGGCAGCTCGCATTTTCTGCGATTATCTTGTTTACATCTTTTCTAGGGTATTTTGTTTTTCTGCAGCAGAATGTCAGCTCCACAAGGAGCTGTCTTGTTCATTCCTGTGTCTGCTGTCCCTAGCACCATGACTGCACACAGTAGGCACCCAGCCAATGTTTGTGGAGTTAAGGAGCTCAGAGGCTCAAAGCTGTGTGCGCTTTGCAGGAATCATTTCCTGAGAAATGGGTGACTTTATTTTTAAGCACAGAAGTGTGGAGGCTTGAATGAGAAAATAGAGAAAGGGGCTCAGGGAGAGAGGGAAGGTGCTGGTGGGCCATGGTATTTAGGGGTGGCGGTGTTCTGGGCTATGTGAAGATCTAATAGCTGATTTGAGGGGAAGCCAGATGCAAGTGGAAGCATCCATGTCTCAATGATGTGAGAAGAAACCTGGGGCAGAGGGCACAGACAGGGGGAGAAGACCGCCCAGGCTCGGGAGCTGCCTGAGCAGGTCATCATCAGGCCCTGCTCCCCAAGGCAGGGGAGCCCGGAGCTTGCCACTCACTTAACCGAAAGAAACAGGAAAGAGAAATGCAGGCACATTTTTAAAGATCTTTTAAGATCTCAAAATATGATTCAGCCACGTTATTATCCAGTGGACATCGCATTCCTCAGAACCCAAAAGGGAATGTTGTCTTTCCTTGCTGGTGCTCACCCTGCTGAGGAGGGGGCCACCTGCTCTGCTGGGGCCTGGGAGGGTTTCCTTAGAGCTGTGGCTGTTGGTGAGGCCTTGAAGGATGAGGAGTTTTAGCTGGTGAAGGGAGAATGGCATCCCAAGGTGACAGACTGCTGGGGCATGGGCCCACAGGGGAGCCAAAGCTCTACCAGGTGTGGGGAGGTTTGGGGACTCAGGCCTGGGTTCTCTCCCACCCCAGGCGGTGGGGGAGGTGTACGATGCCAGGGCTGAGAGGAGCTGACAGAATTTTGTTTTATCTGCCCCCGCAAGCACCACCCCACCGCCTTCTCAAACACAACCATCCTTTCATCTAGGCTCACCCCGCCCGCCTCCCCACGTCTAATCTCATTTAGAGCGGCAATTAAATTTTAAAGGCCCATCAGCACGGACCCTCAAATGCCAGGTTCTTTCCAGATAGAATTATTTAATAGACTGGATGGCAACTGTGCGGGCTCCGGCTGGCACTGCAGACCCACCGAGGCAGAAAATTAATCAACACAGCAGCCTCTCCCCACCCTCTTGTGGCCAGGCCTGGCCTGCCTCCACTCCCTCTCCCCTGCCTACCTCGGCTGCCATGATCAGTTTCCTGAGCAAGGCGCATCTGTGTTTGTAGGAGGAGGGCAGGAAAGCCTCAGGAACCTGGCAGATGATCTCAGGGGCCTGCCTGAAAGCCCCATTCTGCCACTTATTAGCGAAGCCAGGTGGGACACATTACTTCACCTGTCTGGCCTCAGTCTGCTCATCCGTGTAATGGGGTCACTAGAGGCTCACAGAGGCAATGTATGTACAGCACTCGGCGTGATAGCCAGCTCATTGCAGGAGCTCAGTACACAAAAGTTCCTTCCTCCTCCTTCACAAATAACCACAGCTTGTGTGCTGATGTGTGCTGGTGTCATGGACACCTGGCTGGGGGACAGGGAGAGGAAGGTGGGAGTGGGCCTGAGCGTTCGTGGGTCTGTGGGCTGCCTGCACCTTGGGCATGTGGCATCAGGAAAACGGGTCGCTGAGGTTCGGTGTCCTGGGTAGAATCTCACTTTCTGTGTGTTCTTGGGCAAGCCTCTTAGCCTCTTGGGCCTCAGTTTCCTTGCCTATAAAACAGGGACAGAGTATCTACTGACTTCGCGGGGTCATTGTGGGGTCTGGTAAGGTGATGCGGCTGAGTCCCTGGCACAGCAGTAGGTGCCATGACAGTTCTGCCTGTGTCACCCACTGGGTGCCAGGCAGCCCTCATGCGGGGCAACCCCAGGGGAGAGGAGCAGCCTGGGTGAGCTGGAGAGAGACCAGGTGAGGGTAAGGCACATACCAAGGAAGTGAGTCTCAAGACTCTGGGGACAAGGGCTGTGTCTAAGGGCAGTGGCTCTCCTCGGACTCCCTCCCACCTCCCCTCCAGATCCAACTCCTGCTCGTTGGTGGGGGCTTGAGGATGAAGATGGTGAGAGGGGCTATCTGTGACAAGGGAATCCCGACCTTGATCTCATATTCATCTAACAAATATGGACTGAGCACCTACCCTATGTCAGGCACTGCTCTAGGTGCTACAGGTGCTGAGGACACAGCAGTGACCACAACAAAGATCCTGTCCTGGCCAGGTGTGGTGGCTTACGCCTGTAATCCCAGCACTTTGGGAGGCTGAGGCAGGTGGATCACTTGAGTCCAGGAGTTCCAGCCTAGGCAACATAACAAGACCCTGTCTCTACAGAAAATACACACAAAAAATTAGCCAGGCGTAGTGGCATGCACTTGTAGTTCCAGCTACTCAGGAGGCTGAAGTGGGAGGATTGCTTGAGCCCGAGAGATCAAGGCTACGTTGAGCTTATGAAGCTGGTATTAGACAAATGCTAAAATGACAGTGAGTGCTGTGGACAGGGAAGTGGGGCTGTGAGCAGGGTGGTGGCAGGAAGGAGGTAAGCTTTTTAGATGGGGTGGTCAGGAGGGCCTCTGTGAGACGGTGACCTTTGAGCAGAGGCCTGAAGCAGGCAAGGAGCCTGTGGCTATCTGGGGGAAGAGCATCCAGGTAGAGGGAACAGCCAGTGCAGAGGCCCTGAGGCAGGAGTGAGGTTAGCTGCTTGAAGAGCAGCAAAGAGGCTAAGTGGAAGTTCAGTGCTGGAGGGGAGCGGGAGAGGGGGTCAGTGACGCAGGAGGGGCACAGGCCTCAATGGACACTGTTTCACTTGCCAGAAGTGGACAGCAGGGCAGGGTTCTGAGCAGGACAGCAACAGTATTGGACATGCTTTTGCCAGGGTTTCTGAGACTTCTGAGGGGAAACTGAGAGCAGAGCACAGGCGAGGAAACCAGGGACCAGTGAGAAGACTATGACTGTCCAGGGGGAGGTGGTGATGGGGTCCTGGGCTAGGGTGGGAACAGTGGAGGTGTGGGAAAGCCTGGGATTCTGGATATGTTTTGAAGGTACAAGGGACAGGAAGCGGAGACCCAGGGTTGAGTCTGGGGTGGTCTCCCCAAGACCTGCCACCAGGCTTCTGGCATTCAGCTCCTCCATGCAGCACATCCCCCTCCTTGGCTCTGTTGGACTCCTCCTTGCTGGAACCTTCTGGAAACAGCCCCACGGTGGAGAGGGACTCTTCCCCGCTAGCTGCCCTGGTCAGCTTCTGCCTTTGCAGTCCTGCTGCCCGCCTGGTGCTGAAAGCTGCATTGAGGCTGGGCGGAGGCTGGGCCTCCAGAGCTGGAGGAGGGGATCTGCGTGATTTCTGCCAGAGTGGGAGACCCTGAAGGCTGAGGAGGGGTGATGACAGCAAGAATGAGGAAGCGCAGCCTTTCGGAGAGGCGACCCCCATCCTGACCGCCCGCGGCCTGGGCTGGGAGACCAGAGACACCTCTCCCAGACTGCAGAAGCGGGGCGCAGGCGGGGCGGGGAGGGGAGTGCGGTGCGCCTTCCCCACGTTCCCCCTCCCCAGCCTGCGCGGTCAGGGTTGAGCTCCGCAAACAATCGCGCCGCCGGCCCTGAAATTCAGCAAATTGCCTGGTGTGCTCAAGCCTGCCATTTCCTGTGCGCTCCTGAGCCCCGGCGAATTATCTGAAGAGAAATCAGCCCTGTTTTCCCCTCTCCTCACAAAGGAATAAATGAAAAGGTTTTCAAATTGCTTCTAAATAGAGGGCTCGGCCTCGCTCCCCGCGCAGACGCGGGTGCTGTTCCAAGGCGTCCCACCTGGGCCCCGCGTCTCCCCACCCGCCCACCTGAGAGAGGGAAGGGTGGGGCGTGGGGAGGGGGGAATGGGGACATGGGGCGGTGCCTCCCGATTGGTGGTCCCAATCCGCCTTCCCCTCCCCAGGCCTTTGGGATCATGTTGAAATACAGATTCCCAGGCGGCCGGGAATTCCCAGGCCGGTTCCTGCTAGAAACTGACACCTGCGTTAGTCAGACCCTGTGTGTTCTGAGGTTTACTTTATAATCTAGGTTTTTATTTTATTTTATTTCATTTATTTCATTTTATTTTACTTTGAGACGGAGTCTCACTCTGTAGCCCAGGCTGGAGTGCAGTGGTGCGATCTCAGCTCACTTCAACCTCTGCCTCCAGGTTCAAGCAATTCTCCTGCCTCAGCCTCCCTAGTAGCTGGGATTACAGGCACCTGCCACCACGCCTGGCTAATTTTTGTATTTTTAGCAGAGATGGGGTTTCACCATGTTGGCCAGGTTGGTCTCGAACTCTCGACCTCAAGTGATTTGCCCACCTCGGCCTCCCAAAGTGCTGGGATTACAGGCGTTAACCACTGCTTCGAGCCGACTTTATAATCTAGGTTTTTAAAGACCATGGCGGCTGGGCGCGGTGGTTCACGCCTGTAATCGCAGCACTTTGGGAGGCCGAGGCAAGCGAATCACCTAAGGCCGGAAGTTCAAGACCACCCTGACCAACATGGAGAAACCCCGTCTCTACTAAAAATACAAAATTAGCTGGGCATGGTGGCACATGCCTGTAATCCCAGCTACTCGGGAGGCTGAGGCAGGAGAATCGCTTGAACCTGGGAGGTGGAGGTTGTCATGAGCCGAGATTTTTCCATTGCACTCCAGCCTGGGCAACAGGAGCAAAACTCCGTGTAAAAGAATAAAATAAAAAAGACCAAAAAGACCATGGCAAGTTCAGGGGCAGTAGGAGCAGGGGAGGGGAGGGCTGAATGAGGTGGGCATGGTGGGCAGTTGCCCACTAGCTCCTGGGGCAAACAGGTCAGAGGGCACCTCTCCACACACTTCTCCCCAAAACTCACAAATGCTGGCTGCAGAGGAGCAGAAGGGAAAGGCTACAAGGAAGGGGACCCAGCATAGGCAAAGACCCAGAGGTGGGAGAGAGCAGATTCCTTCACAGAGCAGGGAGAAGGCTAATGTGTTTGGGATGCAGAGTGAAGAGCTGCGGGGGGTGGTGAGGCCGGCAGGTGGGCTGGAGACTCTGCCCATGAAGACTGCCTTTTGTCCAAGACCACTAGGAAGCTAGTAAAGGTTTTCAGCAGCAAAGTGATGTGGTCAAGTTTTTTTAAAAAATTGTTTTAAAAAATTAACATAGTAAAATTGGCTTTTCATAGGGGCTGGCAGTTATGTGAGTTTTAACATAAGTACAGATTCATGTAACCACTACCTCAATCAGGATATGGAACAATTCCACTAGCCCCAAAACTCACCCTTTGTAATCCACTCTCTCCAGCCCCTAAACCCTGGCAACCACTCACCTGTTCTCTGTTGCTATAGCTTTGCCTTTTCCAGAATGTCACATGAATGGAATCATATAGCATATATCCTGTTAAGACTGGCTTCTGTCACTCAGCATAGCGCCTTTGAGATTTGTCCAAGTTGTTGCATGGATCAGTAGTCCCTTTTTATTGGGATTGTTGGGTCATATGATACATGTATATTTAACTTTATGAGAAACTGCCAAACTGTTTTCCCGAGTGGCTGTATCATTTTGCATTCCCACCAGCAATGTATGAGTGTTCCGGTTGCACTGTATCCTCACCCGCATCAGGCATTTTTTTATATTATTTGTTCTGTAGTTATGTAGTGGTATCTCATTGTGGTTTTAATCTGCATTTCCCTAAAATGACACAGAGTAGCTTTTCATGTTTTGTTCTTTTCATGTTCTTTTCTCTCTATTCTGTTCCATTGATTTATATTTGCCATCCATATATCCTGTTTGGTGAAGTATCTAGTCTTTTGACCATTAAAAAAAATTGGGTTGTGTGTTTGATTATTGAGTTTTGAGAGTTCTTTACATATTGTTGATACAAGTCCTTTGTCAGGTATATGGTTTGCAAATATTTTCCTTCTAGTCTGTAGCTTGTCTTTTCACTCTCTTCATAGTGCCTTTCATAAAAGTTTTTAATTCTGATGAAATCCACTTTATTAATTTTTTTATTATATAAATTGTGCTTTTTGTGTCATATCTTAAAACTCTTTGCCTAACTCCAGGTTGTGAAGTTTTTTTTTTCTTTCTTTTCTTTTTTTTTTGAGACTGAGTCTTGCTGTGTTGCCCAGGCTGGAATGCAGAAGCTCGATCTCCGCCTTCTGGGTTCAAGCAATTCTCGTGCCTCAGCCTCCCAAGTAGCTGGGATTACAGGCACGTGCCATCACGCTCTGGTAATTTTTGTATTTTTGGTAGATATGGGATTTCACCTTGTTGGCCAGGCTGGTCCTGAACTCCTAACCTCAAGTGATCCACCTTGGCCTCTTAAAGTGCTGGGATTACAGGCATGAGCCACTGTGCCTGGCCGTGAAGATTTTCTTGAGTGTTTTTTTCTAAAAGTTTTATAGTTTTACTTTTTTCTTTTTTAAGAGACAAAGTCTTGCTTTGTTGCCCAGGTTGTAGTGCAGTGGCATAATCATAGCTTACTGCAGCCTTGACCTCCTAGGCTAGGCTCAAGCGATCCTCCCACTTCAGCCTCCCGAGTAGCTAGGACTACAGGCAGGCACCACTGCACTGGCTATTTTTTTATTTTTATTTTTTGTAGAGACAGGGTCTTACTATGTTAACCAGGCTGGTCTCGAATTCCTGGCCTCAACTGATCCTCCCACTTCAGCCTCCTAAAGTGCTGGATTACAGGTGCCAGACACCGCTCCTGGCTCAATTTTTTCTTTTTCAAAAATGTTTTGGCTATTCTAGTTTCATTGTCTTTATATATACATTTTAAAACCAACTTGAGGCGGGAGAATAGAATCTGTAGGCAGAGAACCTAAGGCCGATTTGGGCTGACTTCCTAGAACTGAGTGAAAAGGAAAACCCCACCTCTTCATGCCCAAGTAACTAAAGGATCAGAGGCTACTCCCTTTGCAACCTGCCCCCACAACCCTGCATCTCAGATGAAAAATGGAAAGTACCTCTGATTGGTCCCCTCCCAAAACCAGTCGCAGATTGGCATAGGGTGTAACTTTGTAACTTCACTTCAGCCTCTAATTGGTTGCCTTTCACAACCAATCAGACTGGTCATGGGCCACTCCTCTATTTACGTAGGATGCAACCAAGTAACCAACGGGAAACCTCTGGAGGGTATTTAAACCTCAGAAAATTCTGTAACTAAGGGCTCTTGAGCTCCTTGCTCAAGCCCACTCCCGCTCTGTGGAGTGTACTTTTGTTTAAATAAATCTATTTGTTTAAACAAAATCTAAATTTTGTTTAAATAAATGAAAAGAATGTTGCTTCATTCTTTTGTTGCTTTGTTTGTGCATTTTGTCCATTTCTTTGTTCAAAACGCCAAGAACCTGGAGGACTCATAGTCAAGATCCCCCACCAGTCACAAACTTACTTATCTCTGCCAAAAAATTCCACTGGGATTTTGATTGGTATTAGGTTAAATCTGTAGATGAGTTTTGAGAGGACATTGAACTTCATTGAGTCTCTCAATTCATGAACAGATAGGTCTCTCTATTTGGTTTTGGATTTCTTATATCAACATTTGTAGCTCTCCCCATACAAATCTTGTATATGTTTTATTATGTTAATACCTATGTATTTTGTTTTGGGGAACAATTATAAAAGGTATTGTTTTTGAAAACACTTTGGTTTCCAGATGTTCATTGCTAGTAGGTAGAAATAGGATTGCTTTTGTGTCTTAACCTTATATTCTGTAACCCTGCTAAACTCCTATTCATTCTAGGAGCTATTTGGGTAGATTCCATGTTTTCTACATAGACAATCATGTTGTCTGTGAACAGGGATCATTTTATTTCTTCTTTGCCAATCTGTGTTGCCTCTTATTTCTTTTTCTTGCCTCATTGCACTGGCTAGGACTTCCTATACCTTGAGACTGTCATTCCTCGAAACTCTCATTGCACTGGCTAGGACTTCCTGTACCACGTGTAACAGGAGAGATAAGAGTGGATCTTCTTGTCTTGTTCCTGATTTTAGAGAAATGCATTCAGTCCTTCACTATTAAGTATGATGTTCGTTGTAGCGTTTTTTCTTTTGGTAGGTACCCTTTATCAAATTAAGGAAGTTCCTTTCTATTCTTAATTTACTGAGAGCTTTTATTATAAATGGATGTTGAAGTTTGTCAAGTGTTTTTTTCTGCCTCAATCAATATGATCATGTGATTTTTCTTCCTTAATCTGTTAATATGGTGAGTTACATTGATTGAATTTCAAATATTGAATCAGCCTGTATTCCTGGAATAAACCCCACTCTGTCATGGTATATTATTCATTTTATATATTACTAAATTCTGTCTGCTAATATTTTGCTGAGGATTTTTCTGTATTCACGAAGGATATTGGTCTGCAGTTATCTTTGACTGTACTCTCTATGCCTGGTTCTGATACCAGAGTAATGATGGCTTCATAAAATAAATTGGGAAATGTTCCCTTTTATTCTGTACTCTGGAAGAGATTGGTGTTGTTTCTTCTTTAAATATTTGATTAAATTTATTAGTGAATGGTTGGGTGCAGTGGCTCACACCTGTCATCTCGGTACTTTGGGAGACCAAGGTAAGAGGATCACTTGAGCCCAGGAGTTCAAGACCAGCCTGGGCAACATACTGAGACCCTGTCTCTATTAAAAATAAAAAGAATTAGCCTGACATGGTAGCACATGCCTGTAGTTCTAGCTACTAGGGAAGTGGGAGAATCACTTGAGTCTGGATGGTTGAGGCTGCAGTGAGTTGTGATTGCACTACTGCAGTCCAGCTTGGGCAACAGAGCAAGACCTTGTCTCAAAAAAAAAAAAACAACAACCAACAACAATAATAACATATATATTTTTTGTTAGTGAAGCTGTCTGGGCTGGGAGATTTCTTTTTTGGAAGGTTTTAAATTACAAAGTGAATTTATTGAGTAGATACAGGACTCTTCAAGTTATCTGCTTTTTGTGTGAGTTTTGGTAGTTTGTGGCTTTCAAGGAATTGGTCCATTTTATCTAAGTTGTTGGGTTGATGTGTATAGAGTTGGGAATAGTATTCTGTCATTATCCTTCTAATGCCAGAGTCTGTAGTGATATATCGATTTTCTTCCTAATATTGGTCATTTGTGTCATTTTTCCTTTGTCAATTTGGCTACAGATTTATCAGTTTTATTGCTTTCTGCTCTTTTCTTAATTCCCTCCTTCTCTTTGCTTTGGCTTTATTTTGCTCTTTTTTTTTTTTTTTTTTTTTTTTTTTGGTGGAGTCTCGCTCTGTCACCCAGGCTGGAGTAGAGTGGCATGATCTTGGCTCACTGCAGCCTCCACCTCCTGGGTTCAAGCAATTCTCCTGCCTTGGCTTCCTGAGTAGCTGGGACTACAGGTGTGTGCCACCACGCCGGGCTAATTTTTTGTATTTTTAGTAGAGACGGGATCTTGCCATGTTGCCCAGGCTGGTGTCAAACTCCAGAGCTCAAGCAATCTGCCCACCTTGGCCTCCCAAAGTGCTGGGATTACAGGCATGAGCCACCGTGCCTGGCCCATTTTGCTCTTTTATTTTTTTCTACTTTTGTAGTTTCTCAAGATGGAACTTGGATTGATAAGACCTTTCTTTTTTTCTAATATACATGTTTTGGTGTTATAAAATGCTCTTTAAACACTACATTAGCTGCATCTCACAAATTTCAGTTTGTTGTGCTTTTATCTTTGTTCAGTTCAAATATCTTCTAATATTCCTTGAGACTTCCTCTGGACCATGAATTATTTTTACGTGTGTTGCTTTATTTCTAGTATTTGGAGGTTTTCCAGTTATATTTTTGTTATTGTCTTTTAATTTAATTCTGTCGTGGTTAGAGAATATACTTAGTATGACTTCAATTTTTAAAGTTTGTTGAAGTTTCTCTTATGACCGAGGAAATGGTCTATATTGGTGAGTGTTCTATGTGCACTTGAAAAGAATGTGTATTCTGCTGTTGATATGTGGAGCATTCTGTAATGCTAATTAGATCCAGTTTGTTGATAGCGTTGTTCAGTTCTTCTACATGCTTGCTAATCTGAAAACTTCTCCTACCAATTACTTAAAGAAGAGTATTGAAATCTCCAACTATAATTACAGATTTTGTCTTTTTCTCTATTCAATTCTATCAGTTTTTGCTTCAGGTATGTTGAAGCGCTGTTGTTAAGTGCATTCTCATTTAAGAGTGTTATGTCTTCTTGGTGACTTGACCCTTTTATCATTGTAAAATGCCCTCCTCTTTATCCCTGGTAATTTTTCTTACTCTGAAATCTAACTTGTTTAATATTAACATTGCCATTCTAGCTTTTTTTTTTTTTTTTTTGGTGAGGCAGAATCTCGCTCTTGTTGCTCAGGCTGGAGTGCAATGGCATGATCTCGGTTCACTGCAACCTCCGCCTCCCGAGTTCAAGCTATTCATTATCCTGCCTCAGCCTCCTGAGTAGCTGGGATTGCAGGCACCCGCCACCACGCCCAGCTAATTTTTTCTAGTTTTAGTAGAGATGGGTTTCACAATGTTGGCCAGGTTGGTTTCGAACTCCTGACCTCAGGTGATCAACTTGCCTTGGCCTCCCAAAGTGCTGGGATTACAGGTGTGAGCCACAGCTCCTGGCCCTAGCTTTTTAAAAAAATTTACATTTGAAAGGCATTTCATTTACTATTATCGTATTTATATCATTATACAGCATATTGTTGGGTCTTGTTTATTTTTTTCATTCTGATAATTTCTGATTTTTAATTGATATGTTTAGATTATTTACATTTAGTGTAATTATTGATATTTTTGAATTTAGAGGTTTCATTATTTGATTTTTATTTCTGCCTTCTGTTATTAGTCCCTGTTTTCTCCTTTCTGCTTTCTTGTGGGTCGACTATTTTTTGTATTCTATTTTAATTTACTTATTAAGTTTTTTAAAAAAACTATATCTTCTTGTATACTTTTTAAAAGTGATGGATCTAGTGATTGCAATATACATACTTAAATTAACTTCATGGTCTACTTAGCAAATTTTGCTTGAACAAGGTCATCAGGCTACAATGTGGGGATGCAGAGAGATCAATTAGGATTAGGAATACCAGATTTAGCAAATAAAAATACAGGATGGTCCTTGAAATAGTTCAAGGAATTCATGGAATTTTAACTAGAAAAAAAAATTAAAAACAGATGTCCAGTTAGATTTAAATTTCAGATAAATCCTGAATAATTGCTTAGTGTGAATATGTCCTGTGCAATAGTTGGGACATACTCATACTTAAAAAAATCATTGTTTATTGGAAATTCAAATTTAACTGGACCTCTTGTACTTTATCTGGTAATCCCAGTTAGGTTGCTATTTTGAGTGAAGATGGCTGAACAAGGCTTGGTGGCGATAAGATAGGGAAAAGTGGACAGATGCAGGAAAGATTTAGGAAGCAAAATCTAGAGGATTTGGTGTAGATGGGATGTTAGGATGAGAAAGAGAAGAGTCCAGGTTGATCCCATGGTGGTGTGTGACTTGCGCCCTCTTTGGATGGAGACTGGTACCCCTGCTGCAATGGGGAATGCAGGAGGAGTGGTAAAAGCTGTAGTGGGAGGTTTTGGATGTACTGATTCTGTGGTAGCTTTGAGATACCCAAATGGAGGTGAAAGCCAGGTGGCAGATATCCGGGTGTTTACTTGAGGGAGTGGTCTGGGTTGGACACACACAGATGCAGATGTCCTGAAGCTACCAGCAAGGGTAAACTCCTAGGAAGAGAGTACACCACATGAGAATACGTGGACATAAGGCCCTCCCCAAGGAACATCAACACGTAGTAGCCACACCAGAAGGGTCTGGCAGAGAAGGCTGAGAAGAGGCATCCCAAGGGGAAAGAGGGAAACCAGCAGAGTGTTGGGAGGTGGAACGAGTGTAGGGAGTGGACAGTAGTGCCAAATACTCTGGAGAGATAGGGAAGATTAGTTCCAGAAGTTAGAGGGAAATGGAGTTGCTGTCACTATGGGCAACTGGTGCTCAATCCCACTGGGACCCTCTGAGGCACCACAGAGTTGTCCCTCAGAAGGATATTTATCTACCCACTCTCTCATCTAAGGAAGACAGGAGAGGTACTGACTCCCACTTGCATCTCTTGTGTCTGCACTGCATGACTCCTGCTCCTGCCCCTTGCCAGCCAAGAGAGTGGCGGGCCGGAGTGGGATGCTTCAGTCTGGAGGAGGAGAACAGTCTGCACAGCTGCAGTTGAAATCTAAGAAGGGCCGATGAGATGAGGAGCAGGACACACAGATCATCTGTTACAGTCAGGAAGCTGAGGGGGTTCTTTTCTACTGGCTTCTCTGGCTCTGGGTAGAAGGAGGGAGGTGCTCTGCTGAGGATAGGGGGAGGTGGTGGAAAGGTCAAGGGGCAGAGGGCAGAAGGTGTGCAGGATGGACCTTGTGTTAGTCTATTCTCACACTGCTGTAAAGAAATACCTGAGACTGGGAATTTATAAAGAAAAGAGGTTTAATTGGCTCGTGGTTCTGCAGGCTGTACAGGAAGCATGGCTAGGGAGGCCTCAGGAAACTTACAATCATGGCAGAAGGGGAAGGGGAAGCAGGCATGTCTTACACGGCCGGGAGAGGAGGAAGAGAGTGAAGGGTGAGGTGCTACACACTTTTAAACAACCAGAACTCATGAGAACTCACTCACTATCAAGAGAACGGCAAGGGGGAAATCCACCCCCATGATCCAGTCATCTCCCACCAGGCCCCTTCTCCAACGCTGGGGATTACAATTCAGCATGAGATTTGGGCTGGGACACAAATCCAAGCCGTTTCAGACCTGTTCATTGCAGAGTGAGAGAGGCCAGATAAAAGCAGGTGGATTTTTGGTCAGGTTGAGGCCAGCTGAGGCTGGTGACCTAGAACCCTGAGTGGTGACAGCTTACCACCTGACTGTGTCTCTGCAGCAGGTGAAGCTTGGAGAAAGAGCTAGGGTCAGCCAGGGCTGGAGTTCCACCAAGCAACTAGCCTGACCCTCTCCTCCTGATATGGGGGCTGGGCTGTGAAGAGTGGGAGTTCTCAGAGAGCCTTCTATGAGGCTCAGAAGTGAGTGCTCCCTGGCACCCTGTGAATGCAGCGAGTCTGGGCTGGAAGGGAATCTTGGGGCCATATGGTACACCCTGCCTCTCCTTGTGAGCAAATCCTGTCATCCCAACCTTTAGAGCCAGAGAAAAGGAAAAAAAAACACAATTCAATGGGGACCACTTATGAAGGTCAGCTTCCTGGAGGAGGTGAGTTTTTACCTAGTGGGAAGGCACAGATCTTTTCAGAAGAAGTAGGGGAAGGCATATCTAATTAGAGAATTTGCTTTTTGGCCAGGCGTGGTGGCTCATGGCCTGTAATCTCAGCACTTTGGGAGGTTGAGGCAAGAAAATTGCTTGAGGCCAGGAGTTCAAGACTAGCCCAGGGCAACATAGCAAGACCCTGTCTCTACAAATAATGTTTTAAAAAGTAGCCTGACATGTTGGCGCATGCCTGTAGTCCTGGCTACTTGGGAGGCTGAGGTGGAAGGATCGCTTGATCCCAGGAGTTCGAGGCTACAGTGAGCCATGATTGTGCCACTGCACTCTAGCCTGGATGATGGAGCAAGACCTTGTCTCTCTCTTTTCTTTCTTTAAGACAAGTCTCTCTACGTCACCCAGGCTGGAGTACAGTGGTGCAATTACAGCTCACTGCCGCCTCAACTTCCTGGGCTCAAGCGATCTTCTCACCTCAGCCTCCCAAGTAGCTGGGACTACAGGCATGTGCCAACACGTTCACGCTTGGCTAATTTTTTTTTAAGTAGAGATGGGGATATTGCTATGTTGCTCAGGCTCTTATCTCTTAAAAAAAAGAAAGAAAGAAAGAAAGAAAGAAAGACCGTGGCTCACACCTGTAATTCCAGTACTTTGGGAGGCCAAGGCGGGCAGATCACAAGGTCAGGAGTTTGAGACCAGCCTGACCAACATAGTGAAACTCTGTCTATACTAAAAATACAAAAAATTAGCTGGGCGTGGTGGCAGGCACCTGTAATCCCAGCTACTCGGGAGGCTGAGGTAGGAGAATCTCTTGAAGCTGGGAGGCGGAGGTTGCAGTGAGCCGAGATCACGCCACTGCACTCCAGCCTGGGAGACAGAGTCAGACTCCGTCTAAGAAAGAAAGAAAGAAGGAAAGGAAGAAAGAAAGGAAGAAGGAAGGAAGGAAAGAAAAGGAAGGAAGGAAGGAAGGAAAGAAAAGGAAGGAAGGAAGGAAGGAAAGAAGGAAAAAGAAAGAAAGAAAGAAAAGAAAGAAAGAAAAAAAGAAAAAAAGGAAAAAGAAAGAAAGGGCTCTTCAATGGTTTGGAGGTGAGACTGAGGCACACAGAGTCAAATCTTCCTGCCACCCCTGTGAACCTGAAAGGCCATCCTGTCCAGGGCTCAAATCCCCTCTGCAGCAGGCATCTGTTTGGCCCTTTGAGCCAAGACTGTGTGCTGGAATGCAACTGGTAGAGACAAGGGGTGGATGTCCCCTGATCACCCAGCCCCTGCAGACACCAGCTGTCCCCTCCTGGGGCATATCAGACAGCAGCACATCACACCATCCTCCTGGAGGCTCCAGGTCCTTCCAGGGTCCTCACATCCACCCCAGCCCTGACCCAGGCTCCTGCGTGCCAGCTTTTCAGCCCTGCCTTCTGCTGAAGGTGCTCATTCTTCACCACCTGAGTATCAGCCAGGATGCTTTTGGCTGCAAGTAACAGGAAAGCCACTCAAAATGGCTTAACCAACAGGAGTTTTTTTAATTACTTCTAGTTATTTAACACCAACAGTGGCAGACATCTGTGCAGGCATATTTTTAAGGGTTTTGCAAATAAATCACTTTTATTCTCATAACAGCCCTGTGAGGTAGGTGCTATTGTTATGCATTCTACAGATGAAGAAGTTGAAGTAGCTGGTTTAAGGTCACAGGCTTGCTTAACAAGATGTCAGGAGGTTGAATACGTCCAGGGCAGGTCCAGCGGTTCAGTACATTATCTTGGGTCCTATTTTTGCTCCTCCCTCCACTCTGCTATTCTCAGCATGTCAGCCATGTTTTTCCTAATGGTCACAAAGTGGCTGCCACATCACACGCTCACACCATAATATCCAAAAGCAGGAAGGGAGAGCTCCTCTCCTAGCATATGGCTCTTTTTATCAGGGAGTAAAATCTTTCCTAGAATCCTTCTAACTGACTTATTTTTATTGTTTATTGGCTGAAATTGGGTCACATGCACACATTTAAGCCAATCACTGGCAAAAGGGAGCAATGGGCTTGCCATGACCGGCTTTGACAATCATGTGTGGCCTCCCTTCTCTGAGCCTCCCCACCAGAAGAAGCGATCTTGTCTGCTGGGTGGGCAACCAGCGGTGTCTGTCACGGACCAACTTCCCAAAGAGCCAAACCCTTCTGTTTCCCAACATTTTGAATCAGTTGGGGAACTCAAAAAAATGTTTAACAGAGTCAAAAATGGCTTCTCCACCTGCATGGGCAACTAATGGTATATTTGGGAGAAATTTAATTTGACTGACTTGGCTGTAGCACAGACCTGGCTGCAGATCCAGGCCTCGAGTCCCCTCCCACCTGTTCAACTGCCACCATTCCTCCAGAATCAGCCCACAGTCCCCTCCCAGCCCCTCACTTCCTCCCACCTGTCCCATGGCATGTTGTATGTACCTTGGGTGTTCACCTCCTGAATTGTGGTAGGTGAGTTATATGTGTCTCTCCTCTACCATCCTCCTCAGTGGGGTTCTTACACACAGGAATGTGTCTCATTGATTCTGGTGCCCATGGAACATGGTGTGGGCACACAGAATAACAGCAATGGCTGAAAGGGCTTTACCCGGTGCCAGGTGCTGGGGGTTTATATTTATTGACTCTTTGGATCTTCCTAAGGACCTGAGGGTGTGTGGCAGAAGCTGCTCTTGGTCATTGATGTCCTCTCCCACTCTCTCCCAGGGCACACCACTGGACCACATCCCCTGGCCACCCTTGCAGCTAGGAGTACCTGTGTAACCCCCTTGTCACCAAAGGAAGCTGGGTGGGAGGGATGCCAGCCAGGCCTTCAGAAAAGTGTCTGATCTGCCTTTAGCAGGGCCCTGGCCCGTGGAGACCACAGGGACCATGGGGACAACAAGGGCAGGGCCCCTGGGGAAGGTGGAGCAACAAGACAGAAAGAGCCTGGGCCCTTTGGTCACTGCTCCGCAGGGGCCCGTCTGCTGGCGTAGGCTGCCCTGCACTGAAACAGGAGTGGGAAAGAAGGTGCAGCTGTGCTTGAGCCAATGCACTCAATGCGCCATGGGCCTGGTACGGCAGCTCAGCCCACCCTGGCTGGTGCAGGTGGCGGCTACAATCATCTCCCACAGGATTATCCCCATTCTAGAAGTAGGGGAACCAAGGCAAGGGGTAGTGGGGGTTGAGTAACTTGCCCTGGGTTACACAGCCAGTAAGTGGCCATGCCAGGTGACCCAGGCAGCATGGCTGCTGTGCTCTGTACCCTCAGCAGGCTCTGATAAAGGCAGGAGCAAAGATGGGGACAGTCAGGACCTGTGGGCTGCAAATGAGGTGGTGAGGAGACTCAGAGAAGAGCAAGGTCAGAAACCGAAGCTGAAGTCAGACCTGAGCTCTGAAAACACCCACAGGAAGGAGCAGGAAGGAGAAATGAGGCCTGAGGAGGGGGTGCTGGATTAGTCGGTGAGGGCCAGGGAGGCGAGAGTGGTGTCTTGAGTCAGCTGCTCCGAGATGCTGGGCCCCGTGGAGCCTAGAGGGCCCCTGGGTGTGGCAACCTGAGGGGGTGTCTGTACAGGTATGAATGTCACTTACAGAACCTATGCTTATAGGACTCAAGGAACCGGGGTGGGCATCCGGCCCAGCCCCTACTGAGGAGGAAACTGGGAGGCGTTAAGAGGCCTGCCAAAAATCCCAGTGTGATTTTTTTCCTTTTAAGTCCAGAAGATGCTTTGTGTGGTAAACATTGGCTCCAGAATCACATCTGGAGCCCAGGAAACCCAGGGCACCCCCGCCAGCCCCCCAGCTCATCGTGGCGTCACTGTGCTATTATTTTAACTATTGCACTCACTGAGAAATACTGCCAGCATGTAAAAGACTGTGTTAATTAATTAACCAGGCACTTCATTGAGAGTCAATGGTGTAATTGTTGTTCGTGGTGGATAAATACTAATTGAATATTAAGAACATATTTGTGCAGAAGGAGCTGCTTCAGGAGCGAGCCGTGCCCTTTGTCAGCCAGATGTTTGGACTCGTTATAGAGGCTGAGTCATTAGCGGGGGGTGCCCTGGCATGTGGGCTCTGCTATTCTGTGTCTGAGAAGGAAGGAAGGCCGCCTGAGGAAGGACTGGCTCCTGGGCAGTGAAAGGTAAGGGATTTCCACAGACAGACCTAGACTGGAAATAGGAGCTGTATTAAGCAGATGACAGGTAAGTGTTAAGCTTTGGCCTAGGCAGTTCCAGGTGTGATTTTTAAAACCTTCATACAGCTGGCTTAGTCCTGGCCAGGGAGGTAGGCAGGGTGGGACGTGTTGATTCCATTTTACAGATGGGGAAGCGGAGGCTCCATGAGCAAGGCCGGTGACTTGCTCAGGATCACAGAGACAGGATCACAGAGCCAGTCTCCCTGCTCCCACTGCAACAGGAGGTTACACAGGTATACCTAGCTGCAAGGGAGGCCAAGAGACGTGGCCCAGTGGTGTGCCTGGGGAGGGGGTGGGAGAGGACATCAATGGCCAAGAGCAGCCACTGGCACACACCCTCAGGTTCTTAGGAAGATCCAGTGAGTAAACAAATATAAACCCCCAGCACCTAGCACCAGGTAAAGCCCTCTTAGCCATTGCCGTTATTCTGTTTGCACCAGGTTCCGTGGACACCCGAGGCAGGCAGCTCAGACTTGGGGCCCCAGACCCCGGGTCAGCTAGGGGAGGTGACCCTCTCCCCCTGCTTCTCTGGAGTCCCTGTGTCCCAGGCCTGACTGGTGCCCAGGAGTTGGAGCCCTCCTGGGGTTTCTAGCTCTCACGATGGCTCTGCCCTGTCAAGGCAGTGTGAGGCAGTATAGTTAGTAATGCAGGCTCTGCAGCCAAAATTCTTAGATTAAGAGCTCAGCACAACCTCCTATGTGCTGAGAAATCTTGGACAAATTACTTAAACTCTCTGTGCCTCTACACTAAAATGGAGACAATGATACAGCTCATAAGCAGGGCAGTGGCTGGCTCACACTATATGGAAAGAACATAGGCTGCACTCTTGGCCAGGTTCCCTTGTGCAGTGAACAACCAACCTGCCTGACTGTATATGGCAGCCCCGTCTACAGGGTTGTTACGAGAGTAAACAAAATGTAATACGGTAAACACCCAATGCACGTTAATAATCTTCCACAGTTTTCGGATCCCATTTCCCTGAGAAGTGGGCATGACTTTGCTGCCACCCACCAGCTGCCAGCCCTTTTAGAAGGGCTGATAAGAAGACATGTAGACCGAGAACACAAGAGGAGATGGCTCCTGTCACAGCACCGACAGCAGCCGAATCTGCAGAGCCTGATAACAAAGTGTCTGCCAAAAGTCCTGGCCCCAGAGCCATCAGAGCGGCTGAAGTCAGACCTTGCCACTGCGCCCTCCACTCCAGCCTCTTAGTCACTGTAGTCACTGGGTCCTGCAGGGAGCTAGCTCACAACTGTGTAGAACTCTTAGTTGGGCCTCCCCAGAGGTGGGCCTTGAGGCAAGGATTCAAATCCAATTGGATTCCAGTTTAATTGGTGGATGTGGGGAGGGAGACAGGAGGGAAGGCAGCTGCTGTGGGCAAGTGGAGCGCGATGCTGCTGGGAATGCTGGGAGGCAGCCAGAACCTGCCCCACAGTTACCGCGCCCAGGGCCTCCCAGCTCCCACTGCTGGGGCTGCCGCGTAGGAGGGCAGCGCAGACTCCAGACGTGGCACTCTGTGAGACTGAGCGCCTGGAAGGCGAGTGGGTGGGCACTGAGTTGAAGAAGGGTGGAGGGGACATGGGCAGCACTGATGGGGTCTGCTCCACCACGAAGCACCTTCCCATTTCTGGCTCATCGGCATGAGGGACTCTTCCACCAGAGAAGCTGGAAGTGGAGGTGGGGCCTGAGTCATCAGTCCAGTCCTTGCCAGGTGCCAGGGGCTGTTGCCCGATGTCATGTCATTGTTGTGAGTTCAGTCTGAGGGAAGAGAGGTTGGTTCTTTCCCACTGTCACAGAGCTTGCAAGCACAGAGGCGTGTGGACCAGGGCCCGTGCTCTTAACCACTGTCCTGCAAGGGCCACACTGTTAAAAACACACTTGGCTCAAAAGGGTCTACAGGGAGCAGCCGACAGAGGCCCTGCAGCACCCTAGTTCCTTCCTTTGGGGACACTGGAGCCCACCTCTGGGGTGAGGGGTGCCATGTGGGCCCCTCCTAGCTCAACTCAGCCCAGTAGCTGGGGGAGGGAGGGTCTGGCCTCAGGTCACGGCCCAGTGCCTTTCTCCCACTGCAAGGCACTCCCGAGTCTGCTATGCAGCCAGGCAACCTGGTCTAACCTCACCATACCTGTTATTAGTCAGGGACTGGGTGAACCCCCAGCAGCTTCCCTCACAGAATCCTGCAGGGGCATCACCAGCAGGCCAAGTCTTCTCCATGCTGGGAGGGAGGAGGGATGGAACCCGAGGCCGCTCCAGGAGCTCCAGGCTGAGGAGGAGGCAGAGCCCTTGAGAATGTCCTGTCTGATGGGCCACCTGGTCCTCAGGGAGCTTCCCTGTGCTGGGGAAGGCACAGCGCCAGCCAGGGGCAGCTCTGCATTCTCCACCTTCCTGACAGGGTAGCATAGTGGGAACAAGCCCACACCCATCCTCAGGAATACCAGACAGGAGCTGGGAACCTGACGTGGGGCATGAGGGAAAGCTCTGTGCTCTCCTCCTGCAGGGGATGAGCCAGGTCTGAGCATCCAGGTAGGGCCAGGCCGAGGAATGTCCAGGTGGCCAGAGCCAGGAGCCATTGTGTCTGTCTCCAGAACCCTCTCTGTGGCTCCTTCCACAGCCCATCTCACAGAGTGGGGAAGCTAAATGAGGCTCCCATCTCCTTATGGTCCCTTGGGGAGGCCCCCCCATAGCTCAGACAGCCCCTGGGCCAGCGGAGCAATTTGTGGATGATGTCCAAGAAGGGTCCCCTTCTAGGTGCCTCAGTGGGGCTCAAGCCCAGGCCTGCACAGCCTGGGGAGTGGGCATCTGTGTGTCCCATGGCAAGACGAGTGGGAGAGGCCAGAACTGCCTGGGGAGTGTTGAGACCTCAGACACATCAAGGTAGCCCCCCTCACCCCTCACCCCCACACTTCAGCCTGCATCCCAGGTCCCCACAGGTACCAGCAAAGCTCTCCTGGGAAGCCGATGACATCAGAAGTGCCCCAGGAAGCCACCGCCCCCGGGGCGACAGACGGGACTATTTATATGGAGGAAGCAGGCCTGTCACCTCCAGCTCCAAGTTACCTCCTGCTTCCCCGCTCCCTCTCTGCTGCTGCCTATATTAGGAGCTTGGCAGATGGAAGGAGCCGGGACCTTCCCCCACGCCCCAAGCTCCCTACACGTGCCAGTGCCACCTTGAGCTAGCAAGGGCCTGGCTCACCCTTCCTCGGCTGCCTGTACCTGCCTCCAACCCTACTAGGTAAGGACCCAGTGCCAGCTGATTCTAGGGGACAAGCCAGAGGGATCCACAGAGGAAGGGGGGCAGAGAGGGTGGGACAATGGTTGGAAGACAGGGAAAAAGGAAAGGGTGGAGGGAACAGTGTGGAAACCCCAGGGGACCAATGAGCAAGGAGGGGAGGTCAGGTCTGAGACAGAGGAGTGGGGCAGAAGGAAGAGCAGGGGGTCTGGGCGCCCCTCCAACAGTGTCTGTGTGCAAATTAGGAAAAGGCGCCCTCTGCAGGCTGATGAATTAGAAGAACGCATAAGTCAGGGGTGCCTCTGTGTGAGGAAAGATACCCTTCTTCCCTGAGGACTTGGCCTCATGCCAGGTCACGGAGCTTGGGGAGAGGGGCATGGGCCTGCCTGTTTCCCCTGCTCCCTGTCATGACCTGCACTGCTGCACCTGGCAGCCTGGCAGCCCTGCTCCCAAGGCCCTAGCAGGAAGAGTGGCTGAGGAAGAAAAGCCTGCCTTGGGGCCTGATCTCCGGGCTGGGGGCCACTGTAGGTCAACCCCAGTGCTCTGCCAGGTTCTGACCCACCAAGTGGCAACTGGTTTAATGATGTTGGCAACCAGACCCCAGGCTCATTAGGAAAGTGCACAGAGTGCTGACCCAGCCAGGCAGAGTGCCCACAGGCGACGACCCGTGAAGCTCTAGCCTGGTCCCCCATGGGGTGACAGTCTGGACCTCCTGCCAGAATTTCCTGCATCGGTGGCCGCCGCTTATGTCTCCCAGCAGCCCCGGAGGGAGGATAAGCACCTGGCTCAGCATCCCAAGCCCACCTGGGGCCCACCCCCCTCTTCCCCATTTCTTTGTACACCCAGCAGATGGGGCCTCTCACCATCCTAGGCGCGGGGTCCTCCGGCTTTCATTCCTGGTTGTGTTCTGTGGCTATGGCACTCAGGAGGTGTCAGAGACTGAAGTGCAATTTGCATTTTAATAAAGAAAGTTGTATTGCAATCATTTGCATTTAAATAAGGTGCTGTTTCCTCCTCCCTTCCTCCCCTGCTGGTGGTGGCACCTTTGGGAGAAGAAGAATCCCCAGGCCTTCCGTTCCTTGTACTCCTCCTCATCCAGCCAACTTCAGTGGGGGATGATGGGAGCGGTGGGAATCTGCCCTCCCAGTACTCGGTCTCTCCCTGCAGAGCTCTTTTGCACAGGCACACACACTCACACACACACACTCACACACACATGTATGTGCAAGTGAATATTCACATGCATCATATGCACACGCATACACAATGCACGTGTGCACACACGTGCATAAGCACATACAAACACACAGCCACCAAAGGCAATAAGATGCCCTCTTGCCTGGTGCTTCCCCAGCTACCTAACCCCTGGTAAACAGCCTGAAGAGGCTCAGGCCTGGGCGGTGACACCCCTGGACCCACTGCATCCAATTTTTGCTGAGTCCTTTCTCTGGACTCCAGTGGGGGCCCATGTAAGTCGGGGAGGGTTGGGGGAGCAGTGGCCTAGTATGAACCCTGTGTCCCTAGGAGCCCCTTCCTCACCCTGGCTGGGCTCAGAGGTGCAGGTCTGCACACTGAAGCCACCTGAGTTCCAGGCTGTCAGCTTCCTTCTTCCTCAACCAACATTTTTTTAGCCAGTGCTTTGGCTTACTGGTGGTTCCCAAGTGGCTGCCAGCTTGCTTTCCTGGCTAAAGCTCTGTCTCCTGAATCAGCACCCGCCCTCATCTCCCTCCAGAGTCCCCAGACTCTACACACTTGCAGTTTCTTCAAGACAGCACTCCCTTTACTTTTTTTTTTTTTGGGGGATGGAGTCTACGCCTCCTCTTCATCCCTGCTCCCCTTCTCCCGGGCGGTGCTGTGGCGCACAGACCCACATCCTGCACGCCTGGCGCTGTCCCTTAGGCTCAGTTTCTCCGTCTCAAAATGGGACAACCTTGCCTGCTCCTTGACTTGTGGGGATTAACCAGTCACAGAGTCACATGCTTGGCACATGGTAGAGGCTCAATAAATGAAGGCTGGTATCCCCACAGAGCCCCCAAATTCACACAGCCTGATCACACTGGGCATAGAAATTTGGCCCCAATAGAACCTCAATAGAACCTCAAGCAATAGAACCTCAGGACCGCCACAGGTTGGTTTAAGCAGACACTGTGTCATATGACTCGGTCCAACAGGAAGGAATGCAGCCTGACACACAGTAAGAAGACCTGGGTGCCATGTCACCTCACCTCTCGGAGCCTTGGATTCTCTGTCTGTAAAATAGGTGGTATAACAGGACAGTGGGAGGGGCCAATGAGCTGCTGGGCATTGGTGTGCTTGGGAGGCTGCAAGGCAGGAGGGTAGGCCCCTGACTGGCTGGAGATCCCACCCCAGAACAACAGGCAGGAAGCCCAGGCAGAGCTGGGCAGGGCCACCGGCCCTCACAGGGCCCCAGTCTCAGTGTACCTGCATGGATAGCACCCTTGTCCTCACAGCCAGCCCCAGGAAGCCGAGCTACTGTCCTATTTACAGATGAGGAAACAGGCTCCAAAGTCATTCCACCACCCCAGCCCCCTGGCGGGACGTGGAGAAGGCTGGAAGTTGTGCCCACATGAGAGGACGTGGCGGCGACAAGCCCTGTGGGCATTTGGGTGTAGAGCATTCCCGGCCAGGGCCCAGAGGCAGGAGCATGCCCCCTGTGCTGGGACAAGGAGGCTGCCAAGAGGCGCGTCCTTCGCCCTGGGGTGCCGGCAAGGCTGGTGGCCTCTCGTGTGGTTGTCCTCTATTTTCTGAGTTAGCTGTGATGGGCAAAAGGTTGGCAAGCTGGGTCTGGGGCAAAAGGTGCCCAGGGGAACGGAGAGGCCAACCTAGGACTCCCCAAGCAGGAAGGGCAAGGAAGCTACCCCCTGGGATGGGGTCTCAGTGAAGAAACAGGGAAACTCAGGCAGCAGGCCAGAACTTGGCCAGTGGAGCCAGGTTTGCCCCAGACCCTCAGGTCCCTTCCTAACGAATCATCCCAGAGGCCTTCCTGGCATTGCCATCCCCACAAATGCTTCCGGACTCACAAGGTAAGGTCTTGGAAGCATCTCCTCCCAGGAGTATGATTAGAATCCCACCTCTGCCCCCCAGAAAAGAATGTCCATGCAGGTGTGTCCCCCAGCCCAGCCTGGACGGACAGTGCTTCCCTCCCCATTTGCAGCCCCTTCCTGTGGTCCAGCCCTGGCCGGCCTGCCCAGAGCCAGTGGGGGCCCTGTTGCCCTAGCATTCGCAGACATATGTAGAGGGAGAGCTGTGCGGGGGCGCCTTTGCCTTCCTGGCTGAGGGGCCAGAGCCATGGACAAAAGCCCAGCACTCTGACCAAATCTGTAGAGTTTATTGCGCACTCACTGTGTCCCAGGCCATGAACCAAGCATACTGTTTTATATTCACAACAACCATATGAAGCAGATGTGATTGTGTCCCATCTTGCAGATGAGGAAACTGCGGCTCTGGGAGGTTATAGAAGGCACCCAAAGCTCCACATTGAAGATGTGATGGAGCCAGGTTCAAACTCAGGGCAGATGGACACAGGCTCTGCCCTCACTGATGAGCTGAGTCTGTTCTGTGCTGAGTCCCTCCTGCTTCCTTCACCTTCCCTTCCTTCCACTGCCATTGATTGAGCTCCAACTTTGCGTTGGGCCCTCTCTGCACACAGTATAATTGCAGACAGGGAACCCTCCCTGTTGCTCTGCCATGGGCTCTTCCCCTCTGGTGTCCGGGGAAGCCTATGGACCCCTTCTCAGAATAGCATTTTTAAGTCCGCAAAATAAAATAGCTAAGATTCAAAGGAAACCAATTATATTAAAATACAGCTATCAAAATATTAGGAAAAAATGGTACTGGAGCAATATATGTGCTTCTTTATTAATGCACTAAAAGAATGAAATTGCGTAGTGGGGCTATCTAAAACCACATCATCTCAAAGTAGGGTTGAGCATGAGTGAGACTTCAAGTTTTCTGCTGCAATTATAATATCATTGAAACGATCTGCACTTTCTATGGGTGACAAAGTCCCAGATTCTGGGACCACCTCTGTGGTTTGTTGCTAATGCATGCAATGGAAACAGGTGCTACGTTCAAATAAAGAGGAGTGAAAATAATGATGTGATTCTTCCCTGTCCACATTCCCAGGCCCCCGGAATTCTATCCAGGGATCTGTAGGGGATCCACAGACCCCAGGTACTACCACTGCTCCAAGGGGTGTAGATGTGGGGAAGACAAAGGAAGAGGAGGGCAGGGAAGGGGCCAGTCCCTGAACAGGAAGTGAGAGAGGGAGGCCATGGCGCTGGGGGAGGAGTAACCAGTGGAGGGAGGTGAGGAGGCCAGCATGGCAGGCACGTGTGAATGGGGAGAGGGTGGTGGCTGGGAGTTTACAGAATGTCTGGCCATGCTAAAATTGTGGATTCAGGCTAGGAATGACAGCCTTGGGACCATGGAGACCAGAGCAGGGATGTGGTCTGATTGATGATCTCAGAGGGTCCCTCCCTAGAGGACAGCCTGTGGGGCAAAGGCGGAGGCAGGGGACCAGTGAGGGGTGATTGCTGTCCTCCAGGCCCCAGCTAGGATGGCAGCAGTGCAGCAAAGTGGTCAGATTTTGGGCACTTTTTTTTTTGAGATGGAATCTTGCTCTGTCCCCAGGCTGGAGTGCGGTGGCACGATCTCAGCTCACTGCAACCTCCGCCTCCCAGGTTCAAGTGATTCCCCTGCCTCAGCCTCCTGAGTAGCTGGGACTATAGGCACGCACCACCACGCCTGGCTAATTTTTTTGTGTGTTTTGGTAGAGATGGGGTTTCAACATGTTGGTCAGGATGGTCTTGATCTCCTGACCTCGTGATCCACCCACCTTGGCCTCCTAAAGTGCTGGGATTACAGGCGTGAGCCACCGTGCCCAGCCAGATTCGAGGAACTTTTTAAAAAATGGCTTTATTGAGATATAAATCACATAGCCTACAATTCACCCATTTAAAGTGTATAATCCAATGGTTTTTAGTATGTTTGCAGAGTGCAAGCATCACCACAATCAAATTTAGGGCATTTTCATCAGAAAGAAACCCCACAACCATCAGCGGTCATTCCCAATTTCTACTCCCCACCCCAACCCTGAAACCTTTCCTCTCCCTCACATCCTCTGGCCGCAGGCAATCACTGATCATTGAATACTTTCTGTCTTTGTACGTTTGCCCGATTCTGGACGTTCCCCCCTCTTATCTAACGGTAATTATATATCCTTTGATCAGCCTCCTCCCATTCCCTCTCCCCCAGGTCACCCCAGCCTCTGGTAACCAAACTCCACTTTCTATGTCTATGAGAATGACTTTTTAGATTCCACACATGAGAATCACGTGTCTTTCTGTGCCTGGTTTATTCCACTTAACATAGTGTTCTCCAGGTTCATCCATGCTGTCACAATGACAAGATTTCCTTCTTTTTTATGGCTGAATAGTACTCCACAGTGTGTATGTACCAATTTTCTGTATCAGTTCATCTGATGAAGGACATTTAGTTTGATTCCATGTCTTGGCTATTGTGAATAGTGCTGCAATAAATATTTGAGTGCAGATATTTTTTCAGCATGCTGATTTTATTTCCTCTGGGTACGTTCCCAGTAGTGAGATTGCTGGATCATATGGTAGTTCTATTTTTAATACGTTGAGGAACCTCCATACTGCTTTCCATAATGGCTGTTCTAATTTACATTTCCACCAACAGTGTGCTAGGGTTTCCTTTTCTCCACATCCTTGCCAACACTTGTTATCTTTTGTCTTTTTGATAATAGCCGTTCTCACAGGAGTAAGGTAATATCTCTTTGTGGTTTTGATAGGCAAAAGACCTGAATAGACATTTCTTAAAAGAAGACATCCAAATGACCAACGGGTATATGAAATCATGCTCAACATCACCAATCATGGGGAAAATGCACATCAAAACCACAATGAGACACATTTTAAAGATAGAGCCAGCAGGATTTCTGATGGGTCGAAGGTGCAGGATGAGGAAAGGAGAGGCACGTGTCCTGCTCCAACCCTGGACCAGCGGCTGGCTCTGGGCAGCTGGTCCCTGCTGTGACAATGGAGCTCTGGTTCCGCTACCTGCCCCCAGCCTGAGAGGTGCCCTGTGGAAGCTGAGGCAGGAGGAGGGACAGCTATGGAGCACCCAACAGGGACCAGATGGCAAGCTCACTTCCTGACTTTTCAAAGCCACTGCACTCTTTCACATCTGTCATTATTGTCTTTTACACCAAGGCTTCCAGGAAACCTTCCTGCTGCCTCGAACACAGTATTGGCTTCGCTACATGACTTTCTTTGCAAAAACACAGGAATTCCCTCAAGAAATTTACTTATCTGCTCTGTGGACCTGGGATGTCCTCTAGTTACTCTCACTTCCTGGGTGACTCGAGAATGTCCTTGGCAACCCCAAACACAACCTTTTTCCTCCAGGAGCATTTCCAAAGGCAGCTGCAAGACCAGGAGGCTTTGTCTCAAACTGAAAAATAAGCCGCCTTTAGCAGATTCTCAAAAAATGTTTGTTGATTGAATGAAAGAGGTGAATAGGGGTGAGGAGAGAAAGACAATTTCTGAGCTCCCTCTGAGTCCCTTCTCTTTGATTTGCTTTGAAGTTCCAGAATATCAGACATGTCCATGGTCCCATATAAGAGCAGGAAACTGTCCCAGGTCCAGGTGCTGAGGCTCAGCACCATTTTGGGTGGTCGTCCTTGTCCTGCCCCAACACAAGTGGGTCGTGGGGCAGCCAGTGGTCCCCCCTTGTCTGTCTCTCTGCTCGCACCCACCCACACCTGCCCCTCAGCCTGGCTCTCTGTCCCTTATGGGCCATGCTTTGTGGCCATTTGGTTCTCTGGTGGAACAGGGTCTGGCACCCCCATTTTTTGAGCTGGACGGAGTTCAGCTCCCAGTCCTCCCTCCCCTGAGGAGTCATATCCCAAGGAAGTTCCCTTTAGAATGCCCAAGACATCCCAAAGTGCTAAGGCCTAGATCAGAGATTGGCAAACTATGGCCCATGGGTCAAATCGGGGCCACTACGTATTTTTATATGGTCTGAGAGCTAAGAATGGGTTTACATCTTTAAATGGGTGAAAATGAATCAAGATAAGAATAATATTTTGTGACGTGAAATTATATGAATTTCAAATTTCGGCATCCATAAATAAAGTTTTCTTGGGACACAGCCGCACATTTGTTACGTATTGTCTCTGGCTGCATTCGCCCTGCATGCGCAGATTAGGCGGCTGTGATGCAGGCGGTGTGGTTGGCAGAGCTCAGTCACGTGCTATTCGGCCCTTTGTAGCACAAGCTTGGGGGCGCCTGGCCCAGAGCACGTGCGGCCCGTGGCACCTGCACCACCTGCTCCTAAGAGTGACTTGGGTTGTGGAAGTGAGTTCCTTAGACCCTTGAGGCATGAGTGTTTTCCCACCTGTAATCCTGCTTCCCGCTGAGGTCGGTCTGAGGGTTTGAGGATTTCATGAGATTGGCTTGTGCCATGAGTGGCCCCAGTGGCTCAGAGCGGTGCCTTTCGGTAGCTCATGCTGCAACCCCTGAGACTTGCCCTTAACAGGCAATGCTGCCCCCAGGCAGGTGGGCCCCTCTCCTGCATGAGAAGTCAAGTTACAGGGACCACGGCAGGTGAGGAGGGCAACCTGGCAAGGGAAATGGAGTCACATGGCTCATCCTAAGAGGCCAGTGACTGGAGATAGCTCCTTACCTTAGACGGGTGAGGAGACCCATCAGGGTGGGCCACTGCCCGGCCCAAGGGGCATGGAACACATGGTCCAAAGAGCACTGTCTTGGTCGGCCCAGGGGCCTTGGGCAAGTTCCTGCCCTCCCCTGGGTGTGTCCTCATTGGCGACTCGGCAGGGGTGGGCTTGCAGCCCCCACCTCCCCCAGTCTGAGGCCAAGTGGCCCTCACCAGCACTCTCCTCCCTGGCATCTTCATATCACCTCTCAGGCATTCATCAGCCCTAACCACCAGCCTCCAGGGCAGGGCCATCTGGGTGTGGCTGGGCCCAGGGGCCCTGGAACTGCTTGAACTCGTGGAGGCAAGGGGGTTGAATCCCTCCCTCTCACCTCCCACTGTGGCTTTATTAATTGTTTATATTGGAGTCTGTTAATTGGCAATAACCAGCATGCTGAAGTGTCTTTTAATCACCCCCTCTCAGGGCCCTGAGGCTGTGAAGAATTGGTGGATTCAATAAAGCAAGAAGGAATTAGCACCCCCCATCCTCTTCATTATCACAGTTAGATAAACTGCCAACACCTGTCATGCAAATGAGCAGGAAAGAAAACCCAGCCCCTCCTCCTGGCCCTGCCAGGAACTTCCCTGGGTGAGGTAAGATGCAGGCCAGGCTATGACAGGCATTGCACACACACACACACACACACACACACACACACTCACACACAGGCATACAGACCCACAGACTCACCTCCTGTGCCGTCCTGACCACACTCACTCACTCACTTAATAGGCGTTTCTTGAGCACCTACTATGTGCCTGGTGCTGAGGAAACTGCAGTTTATCAGGGGACCCAGACCCTAGAGGACAATGACAGAGGCCTCTACAGGGTGCTGTGGGGGCCAGAGGGACAAGGACTCTCTTTTTGGGATGCAGGGAAGGGAGTGAGGGGAGGTTCTGTTGTCCGTGCAAACCTACA
Source organism: Homo sapiens (assembly GCF_000001405.40). Taxonomy (NCBI): domain Eukaryota; kingdom Metazoa; phylum Chordata; class Mammalia; order Primates; family Hominidae; genus Homo; species Homo sapiens. The sequence continues at coordinate 33,950,330 of NC_000006.12, read as the reverse complement.
CCCTCGAGAAGAGTCCTAACATATTGCATAGTGCCCACTCCATCTGCGAAGGCACCTGAAGCTCCCTGACTCTGTCTGTAGGTGAAGAACCACCCCCAGAAGGCTCTGACACACCCACACTCTGGCAGTTACTGGAGGAGCTGTTGCTGGGCTTGGAGACAGGGCAGCCAGGAGAGCTTGCAACAGGCAGGGTTGGAGCTGCAGGTATGGCCTCGGGTTCGAGGGGCTGCGGCGGGAAGCTCTGGCCTGCTGGGTGCTGGTAGGAGGGCCCAGGCCCCTTGTCCTGAAGAATAGCCAGTGGCTCCCCATCACTAGCATCTCAGACTACATTGAAGTCCCTGCCACAGCTGAGTGGGCTCCGCCTCTCCACCAACTCTCCACTGTTCCCAGTGTTCCCATCACCTCCTGTAACACACACCTGAGCTCCAGCCACAGCCGGGCCTTTGCCACCCCACCCCTGGCTGCTCCCGTGCTGCCTCCTGCCCACCCAAATGTTTCCCATTCATCCTGCAAGGCCCTATTTGGTTTTTCTTTGTGGGGAGGGGTCAGTGAAGACAGTGGGTGGGACAGTAGTGGATACAGGATGGGGTCTGTTTCCTGTTCAGCTGTTAGATTGGGTTTGGACCTGATGAGAGGCAAGGGCCAGATGGTGAAGGGATTGTGAGAAGCTGAGGGACTCCATGAGCAGATGAGGGCTTTCAGATTCCGACAGGAGGGTTTACTCATCAATGTGACTATATATTTGTACCAAGAAATGGCTATGGCCACCAAGCTCCTTCTGCATCATAATTGTCTGCAGACCTGACTTGTCCTCCTGGTGGTAAGCTCCCTGGGGGCAGGGACTGAGCTTTATTTATTCCCAAGTCCCAAGCCAAAGTCCTGGGGTCTAACACCACAGAGGAGCTGACAGAGCAGGTTCCACAGCTCACCCATGTTACCCTGGCACCCAAGCAGGTTGGGAACCAACACTGACCCCTGGGTGAGGCCTTTCCCCAAAATGGGACTGCCCCCAGGAGGCCACCGTCTCCCTTTCTCGGCTCTAGCTCCTCTGGTGACCTCCTGTAGCTCCAGCAAAGTGGGAACATTACTGCACATCTGCGTAGAGGCTGAGGCAGGCACCTGGGAGGAAGAACAGAGGAGAGGTTGAGGGGCATCTCTCTGAGAGGCACCCACCCAGAGAGCAGCGTGGGGCCAGCCGGCTGGTGTACTGAGAACCTCTGACAAATGAGGGGCCAGGCCCCAGGCTTCCTGACTTTAAACTCCTGTTTCCTTGTCTGTCAAGCTGGGATCCTAAATCTGACCTCATAGCCTCCCACCTGCAGAATCCCCCAGTGGCCTCCATTGGAAGCTGAGCATCATCTGTAGGCATGCAAGACCCTGGGGGCCTGGCCCTGCTCCCCGTCTTCCTGCACCAGGCCCCCCACACTCCAGTCACGGGGAATTCCTTGCTGTTCCCTGAACGTGCCGCTCTCCCATACTCATCTTTGCCTTTCCCCCGTCTAGAACACTCTCTCCTATCTGGCAAATCCCGCTTGGCCTCCAGGACCCAGTTCTCTGACTTTCCTTCACACCCTGCACACTGCAGCTCTCCCTGCCTCTCATCGTCCCCTCTACATGGAACTTCTGAGGGGCCATGTCTCATTAGCCTCATGTCCGCAAGGCCTGTGTGGAGCAGGTGCACAGTACCTGTTTGCCAAGGGAGCGAGTGATGCTCTCTGGGGTCCCCTCCAGATACAGGATCCTGATGGAGTGGTCTGTGTGCAGGTGTGAGGGGGAGGTAAGAAGGTGGGGGAAGCTGTGTCCCTTAGGGCTGGCCTCAGGCTTTGGAGCTCCAATACCCCCTTCTCAGAAAAGCCCCAGTGCCCCATTGCCCCCAGACCCTTCTTATTGTGCCCCCACAGAGCTTGAGTTCAATAGGATTAGGCTGGACTGGGAGCAACAGGTGTGAACTCTGAATGAGTTAAACAAGATGAAACTGGATTTCTCTCTCATGTAAAAGTCCAGGTAAAGTCTCCCAGGGATGGCACCACAGCTCTGCCCTGTGCAGCCCTCAGCAAGCTAGGCCCTTTTTTTCTTAGTGGCCCCACGATGGCCTCCATCCCAGACCTCACCTCAGGTCACAGTTCCCGGCTTTTGACTGGGGGATCTCCCTACTCTTCTGAGACCACGTGGATTGAGCAGGGCTGATCTCACTCCTGGCTCCAGGTGGACTCCTGGCCCCAGCCTCACAAATTCATTAATGTCAGGGTTTTGGAGAGGTGCCCTCTTTCTGTGAGAGTTTTCTAGCTAGTAGAGTGAACACCTGGGGTTGCCAGGGGCCATCCCTGCCCCCATATGTGAAGCCAGCTCACAGAGGAGTCGGAACAGTCCTGTTGACAAGGCTTGAGCAGCGGGACCCAGCCGTATCTGGAGCTCCAAACTTTGTATTGACCTGGGCCAATACATCCACCCCCATCGTTTTATTTTTCTTTGTTTAATTTGAGTATAGTTCTGTAAAATTTGATTAATACGAAAGCTTAGAATGTCACCCCTCTGCGGATATTTGGATTTAAGTAAAAGAAACTCTGAGATGGAGACACATTGAAACCCCAAAGGAAGAAGCTAGTGAAAGGAGTGCATGAAAATGCAGAGAATAGGCCTGCCCTCTCCAGTGAGCCCTGCGCTGTCGGCTCCATTACCCTTGCTGGCTTCCCCCCAGCTCCCGGCCTCCTCTGTCTCTGCCCAGACCTCCCTCTGGACCCTGCAGCTATGTGCTATGCTCAGCTACCCGCTGGACATGTCTGCTGGGAGAGCCCACACACAGCCCACGTGCCACATCCAAAACCAAACTCATCTGCCCCACCCCTGTAGCCCACTGCCCTCTCCTCCCAGCCCAGTCCCCTCAGGGACACCCCTTACAGTTCTGTGTCCTTCACTTCCTGCCACCTTGGGCTGCTGTAATTCAGTGTGAGCGCCCTCACAGTCTCTCCCAACCTGCAGGCCTGCCCTCTCTCCGTCCACTCACAGCCCAGCTGCCAGGGCCTCATCCTAAAAGCATGCTGGTTTGGGATGGACTCTGTCATCCTGAGGCAGGCAGGGTGCTGTGATCTGGAGGAACTGTGCAGAACGCCCCAACAGGGGAGGCTGGGAACATGGGAAAAGCCTGGTGCATGGCTGCCTCTGAGCAAGAGAGGCCGTGAGTCCTGTCTCCTGCAGAGAGTGATGCCAATCCAGCTGTCATCTTGGGGACCTCCTGAGAGTAGATGGGTCCAGAGAGCTTGCCTCACCCTGCCTTGTTGGGCCCCACTGGGAACGGCTCTGGCCTTCCCAAGAGGCCTCAGCAAACTCAAAGCCCTTGGTCACAAGCTTCAGGTGCAGGCAGAGGTAAAGCTCAGGAAGTCCAGGATGAGGATACTCATCCCTCATTCAAGGACTTCTACTGATTTCTAAAAACCCTGCCCCTAAATGAAAAGCCATTAAATGAAGACATATTTTCATTAATTTTAGAGAAAAAATTACTGTGGTTGCTAACTAATGTCAAGGCATCTAATTTCTCACAGATAGAAAAACAGCAACTGAACATGGAAAACAAGTTTATATAAGTAATAAGTAGCAATATGAGATTAAGCACCACAGTTTGTAACTAAAATGTAATGTGATGAGGGTTTCTCTTTCTTGGGAAAGGAGTGGGTGGTGCCTGATGTCAAGATAGGAGGGGAAAGGGTTCAGTGTCTCTGAGGATCTGCTTTCAGGCAGGAGCTGTTGGGGGTCATGGTTATCTTGCATTGAAAAACAGAGAACAGAGAAGCGTAACTCCAGGGCAAAACCAAGGCTTAACAGAGAGCACTTCCACCAAACAGGTGGAAATGGCCGTGCAGGCAGCAGCCTGAGGAGCCCTGGAAGTCACTGCTCGCATCTCCGGCTCGGTGCCTGATAAAGCAAGGCAGTTTGGCCTGTCCAAACTTGGAACGCAATTCAGATGTATTCCGTGTGTTAACCTCTGCCGAGACACCGTAGAGCGCACTAAACAAGTGGCAATTAGGACTTTTCTCTGGAAGTGTCATGCCAGCCTCCAGGTGAAACCAGCCTCACTGGGAGCAGTTTAACTTTGTATTTTTAAAAATCATGTGAGCCAATAAATCCTCTCTACTGTTTAAGGCAGTATTTTCTGTTACTTGCAATTGAAATATGCACCTGCAGATTCCTCACCCGCAGGCCCTGCATCCATCTGCGGTTTGCCAATTGCCCATTGAAGGTGCAGTGAGGCTTGGATGCTTGTGTCTGTACTGACCATGTGCAGTCTTTTTTCCCCTGCCATTATTTCCTACGTAACACATATAACAACAATTGTATTAGGTATTATAAGTAATCTAGGGACGAATTAAAGCATACGGGAGGATGTGCATAGGTTATGTGCGAATACTATGCCATTTTATTTTTATTTTTTATTTTTTTGAGACTGAGTCTTGCTCTATTGCCCAGGTTGGAGTGCAATGGTGGCATCTTGGCTCACTGCAACCTCTGCCTCCCAGATTCAAGGGATTCTTGTGCCTCAGCCTCCCAAGTAGCTGGGATTACAGGCGCCCACCACCACACCCGGCTAATTTTTGTATTTTCAGTAGAGATGGGGTTTCGCCATGTTGCCCAGGCTGGTCTTGAACTCCTGACCTCAGGTGATCCACCCGCCTTGGCCTCCAAAAGTGCTGGGATTACAGGCATGAGTCACCTCGCCCTGCCATATGCCATTTTATATCAGAGACTTGGGTATCCTTGGAGTCTGGAATCCTCAGGGGTCCTGGAACCAATCCCTTGTGGATACCAAGAGATAAATTTATTTAATTCGTGGGTTTTGGGGTGAAAATGTTTTTATAATGAAAAAGAAGGTGGGAGGGGGAATTGTCAGAAAAGTGGTGTAACTTTTCGAAAGCCAATAGGGTGAAAAGTCGTCAACCGGGGAGCCTGAGGAAGGGTCTGTGTTTTCCCAGGACCGGAGGACTCCTTCCCAGCCCTGTTAGGAGGAATAGACATCTGTCCACCCTGGTGCCCACCAGACCGGGGGTGTGGGCAAGCCGATCCCTACGGTTGGGAAGGGTATCTGCTCTGGGAATCCAGGAGAAACAGAGCTGGGGGTGAAGCACTTGGGTTTCCCCACTGCCCTGCACGGGCGGGCCACGGCTCCCTTCCCCTCCTCATCCCTCACAGAGGCCCTAAAGAGGGAACAATCCCGTGAATGTGGTTGGACTCTGAGCGTTTATAAGATTCAAGCTGAGATATGGGACTATTATTCTGTAAGTTTGTGGGGAGGGGCAAATCTGATTCCCCTCAGCGCCCCTTCCCCCTGTGTGAAGCCTGCGGTTCTGGAGGCCCAGCGTCCCGGCCCCCACTTTACGGCAGTGAAGCTCCTCCCCCATTCTTGGTCACACTGTTTGGATAGGATTGGCTCTCCTCAGCCCAGGAGCGGGGCCTGGGTATTTGCAGCCAATCAAGGAAGCTCCTCAGTCACAGGATTTGGTCCAAATTGGGGACAGGACCCATTCAAGCCAATGAGACACAAGGAAATTGGTGTTGGGGGACTCCGGGGGAAAGGAGCCCCTTTGTTTTTCGGAGCTTTACCGGCAGAGCTGTGCTCGCTGCCGCTGGACTGGAAGGAGGGAGCATATGCCTGTAGCTCCACGAATGCTGACAGCCATCAGCGGGCGGAGCGGGCAGTGTTAGGATAATGCTGACGCCATGGAAGACAGAGAAGATAGATGGGAGTAGGGTCTCCAGTGACACCACTGGGTTGCTGGAGCCAGCCTCACCTGAAGCAGTTTAACTTTGCATTAAAAACAACAACAACAACAACAAAAACATGCCAGCCAATACATCCTGTCTACTGTTTAAGGCAGTATTTTCTGTTACTTGCAATTGAAATATTCCTTCCTGACAATGCCGGTCTCTGCTCCAGTATTGAGGGTAACACCCATGTGGATCAGAAAGAAGGGGCCCCGACACAGGGCAACAGGCAAGGTTACTGATGGCAGAGGGCTGCTGGGCACTTCCCATGCAGGGCTTCGGATCGATGATGGCATCTGATTCATGATGGACATCTCAGACTGTCGGCTGCTTCGTGACTCAGGGTCAGGCATTCAGTCTCCCTACAGCCCATGGTGAGACCCGTTTCCTCAAAGAAGAGTTACTCATTCAGAAGCTCCAGAGACTCCACTGGGAATTTGCGACTGGGGGCTTGTCTCTGGTGAACTCCAAACAGCATTGTGCCCCACCCTGGACATTAAACACCACCACTAGGAAAGGCTGAGGACAAAGGGTCCTGGGCCACAGCTGAGACCCCCTGTAGAGCCTGGCTTTGCTTGGGGCCCCACTCAAAGCTGGATGTTTTCAGGTTGTTTAGAAACCCCTTTTAAGTTGGTAAAAAGAATTGATCTTAAGGCTGCCTTCAAAATCCAAAGAAGTCATGGAGCATTGTGCCTCCTTTTAAGTTCTTCATTTGAAGAGAACTTTCCAACATGTCTCAGACCACTGCACCTGCAGGATCCTCTCTGAGGTGCCAGGGCCTGAGTCACAGCCCAGTCTCTGTCACATGTGCATCTTAACAAGACATCGAGGACACCTGTGACTTCCTTCCAGTTGGACACTATTAGTGTTGTGCGATCAATACAAAGTACGGGCCCATTGGCAGGATGATGCCCGTTGGGATGAGGAGCTGGTCCAGGCTGTGGGAAGAACCAGAAAGCCAGAATTTCCTGAGGCAGAGCTGTACCATTCTGTTCCTCTCTCTGCCAGGGGCAAGCAAACTGCTTCAAGTGTTTTCTGTTTGTCAGGTGGAGTACATTCCATTTTCCAGATCAGCAACTGAATGCCAAGCACAGGGCTGAATTAATTTGCTCTACCAAGGAGCCCACATCTGGAACAGCAACTGCAAATGGAGTGGCCACCCAATTAAGTGTACAACATGCCACTGCTGTTTGCTAAAACCTGGCTATTTTTGACACTAGCCAATCTGGGATAGAAAGGAGATATCGTCAGTATTGTCCCAACTACATCTTTCTGGTGTTGGGTGGTGACACTCAGCCTCGCAGTCCCCTGGGGTTGCAGTGTTGCTTTTGGTTTACTGTATTCATGGGTAGAAGGAGCTCAAGCGACTTCCTCCTGGCCCTTCCTATCACTAAGGCCTTAGTCTTCTGATCAAGAAGCTGATGTGGGTTTTCTCTCCTATAAAGACCTCTATTTCCTTTCAGGAACTTGAGAAGTCATTGCTGGAGGGGGTTGAAGTCCCACTGACCTACTGTAGGGAAGATTCAGGTGGGAACAGTTATCCCTGAGCTCCCAAAGTGCCAGTCTGCCCTAGAGACCACAGTGGCATTCCTGTTCCCAGGAGTTAGAGCTAGCTCAGATAATCCCCTAATCACCCATTCCTCCTGTGATCATGTCTTAGTTCATTTGTGTTGCTATAAAGGAATACCCGAGGCTGGGTAATTTATAAAGAAAAGAGGTTTATTTGTCTCATGATTCTACAGGCTGTAGAAGAAGCATGACGCCAGCATCTGCTCCTGGTTAGGGCTTCAGGAAGCTTCTGCGTATGACAGAAGGCAAAGGGGAGCCAGCTGCAGAGATCACAGGTCAGGAAGCCAGAGAGAGGGAAGAGAGGTGCCAGGCTCTTTTAACGATCAGTTCTCTTGGGAACTAATAGAGTAAGAAAGCACTCACCATGAAGACGGCACCAAGACCTTCATGAGGGGTCCACTTCCATGACCCAAACACCTCTCCCGAGATCCTACCTCCAACATTGGGGATGAAATTTCAACATGAGATTTGGAGAGGACAAATATCCAAACCATGTCAACTTAGTAACCCAGGTAAAGGGCAGCAGCTGTGTTTGGAGGAAGCTCACGGAAGATTTATCATGTCCCGTGTGTGCTGCTATAACAGGTTCTAGCTCAAAGGCCCTGTCTGCCCCTGCATTTGAGAAGCTCTGGGTCTGAACCAACCCTGGACTGGGAATTCCATCTCAGTTACAGGTACTCAAGCAAGCCCTTCATTCACCAAACCTGGAAGATTTTGGTTATAGAATCAAGACCTCAATGGGCTACTTGCTCATTTCATCCCTTCACTGATCAAGGGATGTCTTGATCAATTACCCATACCCAGGGATCACTGCTTTCGGAGTGATTCCCTTAGAACCCATTCCCTGCCTCCTTTTTAGGGGATGGCCATGACCACTATTTTCACATAGTTACTTAACCTGGGCTAGGCCACTAAAGCTCCTCCCACCCACTCTAAGATTAGAAATCCCATTGTAACAGCAGCACTTCTGCTATAATTTCTAACTATTGAGAGTGGGTAACTGAGCCCATTTTACAGATTTGGGAAGGGTTGATATGGAGTTTTATTGGCACTGACCACCAATAAATGGTTATGCATGGCCATGACAATGTGCCTCTCACATCACCTTTTGCGGTGCATGTAATTGACTGCTGGCCCCAGCGGCTGCACTCTGACTCCTCCACTGTGTTTGTACCAACACCACCTGCCCAGGCCTACCTGTGCCCTACAGGGATGCCAGGCAGGCCCAATCCTGTGAGATGCGGGGCTCCTCTTACAGGTGACTGTGGCTCAAGGACTTCCCATCAGCCTTGCGGAAACTTTCTCAGAGCTGCCCAACCACCTGAAACTCTCCTGACCCAGCCTTCCTTCCTTCCTTTGGTCCTTCCCAGTGGTCAGACCTGTGGTGCCATGAGGGCTCTGCCTACTGCCTCCGCCTTTCTCCCCATTTTCCTTTGCAGGAATTTTCTAATCCCTTCTTGGTGTCTGCATCCTGGAGGACCCAAACTAACACATTTCATACCTTAAGTTGGATAAGAGGTTCGTAGATGTTTGTTACATTATTCTTTATATCTTTTGTAAATCTGAAATATGCTATTAATTTTTTGATAATGAAAAGACAATATTATTACCCTTTTTCACTGAGAGCATTCTCAAGGGAAGGAGGAAGGGAGAGGCTCCTGGAATGGATGTGAATTGAGAGATCGAGTCAGCATTCCTCTCTCTAGCTATTTGACTTCTGTTCCTCTAATCATGCCAAGCATTTTCTGGGCCCTTTTTGCCAATTAGTGTGGACCATCATGTGGTCCAGGTTTGCATTAGTGACTTCTGCAAAATGTCAGAACTTCTGCCAACTGCCTGAGAGAACACCCTGAATGCAAAATTTCTGGTGACTGCACCCATACCAATACATGCAGCCAAACCTGTGCTTATATCCCTCCCGCCTTGATAAATGCCCCCTCAAAATCCATTTCTACACATATTCCTCATAACTTAGGAATATAAATTACTGAATTTCTGCAATCCTTTCTGGGTATAACTATTTCCCATCCTGATTCTGAATTTTATCATCTGGATCATGTTTAGTCTGGGTCCTGAATATTCTGGGAGAAACAGTGAAGAGTGAGTCATGAGGGAGCCCGAGGGTGGTGCACTGAGGTACTTGGATGCTTAGGGTCTCCTGAGTCCCTATAATCCTCCCAGATATCACTGTTCCAATAGGATATTGATATTTCCTGGCCAATTCCCTCCACTTCGCAGAAGTCACCTGGTGAGGCTGTGAATTCACTGACACCGTAGTTCACAGTAGCTTCGGAATCAATGTCTAAGTTCATTCTTCAGCAATTTCAGCTCCATGGCTACATGCAATAAAAGATTATTTCAGCATGGTCATATAAGGCTCTGAATTCTATTCTGTGCCTCGAGGTAAACATTTTGACTTGAGCCTGTCATTTTCTTGCTTTAAATTATCTAGTCTTAGGGACAACCATCCAGCCTATGGTCCCAGCACTCATCATCCTTTATAAATTGGTCCATGGCAGCTGCTATAGTCTTTCACTTTAGGTTGGCACATGGTCCCAGGTGACCGGAGGGTATAACATGATTAGTTGTTCACCACTGTGTACCATTGGCAACCACTTTCCTATCCACTAATATGAACCAGAGTCCGACTGATTTTCCCCCATGGAGTTATGAAAACCAATTCCGAGTAGCTCACATATCCCTAAGGGTTTTGCATGAATCCCACGGTTATTCGGCTGCAAGCACCGAAAGTTGACTCTGAAAAAGTGAAACAAGAACAGGGGACTTATTGAGGAGTTACTGAAGGAGGTCACAGAATAGAAGGAGAAGCTAGACAACGGGTCTCAGGATCAACAGGAACCAGGGCAGCTCTGGAGTCTTGAGTAACATTGGCAATCTCTCTAGGGTACAGCCACGAGATGCCTCCGTGCTTACCACCTTCCACCCTGTGTGTCTGCCTCAGAGATTCAGGTTCTGGAGGGAGGTTCTGATTGGGCTAGACTGGGTCATGGACCTGACCCTACCATGAGGGACATAGGCCCAGTGATTCACCACCTCACGGAACCAACACAGGGCCAGGGAAACTGTGGTTTCCCCTAATGAAAAGATGTTGAACAGACAAAACTAGTGTGTGAATTCCATACACCATTTTCTTTCAACTGTGAGCCTTTTCACATTCTGTTCCCTCTTCCTGGAAGGCTCTGCTCCCCTGCAGGCCTTGGCTTAGATGTCACTTCCTCTGGGAAGTTTCCTTGAGCATCCAAGCCTGGGATGGGTGCCCTCCTACGCAATGCCATAGCACTTGTCTCACTATATTGTAGTCGTCTGTTGACTTGTCTTTCTCTTTTGTTGGATGGTGAACTTGATGATCGTAGGGGTCATGTCTACTTTGCTCACAGTTCTCAGCCCCAAGTGACACCATTCATGGCACACAGTAGATCCTCAGGAGCTATTTGTTACATGAATAAACATAAAAATCTGGCTCTCTCACTAACCTGATGTGATCTTAGGGAAGGCCCTTCCCCTCTGGGCTTTAGTTTTCTTATTCCTAAAATGCAGGGTAGCAGTATTTATTGTTTGAGGATAGTTTGATGGCAGGAAACCAAAATCCATCTATGCTAGCTCAACAAAACAGGGAGGGTATTGTGAGGAATCAGGGGTGTCTCATGGAACCTGAGGGCTGTGCTAGGGGCTGACTCAGGAACTGGAAAACATTCTAGAATCAGCGTGGACACTTGTTCATCCTGCTCCTTCTCCTGGGGCCATGTGGTCCTGCCTCTCGCTCCTCTCACAGCACTACAGGTCTCTGCCTCTTCTCTGTTCATGGATGGTAGTGACCATTTCAGCCCACTTGTCTCAGGTCCTTCCAGCTCGTGTGTCCCGGGTTGGATTCCCTGAGGGGCAGACGCTGACATGGAGCTTGTGGAGGATGTTTACTAGGGAGTGTTCCCAGGCTCAACCCCTGTGGGAGGAAAGGGAAGGTGCAGGAGCGGACAGAGGGGGAAGCTGAGGTGTGATGCCATCCCCAAAATGTCCTCTGATCTCGTGGAAAGCCCTGGACCTGGGATAGTGAGGGGACTGAGCCTTTAACCGCTCCTCTGCATTCGGATGTGGGCTGCCCAGGAAAGAGAGCACGGCCATGGGCAAAGCAGCTCTCTTTGGCTGAGGCCATCCTTGATGCACTGACAGCTGGTGATATGGTTTGGATTTGTGTCTCCACTGAAATCTCTTTTGGAATCGTAACCCCCAGTATTGGAGGAGAGGCCTGGTGGGAGTTGATTGGATCATGGGGGTGGATTTCACCCTTGCTGTTCTTGTGATAGTGAGTGAGCTCTTGTGAGATCTGGTTGTTTAAAAGTGTGTAGCACCTCCGCCTTCGCTGTCTTCCTCCTTCCCTGGCCACGTAAGATGTGCCTGCTTTCCCTTCGCCTTCTGCCATGATTGTAAGTTTTCTGAGGCCTCCCCAGCCATGCTTCCTATATAGCATGCAGAACTGTGAGCCAGTTAAACCTCTTTTCTTTATAAATTACCGAGCCTCAGGTAATTCTTTATAGCAATGTGAAAATGGACTAATCCAGCTGGGGAGTGTCTTGTTTCCCAGCACTTTCAGCAGCTAGGGGAATATGCCCTTCATTCCTCAGGGAGATCTGGGCAGTGCATCAAATGTCCTCCACATGAGACTAAGTCCCAGGCCTGGTTCCTCTTCTTGAGGAAGAATCTGATTGGCTCCGCTATTGTTCAGGTGTCCACTCTAAAGCCAAGGCTGTCAAGTTATGTGAGACAGACAGCCCTTCAGTTAGGGATCGGAGGGGACCAAAAAGAGGGGATGTTCAAGGCTGGTGAGGATATGGAGCGACAGGAACTCTCATTCTTGCTAGTGAGAATGCAAATGGTGCAGCAACTCTAGAAGACAGTCTAGAAGTTTCTTACAAAACTAAACATGCTCTTACCACATTCTAGCAATTGTGCGCCTTGGTATTTACCCAAAGGAGTTAAAAACTTATGTCCACACAAAAACTTATACATGATATTTATAGCAGCTTTATTCATAGTTGCAAAACTTGGATGCAACCAACATACCCTTAAGTAAATGAAGGGTAAATAGCTGTGGTACATCCAGACAATGGAATATTATTCTGTGCTAAAAAGAAATAAGCTATGAAGACATAAAAAGACATGGATGGACCTTAAATGCATATTACTAAGTGAAAGAAGCCAATCTGAAAGGGCCACATACTGTATGATTCCAACTAGGTGACATCCCTGAAGAGGCAAAACTATGAACACGATAAAAAGATCAGGGGTTGCCAAGGGTTTAGGGGGTGAGGGGGAGGGAGGAATAGGCAGAGCACAGCAGATTTTTAGGGTAGCAAAAATACTCTATATGATACCACAGTGGTAGATACATGTCATTGTACATTCATCCAAACCCATAAAATGTATATTACCAAGAGTGAATCCTAGTGTAATCTATGACTTTGGGTGATAATGATGTGTCAATGTAGGTTCATTGATTGTAGCACATGTACCACTCTGGTGCAGGGGTTGATAATGGGGAGGCTGTGAATGTAGGGGGCAGGGGTATATAGGAACTCTCTGTATCTTTTTCTTTCGATGTGATCCTAAAACTACTCTTAAAAAATGTCTTTCAAAATAAGTTATGGCATGAAGAGCCTTCAAATTTGTCTTCTACAAACTCAGTGACAGGGAGGACAAGATTGCTAAGATCAGGGGCTCTGGAGCCAAACTGCTTATGGTTGAATCTCATCAGCTAGGAACATATTAGGCAGTAAGTAACAGGAAATGCCTGCAGAGAGACTTAAACAAAGGAGGAGTTTATTTGGCTTGTCCAATAAGAAGTCTGGGAGAAGGCAGTCCTGAGCTGATACAGTAGCTCAAAGATGTCCCTGGGGACGTGGGATCTCTGTTTTCCTGCTCTGTCATAGCTATACATGTCCTCCTCATGGTCACATGGTGGCTGCTGCACCTCTGGTCATCACATCTGTTTCCTGTAAATAAGCAGAAGGGAGAAGAAGTGAGAAACAGGAAGGGCAAAGGGTCTTCCCCTAGCTAGGCTTTGTCTTTTTATTTGGAAAGGAATGGCTGTTCCAAGGACTTTCACTTTTTGCCCGTTGGCCAAAATTGTGTCGCAGGGCTACTCCTAGCAGCAGCAAGGGAAGCTGGGAAGGTGAGCATTTTGGCTTTTTAGCTATTGAGTAAAGGAAGGAAAGAAAAAGGGGGCTTGACAATGGCTTTTGGATAGTTCATCCACTATATGTACCACAACCGCTTACTGCCTGTGTGACCTTGGACAAGTCACTTAACAATAATTTGTTGTTACTCTGGCGATCAGTGATTCCAATGGTGGCATCACAGGCACAGTGGCAGGTGTTGGGGTGAGGTGTGTGCTATGCCCCTTTTCCTGCTGGCATCAGCCTTGGAAAGCACAGTTCACAGAGCATGAGTGTCTTGCCTCGGGGAGGCAGGTGGGCGAGAATTTAGTTTCAATTTGAAATGTTTGAGGTTAGGGCCTAGAGGGGCCCTAGGGTTCAGGGGTGTAGCGGATATGGGTGTGCCCCTATCTTCTGGGGCAGGGCAGCTCAGTCCAGGTGAATAGGGGGTCGCACTGGTCCCCCCCTGCCTGGAAAGGGATCATTTTAATGAGTAAAATTTGGCCCTGGGGGCTGGTGCCGCATTTCTCTTCCTTACTGCTGGGGAATCAGAACAAATCGATTGTGAGCAACCCTAATAAATTGATTCAATTTGGTGACCAGAAAAGACAAAATGAAGGGGAAATATGTATCGCTCCCAGCCATAGCACCAGTGGTTAATCTCAGCTTCATAACCCTGCACTCGTGGTGGCTTAAATAATTAAGTGGAGTGAAGGCTGACTAAATTATTCCTCCTCCCCTGCCCTCTTAGAAGACCAGTGGCCTGAGTAGTCAGCCCACTGTTCCCCAAGCACGCGGGTGCCCTTAGCCACCCAGGGTGGTATGTGGCTGGGCACCCAGGTGGCTTCAGGTAGGCATGCACTTGTCCCAGGCCTACAGATCTGCACACATATATGCCTGCTCACATGTGCACACCCCCCACACACCCTGTACACCTGCATATATCACTGCATACCCACACACTTGCATCCAGCCAAGAAGGAGCCCCTCCTACCTCCAGCACGGAAGAAACAGAAGAGATGAGGGGATCAAGCTAGGGGGCCGGTGGTGCAGTGGCTGAGGGTGGGTGGGCTCTGAGGCCCAGGCGCCCTCTGTTGTTTACCTGCTGCCCTGGCCAGGAGGGCAGCTCCCCGCAGCTGCCTCTGCTGCAGCAGCTCCTCTCTCCCGGGCCCCGCGCTCCAGCTGGCGCCCGCCTTGTTAATAAAGGCAGATTGCTGCTCAGCTCGTCCCCAGCACTCCTGACGGGGCCATTAATATTCCAGGGAAGATTACCTCCCCCTCTGCTCCCGCCCCTGCAGCCACTGGGCCCTGCCTGACAGATGAGGGCCCTGGGCTCAGACAGAGATCCTGGAACCTAGGCAGGGTGCTGCCTGCAATGACCTCTGGAGGTTAGGGACGTTCCTGCCTCCACCTGGCCCTTCCAGGCTTCATTTGTGAAAGTAGCAAAGCATGAATGAGAGGGAGAGCCAGGCAGGCAGGTGGAACCTGGAATGGCATCTTAAGGGATCTAACTCAGTCCTTTTATTTGGCTCAGAGAATGCGAGTGACCTACCTACTGTCACATCGCAGGAGTGGAACCCAGGTCCACTCAGATCCAAGTTCCAAAAAGGCAGACAATGTCCACACACCTTCTATGGAGGCCATGGTGGGGCACAGGGGCAACGAGAATGGCAGCATGATCCTGCCGGGGAGCTGCTGGTGAGGCTGGGGCTCACCAAGCCCTCCCCGCTTCACTGCAGTGGTGGGGGCCTCCTTGTGGACCTGCTGCCGTCAGGAAGTGGGGAGCGGGGCACGGCTGCCCCTGGATGCTGAGCTTGACTCCTCCTCAGAGGTGGTCTCTGGTAGCTCTTTTCCTGCTTGATAGTGTCTGGCTGGGATTTGAAGGTGGCAGAGCTGCTGAAGGAGGAAAAGTGGGAGGCAGCAAAGAAGGGAATCCAGGCCTCAAGGATTCTAATTTAAAGACACAGCCGCCCTGAATCCCACTTCTCTGACAAGCTCCAGCTCCCTCCCATGTGCAGCCACCTTACCACTTCAGGCACACTGCATGTACCACACACACATGCCACCCATGTATACACACACCTGCACATACCACACACACTCAAGGACACACAAGTGTGCACCAAACTCATCCATTCTTGGAGTTTTGATCAGCACTTACTTGTAATAATAAAAACTAAATATTTGCTCTTTGTCCCTGTATGCTGGCACACAGATCCTAAAACTCTTGGAATCTCCAAAGTGGGAAGTGTCTTTTGTATGCTAATGCGATGAGTGGTGGCCCTAGGTAGCTTCAGGATGGAGCTGGTCACCAAAGACCAAGGCATGATTAGAGGGTTGGGACTTTCAGCCCCACCCAATACCTCTGGGGAGGGGAGAGGGCTGGAGGTTGAGTTCAGTCACCAGTGGCCAATGATTTAAACAATCATGCCTATAGGATGAAACCTCCAGAAAGACTCCTAAGTGATGGGACTTGGGGAACTTCTGGGTTGTCACACAAAGGGAGGTGCTGGGAGGGGACACAGCCAGAGAGGGCGTGGAAACTCGCACATCTCCCCTATACCTTGCCTTATGCATCTCTTCTGTGTAGCTGTTCCTGTGTTATATCCTGTATAATAAACCAGTACAGTAAGTAAAAGCGCTTTCCTGAGTTCTGTGAGCCGTTACAGCAAATTATCACAGGGAGGAAGGGGTTGTGGGAACCCCTGATTTAGAGCCGGTTGGTCAGAAGTACAGGTGGTGACCTGCGACTTGCAGATGAGGCCCCCCCGACCCCCAGCTCTGACAACTGAAGTGGGAGAAGTCTTGCAGGACTGAGCTCTTCCCGTGGGATCTGCACTAACTCCAAGGAGTTCATGTCAGAATTGAACTGAGTTGAAGGACATGTTACCGGAAAAATCAAACTGTAAAATATTTTAAAGAGGTGTATTCTGAGCCAATATGAGTGACAGAAGCCCAGAGGACACAGTCACAAGGGGTCCTGAAAAAGTGCACCGGGGCGATCAGGGCACAGATTCATTCCATACCTGTTAGGGAGGCAAAGACATAAATCAGTACATGGGAGGTACACATTGGTTCAGCCCGAAAAGACTGGCTATCTTGATGCAGGGCTGATAGGTTACAGGTAGATTCGGAGATTCCTTAATATACAATTGGTTTAAGGTGTAAGGCTCTGTCTATCTAAACTTGGAGTAAGCAGAAAGGAATGTTCTTTCTTTTGTTCGTTTGAGATAGTCTCCCTGTGTCGCTCAGGGTGGAGTGCAGCGGTGCCATCTCAGCTCACTGAAGCCTCCACCTCCCAGGCTCAAGCGATCCTCTCACCTCAGCCTGTAGCTGGGACCACAGGTGTGCACCACCACGCCTGGCTAATGTTTGTATCTTTTGTAGAAACAGGGTCTCCTTATGTTGCCCAGGCTTGTCTCCAACTCCTGAGTTCAAGCAATCTGCCTGCCTCGTCCTCCCAAAGTGCCTGGCCAGAAAGGAATGTTTTCATTTAAGGATGCCATGTAGTAAGATTGATGGCCTGTGGGTGTGACATAACCCTTGCCTGGCATGGCCTTAGGTCCTGTTTATAATCTTGTATCTTACTGCCACAAAGAGTCTGTTTTGTCAGTCTCGTGATCTCTATCTTAACATCAATGCTGGTCAGTTCTGCCTAAACTCTGAAAGGGAGGGGATATACTGAGGCGTGTCCAACTGCCCTTCCCATCATGACCAGGAACTCCATTTTTTAAGGTTTCTCTGGGGTCCCCTTGGCCAAGAGGGGGTCCATTCAATTGGTGTGGAGCTTAGGATTTTTAGTTTACAAACATCTGGTTGGGTGGCTGGAGAATAAGAGAACTGGCCGTTGAGTGGAAGAAAAACCCACGCATTTGATGTCAGAAGTATTGTGAGTAAAAACAGTCAAAACTCAAAATTTGTGTCTCTGGTCCAGCTGCCCTCCAAGCTACAGTGGCCTATCTTTATGATGGCTGGGTATCCAGTGAGCCATGCCTCCTGGTGTCCATGCCCTGTGTGGTTCCCTACTTTTGAACCTGGATCAGGCGAGCCATGTGTTAGAAGTGATGCTGTGTGACTTTGGAGGCTGGGGAGACCCTAGATTAGAAATGCCTAGGGAAGCCCAGAAAACCCATGCAAAATTGTGTGAAGCCACTCGGTTTTGGGGTGGTTCACAGTAGATCATCAACTACAAGGAGAGCCCAGGTGAGACTTAAGAACAGCTTGGACTTTGGAGAATCCTGGCTGTGACTTTTGTGTGTTGTCTTGTGGGGCCACTGCCAGGGATAGGATGGGTTTCTCCTGAAGTTAGTCAACATTCACTCATCCTGGGTACAGACAGATCTGGACAAAGGAAAGGAGGACTCGGGACCAGGTGTTAGACCAGGGGTGCTGGGGTTAGATTGAGCTGCAAATATACAGGACAGAAAATCCTCAGAGAGCAGATGCTCGTAACAAAGTATGATTCTCTCTCAGTTGCATGATGTTCAGAGGCAGGCAGCGGAGGCTGACGTTTTGCAAGCTTCAGGGGTGCCCTTCGCATGGTATTCTGTGACTGGCACCTTCTGGGACACACCACAGAATGCCATGTGAAGGATGCCCCCTGGAGGTGGGCAGCAAAGGGCACCACCAGGCTTCTGTCTTCTATCTTGTTGCGCCATTGTGCATGGCTTCCATTCCAAGGGCACACCCCTACTCCATGATCCAAGGTGACTGCTGGAGCTCCAGCCATTCCATCTGCTTTCGATCAAGAGGGAAGAATGATGAAGGCCACCCCTCATTCTTTTAAAGACAATTGTTGGAAATGACACTTCCATGTATACCTCATTGGTCACATGACCACATCCAACTGCAAGCAAGGTTGGGAAATTTGTTGTTCTGAATGGGTACCTGCCCAGCTTCAAATCAGGAGTTCATAGAGAAGAGTGGATACTGGGGGACACCAGAAGAGTCTGTGGGAAGAGGAACCCGTACTTTCCAGGTTCAGGGATCAGCCCCAGAAACCACAGTAGAGAGAGGTGGGGGTCAGAGGCCCACAGCCATGTGGGAAGACGCGGAGGGCAAGACTGGGGGTGATGTTGGGAGCTGGTCTCAGAAGAGACCCTTTGGGATGATCACAGTATAGTATCATTCCTAAACCTTCAAGGCCTGTTAAAGTCACACCTAAGACCATACAGGGAGGTGGGGCATCAGGGAAGGGTCTGTCCCATGCTCAGGACAAACAGATGAGAAAAGAGAGGGGCCCCTCCTCAGGTCAGTGGTGGCAAGAAGCCCCAGGGAGCTGTTCCTGAGGACAGCTGAGTCTAGCACCCTGGGGCTTCCCAGAGACAGGGCCTTTCTTCTCACAGTCTGCCGTGGGGCCAATGGGGTTTCTCCACAGATGCCTCAGACCCAGCATATCCAAATAGAGCACTCACCTCCTTCCCTGCTTCTCCCCACTCCAAACCTGCTGTCCCCAGTCCTCAACCTCTCTGGTGTGGCCAGCCACTCTTGAGCCCCAGACAGACACCTGGAGAAACACTACACTCCATCTCTCACCCGCTACCCTCCAGCCCTCAAGCCGGTCCCTCCACCCCTTAGCACTCCTCCCTGTGCTCTGCCCTCTCCCTCTGCTTCCCTGGCCCCTGTAACCTCACCTGGATTACTGCAATCAGGCAGATGACTGGTCTCCTCCTCTGGTCTCCCCTGCTCTACCCACCTGGAGAATGCTGTATGATCAGCGACCTGATACCCAGTTGTAGCTTCCATCCTTGACCATAGCCCTGGCTAGCTCAAGAGTCCTCCAGCCGCTTCTCACTGCCTCCAGGGTAAAGTTGCAGCCCCCATGAGCTGCCTGCTGCCCTCCTCACACCGGCTCATACCTGCCCTTCACTCCCCACACCAGCTGCCCTGGACTGTGGCATCTGGCCCCTTCAGGCCAGAGTCTTGATATGACATACATATTGCGAGTCCTCAGTTCTTCACCGTCTCATGACAGGGTGAAATTGGTTCCCATTTTACATCTGAGGAGACTGAGAGTCAGGGAGGTTAAGAATCTTGCCCAACATCCCAGAGGCTGAGCTGGAATTCAAGCGCAGAGCAGCCTCACTGGGAAGTCGGTGCTGTCTCCTCCAGCTGTGCCCAGTGTGGTCAACCTCCCTCCAGGTCACACACATTCCTAGTCTCTCATGTTCATCAGCACACAGCCCAGTGCTCAGACTGCCCTTCCCTGGGGACCTCATTCTCTTCCACAGACTCATTTTCATATTCTTGCAGGTGGCTCAATATAAAAAATCTTATAGGGCAGGGCATGGTGACTCATGCCTGTAATCCCAGCACTTTGGGAGGCCGAGGTAGGTGGATCCCTTGAGGTCAGGAGTTCAAGACCAGCCTGGCCTACATGGTGAAACCCTGTCTCTAGTAAAAATACAAAAAATTAGCTGGGCATGGTGGCAGGTGCCTATAATCCCAGCTACTCGGGAGGCTGAGGAAAGAGAATCACTTGAACCCAGGAAGTGGAGGTTGTAGTGAGCCGAGATCTCACCACTGTACTCCAGCTTGGGCACAAGAGTGAAACTCTGTCTCAAAAAAAAAAAAAAAAAAAAAAAATCTTACCAATTTCTTCAAACAGAGTCAGCTCCTCTAGCCAACAAAGCTTTCCCCCTTTCCTGGCGTCAGGCCTTCACACCAGCTGTTGCTCCCTGTCTGCCCCGGGAAACTCTCCCCCATTCATTGCATGACTGGCTCCTCCTCATCTGTTAGGTCTCAGCTCAAATGTCACTTCCCCAGGGAATATAAAACAGTGAGACTTCGGAGAGTGGCACAGTCATTTTTACAAAGTTAAACATAAATTCACCATATGACCCAGCAATTCCACTCCTAGCAAATTATCGAAGGCAAATGAAAACACACATCCACACGAGACTTGTGTGTGATGTTCCATTGTGTGGATGACCACATTTTCTTTATCCATTCGTCAGTTACACATTGGGGTTGTTTCCACCTTTTGGCTATTATGACCGATGTTGCTATAAACATTCATGTACAAGTTTCTGTGTAGGCACATGTTTCATTTCTCCTTGGTATATACCTATGAGTGGAACTGTTGGGTCATATGGTAACTCTAATCTTTAATCATGTGAGGAACTGTGACTACTTTCCAAGGTGGCAGTGCGGGGGGATTCGGATCCTTCCACATCCTCACCAACACTTGTTATATGACTTTTTGATACCAGCCTTCCTAGCAGGTGTAAAGTGGTGTCTCCTTGTTTGGATTTGCATTTCCCTGATGACTAATAATGTCAAACACCTTTTCATGTGCTTATTGGCCATTTGTATATCTTCATCAGAGAAATGTCTAATCAGACTTTTTGCCCATTTTTTTTTGCCTTTTTATTATTGCTTTGTGAGAGTTCTTTAGATACAAGTCTCTTATCAGATATATAATTTGCAAATATTTTTTCTTCTTCTTCTTCTTTTTTTTTTTTTTGAGACGATTCTCACTCTGTTGCCCAGGCTGGAGTACGGTGGCGCAATCTCAACTCACTGCAATGTATTGCAATTGTTTGAACCACCTCCTGAGTTCAAACAATTCTCCTGCCTCAGCCTCCTGAATAGCTGGGATTACAGGTGTGTGCCACCACACCCAGCTAATTTTTGTATTTTTAGTAAAGAAAGGATTTCACCATGTTGGCCAGGCTGGTCTCGAACTCCTGACCTCAAGTGATCCACCTGCCTCGGCCTCCCAAAGCGCTGGGGTTACAGGCATAAGCCACCACACCTGGCCTATTTTCTCCCATTCTGTGGGTTGTATTTTTCCTTTCTTGATAATGTCTTTGAAATACACAAGTTTTTAATTTTTATAAATTCAAATTTATTTTTTCTTTTGTTCCTCATTATTTTGGTGTCATATCTATGGATCTGTTGCCAAATCTGAGGTCATGAAAATTCCCCCTATGTTTTCTTTTAAGTTTTATAGTCTTAGTTCTTATATTTAGGGCTTTGATTCATTTTGAGTTAACTTTTGTATATGGTGTGAGGTAAGGGTCCAACTTCATTCTTTTGCTTGTAGCTAACCAGCTGTCCCAGCACCATTTGTTAAAGTCTATTCTCCACTGAATGGTCTTAGCACCCTTGTTGAAAATCAGTTGACAGCAGACACATGGTTTTATTTCTAGACTCTCAGTTCTAGTCCTTTGATCTCTGTGTCTATCCATTGATCCAGACCACATTGTTTTGATCACTGTTGCTTTTCTTCATGACCACATTGCATGGAACAGTGTGGTTCAAATATTTGTTGACTGTTCAAAGCCCAACAACCAAAAACCACCAGGAACACAACCATAGGATTTATTTAGCTTGCTGTAGCAAGGGAGAATGCACCCTGGAGAACTTCCCAAACATCTCAAAAGGAGAGTTATGAAAGGGACCTCTTCCAGGGTTGGGGTTGGTGCTGGGTGACTTTAGGGAGAGGGTGGGGAAGCAGAGGCCAGTCTGGGGTTGGGTGCTTCCAAGAAGTGGGCCAATTTGGTGATAGGGAACTTAATTTTTACATAGGAGGTAGGAGGATTAAAAGAGGGCCAGATTGTCACTAGTGGAGAAGCACTGGTCACTCAAACAGGCTGGTCAGTCATTTTTGTGACCCTGGAGCAGTCTTCTCTAATGTGCTGTCTTGAGCACTGTCTTTTGTTTCTTTGGTCTGGTTGTCAGCAAGGCTGTTTTCCACATTCTGGGAGTAAACAGATGGCCTCTGCTGTGGAACAACTAGAGATTCAGTAGGCCAAGGCAGCCTCCACCCATCCTGTGACATCTAATCCAATGCTTGCTTTAGGGACCAACACATCGGCCAGGGTCAGCTGGGGATAGCAGGAGGTGCCCTCAGTGTATGATGGCCTGTGCCTAGACCACTAACTCACCATGTGGCCTGGGCCTGTTTCCTCATCTGGAATATAGGAAGATTGGAGGGGACAGCACCCCAGCCTCCTTCCAGTTCTTCCTCTGTGATCTAACTGTCTTCTTGTGCTATTTCAAAGACAGGGAAATCTCCCACGATGAGTGTCCTTATTTCACCGGCCAATACCACGTGTGTGCACTCACACACACTCCTGCACACACAGGCAGCTGTGACTCACCCGCTTCAAGTCCCTGATTCAGTCTTCTAGCTCAGCAGCTCCAGACATTTGAATTTCATACCCTGGCAAAATTTCCAAAAAATATTTTTGGGACCAACACAGGGTTGCCAATATTTTATTTTGTCAAATAGGACATTAAAAATAGCAAGTACTACCACCTGCTGCAAACATTGAATCATAAAAGGATAATATAATCAAGGATAATACTTTCAAGTTTCCTGTGTTCTCCTCATTTTTTGGACAAAGATGAAACTCCTGCTGGAAGAGACAATTGTTAGTGTTCCCTGTGTTTGGGAATAGCTGTTTTATCTTTTGACTTTGGGTCTTATTAAAATGCAAATGCTGTCTGAGGGGTAGCCTCAGTTGGCCACAAAGGAGTGAAGGGCTCGTGGGGAGGGGGTGTGGCAGGCCGAAGGAGGGGACAGGAAGGGCTCCGAGCTGAGCCCAGGACACCAGTTCTCCAGAAGCTCAACAAGCCAGAGAGGGAAGAACTCACACCCATGTCCCCACGCACATCTCAACAGCCTCTTTAATTGAGAAGTTTGAAACACAGGCCTGGGAGAAAGTGTTGGGTAACTGGTGAAGCTCTAGTCAAAGGAAGGTTGAACTAGAAATCTCCCCTCTGGCCTTGAAGCTGCGCCCTCTTAACACCTCCCTAGCTGCCACATTCTACTTCCAGTTGTTTGCACCTGAAATGTTTGCCCAAAGCCTATGAGAAATACTGTGTGTGTGTGTGTGTGTGTGTGTGTGTGTGTGTGTGTGCGAGAGAGAGAGAGAGAGAGAAATCTCTGCAACCACCGTAAGTAGCTTTTGTAGAAGAGAGAAAGAAGCGGAAAGTAAGTTGTCCAGCCCCACAACAATGGTGTGAGTTTATTTTTAACTTTTTTGGGTCACAGGACAACACATAGCATTGGTGGTTCACTCTGTCTGGACCGTGCAGAGCCAAATTCAAAGAGTAGACCCCTCCTACCCCCCACCCATTCTCCTAGTGCCTTACGCACTGTGCTACTATTCCTTTAAAATGTGCTTCTGTGTCACCAAAGGGGACCAATCAGCATACAGGGGGAGGAGCTACTTGGGGCCCTGACCACCAGTTGTGCCAATAAAATAAGAGTCTATAGGGACTGCTCTAAGAGTGACAGCCTCCTGAGGAAGCTTGGTGCAAACCTGTTTAAAGGGACAGTGTATCAAAAGGGCCACTCCGGTGGTATAAAGAGTTCAGAGCCCCTGAACTGAGCAGTGCAGCCCCAAAGTGGCTGCCGTCCTTCTGGAAGATGATAATTTGCTGGAAAAGACAAGCGATTTATCTGTCTAATTGGGCTTTTATTTGCATTTTAAATCATGCTCTTTTGCTAAACTAATGGACCCCCTATTTATAGATGACTCCAACACAAAGTGACTACTAATTACTACAATTAATATCACGTTAAGGGCTTGCCAGCCAACTTCACAGCAACTTGTATCGCCTACTCATTTTCAATTAAGGCACATTGACAGGGAGAATACGTGGTTATTAAGAGAGGGCCCTGGGGTGTAATTACTGCTCATGAAGGTCATTAAGCAACTCCCCTGCAGGGTTGGCACCTTGGCGCCCAGGGGCTGGGGCCCAGGTCCACGTCCTACCCGGGAGCCATAAAGGCACAGTGCCCCAGGCTGCCAGGCAGATGGCAAGCCTGGCTCTGACTTGCCTGGAGGTGGAGCAGATGATGCCGGGACGCTGGGGCTGAGATAGCAGAGGCAGGGAGGCTGAGGGGGCCATCCCTCCTCCTCCTGAAGACAGCAGTTGTGGCAGCCACTGGAGAGTTGGCAGGAGCACCACAGCCTCCTTGGAGTGGCACGCAGCAAGTGTCTATGAGGCCTCCTCCGGGACAGACAGGGGGTGGCAGTAGGGGAGCAAGGTTCGGGGGAGGCTGGGAGGCAAATGCTTCAGGGCTGGGAGGGGTCCTGGGCTCCAAATGCTGGGGAACGGCCACTTCTGAGGAGGAGGAGGAGACACTGGGGTGAAGTGAAGCTGTCAGAGAGAGGAAAAGGCCTGGAGGGGTGGGGTAGTAGTTGAAGAAGTTGAAGAACGTGAGCATTTCAAGATTTGGGACCAGGGTGCTTGTGACCAACTGTCCACTGATTCTTCCTGACCTGGCAGCCACAGCCCACATGCCACAGTCAAGGCACGGGCTGTCAGCCCCAGAGCCAAACCCAGGGCCCAAGCAGGGGAAGGCTGGGAACCTATGAGGCACAGGGCCGAGACCTGCTGGTGGTGGGGTGAGGACCTGGGACCGGAGGCGAGCAGCCCCTGGCAGTGGGGTGCTGGAGCTGGGCCTGGGAGCCGGGCCAGGGCCTTCCTGACTTCAAGGACTCTGTGTTTACAACTTGGAATTGGCCAGGGTGGATGATTTAGATCACGAAACACTACAAACCTGCAACTGCCACAAACCAGGTGTTCTCCTTCAGAGAGCTGGGTGTTCAACATTTCCCAGCACACCACAGTCTTGGGGCAACCTGTCAGGGCACTGCGCCCTGGGGACTGCAGTGTGGGGCCTGGTTTATTTCCTTAGCACCTGAACCCACATCCATGTAGTGTACTCAGTAGGAGCTCAGTAGGCATTGACTGCACTGAGTTCGATGGGGATGGAGAGGAAGCCCGCTTCTAAGAAGCGAGCTGCATAGATAGCGTGGCTTCCCAGGAATCAGGTGGGGCTGTGTTCACCTCCAGACCTGGGGTCTAAATTTGGGACAAACCTGCAGGTATGGACAGACACTCCCTCCCCCATGGCCTCAGTCTCCAAGGAGTCCCTCTCTCACCAGACCAGCACCCACACACCACCAGCTGCCTCGTCCGGGAAGGGGATTGGGCCTCCATGGGGAAGTAGGCTCTGGAGTATTGCTGAGTATGGGGAGGGAGGGCCCTCAGCCCTCTGGGGAGGACTGGGTTGGAGGGCCCCTGGGGCAGTGGGCAGGCCCAAATCATGGCTGTCAGGTTCTGCTGGCTGAGTTCCTGGGAAGGCTCTGCCTGTCAGCCCTGCACTAATGAGTCCTCCCCAGGCTCTGTCCTCATGCCTCTGTCCTAGCCACCTTCATTGCCTTGTTCCCAGGTGTCCTCGTCCTTTTCAAATCACCTCCAGTGGCCTCTGTGTCCCTCCTCTATCCTCTCTGCATAGTAGGTCTTCGTCGGCACTGGGAGGGAAGGGAGAGGAGGAGGCAGGGTCTTGGTGCTGTGTGTTAGGATCAGGTTTGCTGCACGAGAATGATGGTGGCTCCCATAAGACGTTTCTCTCTCTCCTTACCATGGGAAGTCCAGGGCTGGGATTGGTGGTGCCAACGCTATCTGGTTGCTCTGCCATTCTCATAACGTGGCTCCCACATCATGGTCCAAGGTGGCAGCCATCGGTCCTGTCTGCCTCTGGCCAGCAAAGCAAAGGAGGAAAGGGCAAGAAGAGGAGCATGCTGGTCCCTTTGAGGCACTTCCTGAAATCCACAGGTGGCAACTATTCTGGCTCTCATGTTCTTGTACCTGAGCTGTGGCCCCCGTGCACTCAGAGAGGAACTTCTTTTGCCTCCAGGTCCAGCCTTTGTCCCAAGAAGGCAGCACTCCACCGGCAGGGGACCCCAGCAAGCCTTGTCCAGGTGCCAGGGGTACACGGCTGTGGGCTCACCTTCCTGCCTGTGGCCCAGGAAGCACTCCCATGTGACCACAGCCTCTGTGGCAGGATGCCAGGCCCCGAGGAGCACACCAGATGCTGGAATTGCCATGGAGCCCACCTTTCCATGGGGGGGACTTTCACATGTGCAGGCTGCCCAGGGCTGGGGGTGTGGAGGGAGCAGTTTACAGTGCCCACCATCCCGTGGGCTGGGTCTTGTGCCCTTAGCAGTCAGCCAGATTGTGCCTGGTAAACCATCTCTACTTCTTTGCTTTCTTCTTTCTAATTTCCTCCAGGAAACTCTCTGAGTGTTTGCTGGGCTAAAACCTGAGGAACTGGGGAGGTGATTAGAAGAGTTTCAGGAACCAGGCACCCAGGGAGGCAGGGCAGATGGTGACCTCCTTACAAGGCCAACAAGACTCCCCCACCTTCCAGGGCTGGGACTCAGCATGGTTCTCCCCAGCTCTGCAGATCCCGGGAGCATCCACTCAGGAGCCGGCCCACCCAGGGTTAGCCCTCCCAGTGGCTCGGCCTCTCGTGTGACTCTTTTTTTTTTTTTTTTTTTTTTTTTGAGAGAGGGAGTCTTGCTCTGTCACCCAGGCTGGAGTAAAGTGGAGCAATCTCGGCTCACTGCAACCTCTGCCTACTGGGTTCAAGCAATTCTCCTGCTTCAGCCTCACGAGTAGCTGGGATAACAGGCGCCCGCCACCAGGCCCAGCTAATTTTTGTATTTTGGTAGAGGTGGGGTTTCACTATGTAGGTCAAGCTGGTCTCAAACTCCTGACCTCAAATGATCCGCCCACCTGGGCCTCCCAAAGTGCTGGGATTACAGGCATGAGCCACTGTGCCCAGCCGAGACTCTTCTTCAGGCCCCATTTCTACCTCCCCCAGCTACCCTTTCTCTTCCCTCCCAAGTAGCCCTTGCCCGCCATCAGGGCTGGTGTCAGGGGCCTCTGTGGATTAGGAATGAGGGCAGCAGCGGGATCATGTCTCTGGGACCCCAGGTGGGCTCACATAGGCTCCCTGGCCTCCTGCTGCTTTTTTGCTTCCTCCACCTCCACTCCCCAGGCTCAGCTCTACGGGGGCTCAGTAGGCAGTTCAAGGAGGGATGCCACCAGGACTGCGCCTCCACTCCGGGCCCAGTGGGGGTTGTGTCTCTGGGCAGAGAGCTTCCCCAGTGGCTGTCCCCATGGGCCCACCAAGCTGTCTCATTCAGAGAGGCTGAGAACTGGCAAGGAGGAGACAGGCTGTCACTTCCCACCGGTTGGAGAAGGCACATAGTAGGCATTAAATAAATGCTATTCTTCCCAGCTTTCTCTTCCCCTGCATAACATGAAGTGCTTTGTGAAAATTTCTGGTTACTCATAAAAATCTTAAATAGCTCTCACTTTATAAGTGTTTAAACAACTTAAAAATGTAACCACCCCATCACCCAGTTTCCTTTTCGTGTGCTAGTTGGGGCTGTGTTTATATACACGGTTATGCTGCTGAAAGAAAGGGTCTCGGTGGCCACGACGCTACAAAGCCGGATGCCTGGGGTTTTGGTAATTGTCTTAGTGTATTTTGTGTTGCTTATAATACAATACCTGAAACTGGGTAATTTATAAAGATAAAGAATGTATTTCTTACAGTTATGGCAGCTGGGAAGTCCCAGGTCGAGGGGCCACATCTGCTGAGGGCCTTCCTGGGGCAGGGCCTCTGCAGAGTTCCCAGGCAGGCCAGCTCAGGTCTCTCTCCCTTTTATTATAAAGCCACCAATCCCACTCCAGTGAAAACCCATTCATCTACTAACCCATTAATCTGTTAATACATGAGTGGATCGATCCTTTCATAAGGGCAGAGACCTCATGACCCAATCACCTCTTAAAAGCCCACCTCCCAATACTGCAGCACTGGGGATTCAGTTTCAACAGGAGTTTCGGCGGTGATAAACATTCCAGCTATAGCAGTAAGGGTAGCTGGTGCAGTGATGTGCTTCATCTCTTCTTGGGCTGGCCTCCATGTCAATGCCCACTGCTGAGGCCACTCCCTGGGGCTCCTCCACTCCCTGATTCTGTCCCACCAGAAAGCGACCCACATCCACCCTTCCTCCTGGGTCCTTCCTCTTTCTCTTGACTGGGGCTCCTGACCTCGCTCTGGTCCTCTGTGCTTCAGGCTGCTGGGCCTGCCTCACCTCCACCCCGCTTGGCCATAGCCCCACACCCATCACATCCATAGTCCGGCTACCCAGTGAGCTGCCTCCATGGCCCGTTCCCAGAGCTGCTGGGCACATAACATATCCTACCTGGAGCAGGCCTATGGGCACCTAGCTGGCCTCTAGTTAGCCCCTTCTCATCCTCAGAGCCCTCTGCCTCTTGGCAGAAACCACACCTCCTATTTCACAGAGAAAGAGAAGCTACAGGAGAGGAACCCTGACCTCCCTCCCATTATTGCCCCTCTTCCTCTCCCCAACCTGCCGTTCCCACCAGTGTTTAAATACCTGAGGCCTCCCTTCCAAATGGGAGCACCTCTCCCAGCCCTCACAGGGCCTAGACGTCAGGGCCGTACTGAAGTCGAATTCTGCCATCACCCCCGCCTCCTCAGGGCCCATGCGATCGAGGCAGCGAGGCCTTGGCTGGCCGTGCCTCTGCTCTGCTGGGATTTCCCCCCTTCGTACCCACATGGCTCCCTCTTCCTCATGGTCCAGCGCAGCTCTGTCCAATTTTCCTCTGGTTTAATTTCCTTTGCTGCACCTGCAGCTCTTGGACATAATATTAACTTGTCGTGCGTTTGTTTTGTGTCTCACCCTTTCAGCAGAACATCAGGTCCAGGAAGGCGAGTGCCTGTCTGTCTTGTACACAGATGTATTCCCAAGGCCTTGGGTGCGTGATTGTGCATCACAAAAGACTTACTCCATGAATGAATGCATGAATAAGTGAATGATCATTATTCTGATTCTATAGGTAAGGAAACTAAAACAGCCCCTCCCTGGCCACTCAAGCCTTCCTGCTTCTACCTGGCACACCCTTCTTCCATCCTGGGCTGCTCTCCTGCCTCTGTCTGCACTCCAGCCCTGGGAAGCCCTGCCCGCACTGGGCTTACCTCCTTTCACTGAGCTCTTCATCCATAGGCTAGCTGGGATTCTTCCTCTGCACAGTCCCTGTTACCGGGCATGGTTCATACCAAAGCTCCTTGAGTTGGTGAAAGAGAAAAGGGGATTTATTAAAACAAACCCCAGTGGCTCACCTGCCTTCAGGAACAGGCCAGGGGTGTCTTAAATGGGCTTGTGAGGTGTCTCAGGACAAGCCATGTGCTGCAACACCCAGAAGCAGGGCTTAACCCTGCCCCTCTCCTCTCTTGGTACCTGGGACAACCCAGGCTGAACTCCTAAAACTCTTAATGGCCGCCTCTCAATGATTCAAAGGTCCTGCATTTTCTGATTCCTCCACCCCGTTCTGCAGGAGCCCAGTGAGAGAGTTTTCTGGGTTAGCCCTGGGGGTGGCTGAACTCATGTTGGAAATGATCCCTAGAGGGGGATGTGTCTGTGATGGGTCAGGGCACTGCCCCAAGCTCATTATTGAGGAGAGCCTGAAAGGCTCCAAGATTCCATCACCTCCTTCCCTGCTAGCCTCAAAACCTCCCAACCAGAGTCTGCTCACAATGAAGCCAGGATGGGCTGGGAGTCAGGAAGGTGCAGGGGGTCAAGGAGATGGGATGGGGCCAAGGAGGCAGTTCCTAGGGAAGGGCTCCAGACACCCACCTGCCACTGGACTCTGCCAGGGCCGGAAGGTGTCTCAAAGGAGAGCTGAGACTCATTTTGCATATTCCTTGCCTTTCACCCGTCTTCCTGGTTCCCAGTGGCAGGATGGTTTCCTCCCTTGCAATGGCCCCTGTACAAACAGCATAACTAGGCGGTGGCTGGATCTTCAGGGACCCTTCCATGCTTTTGGGCCAGATACCCACATCTTCCATCTCTCTTCCTCAGGGGCCTCCAGGGTCTTGCACGCAACCTTTGCAAATGGACATGGCCTCTTCTGCCTATAATTTGCCCCCTTCTTCCATCCTCTCCCTCTGCACAAGCTACCACTGTGCACCTGGTTTCCCCAGGCTCGCATTTTCTCTGTCTCTGTCCATCTCTCTCCCTATGTCTGTCTGTCTGTCTCTCTCTCTCTCACTAGCCACCTCTACCCCTTCATCAGTCTTTAAGCCTTGTGTCTTCCAAGTCTCTGTCTCCATCAGTTTCCCGAGCCCAGCTTCTGTCATCCCTGCTTTATAACCGAAATGGTCTCCTAAACAGCCCTCTGCCTCCAGCCTGGCCTGTGCCACCTGCAGGCCAAGGCCTTTCTCCAGCCCACACCAGATCGTGCCTCTGGTCACTCCTCTTTGCTGGGCCCACAGAGCCCTGTGTACACTGGCCTGCCTGCCCCCAACTTCTTCAGGCAACACCCCAGCTAGTTCCTCCCAGCTCCTAATGTCATCCGCTGCCCTCCCAGATCCTTTCACTTGGCTTGCTCCTGTCCACCCTTGAGGTCTTAGTTTAGACATCTCTACCTCCTGGAAGCTCCCTCTGCCTGTTGCCCCCTCTAGGCTGGGATTTGCTCCTCTCCTTTGTGCTTTCCAATGCGCTGTGTGGCCCCATCCTGAAACACTGCACTGCAGGGCCCTCTTGTAATGGCAGGGACCGTCCTTCTTACCTTCCACCGACTCTGCAGTAACAGCCCAATCGGCAGGAAGGTTGGTGAAGCCACGACTCTGCTCTCAACATGAGGGGCCTTTCCAGGGAGGGAGGAGGGGACAAGGAGGCCTGGGGAAAAGCTGATGGCAGAGGCAGCTACGTCAAGACATGGTCAGGATGCTGTGCCCAGGACCCCTCCTCCCTGGCCATCAGTAGTGACTGCGCTCAGGGAATGTCCAAGGTGGCACTGCTGGAGGAGATGTGAGCAGAAGGTGTGAGGCCTAAACAGGCCCAGCCTGCCTGTTGGCCTCTATCTCTTTCCTCTGGGCATGGGGCCTTGAGGAACATCAGCACTTGTGACCACGAAGATGGAGGTGACACACTAAGGATAGCAGAAAGATGGATGGGGTCCCGATGGCCTGGGCCCCAGCCCTGGACTGCCTACCTCCACATAGCAGTGGGCATGGCTGCTGTGCCTGGCCCATGGAGCAAGTCCCGGGGGAGATTTTCCACTCTCCTGGGATGTCGTGGCTCCTCACTGTGGACATGAGGCATCTCCTCCCCACCGCCCACCCCCCCAACCTGTGCCATCATCCCTGCTCTGGAGACCCCACTCCAGGCACAGTCCTAGGCTGGGAGCACAGTCAGGAGATCCCCAGGCTCTTTGAGTGTCTGTTATTTTATGGTGTAACCTTCAGTCTGGGTTGAGGCTCCCTTAGTTCTCCCCAGCCCTGGAGGAGGGGTTAGTGTGTGATCGCTGACTCTTGTCTGGCCCTACTCCCCTTGGTTGTGGGCTGCCATGGAAACCCACTGACCACAAGGCTTGTCCCCTGACCCTGAGGAGGCAGTCCCCTGACCCAGCCTCCTGAGGTCATCTGGACCCCGAGTTGGGGGCCGTGAGCTGGGGGGTGTGAGCTGGTGGTCGTAAGCCAGGCTCAGCCTCTGAAGTCCAAGCCCAGAGGTGCACATTTGGCTGATCCACCAGACTGTTGGGTCCTAGACCGTCTGGCAGGACACGGGACTTACAGCCCAAGGCCTGGCCGGGGCTGGGCCCCGTTTTTCAATGTCAGCACTTTGCTCCCTGTTTCTCAACACTAAAGACCCTGTCAACACCTTGGAAAAGACCAGGGGATGCTGGCAGCTAAGGAAGCCTCTTGGAGCTTGAAGAGCTACATACCCTGATAATGATGGTGGGCACTAGGCAGCCAGGTCTGCAACCTTTAACCAACACAATGACTGGGTAAAGAAAATGGCATTCCTTTATTTGGTTGACAGCTTTTAAAAAATTGCTCAAATGCCCAGTCTGGTTTAAAGTTCAGTCCCATTTGGAATCAGGAAGAGTCTCCCCAGACCCCAGGTGTGGCTGGCTCCTGTCTGCAGAGAGGGGCTCATTGTCCTCCTGGGTGTGGGTCTTGGCTCCTCCTTCTGGCCAGAACAGCACTCTGGCTGGCGCTCTGAGCTGGTTGTAGTTCCACGCGGTCCAGTCTAGTGTCCACACTGAAGTGACCCCCACCATGCTGGGCACCTCTGTAGCCACACAGCCTTCTGGGTCCTCCTTACAGCATGTGGAATCAGGGCAGGTCAGGAAAACCAAGCCTTAGTGACCTCCTCAGCCTGCCTATGCAAGGTGGCCAAGGGGCAGGTGTGTGCCCAGGTGGCCATAGGGCCACTCGCCCTTCATTGACTTTACTTAGCTTGTGATGGTTCTCCTGCTCTGAAGCAGAAACATGAAGAAGGGTTTTTCTCTTTATTCTCCTTCCCAGAATCCTTTGGTGCAGGCAGGGTCAAGTTTTTCCCTTCTCTTTTCCTACCCAGACCTCACTTAAATAAAAATTCCTTACAGAGTCCAACTCACCAAGCCTGGCCATCAGCAGACTCCTAAAAATGATTCAGGAAGGTAGACCCTCTTCTTTCAGAACCAAAGCCTAGGTTGCTACCTCCTGGGATTGCAGCAAAAGCCTTGCTACAGAACCAGGAGCTGATGATTACCTGCACCACCTCTTTCATTTTTTCTAGAACAAACCAGAATGCTTCCATATCAACTTAGCCATAATGTCAGGCCACCTCTCTCTCCACTTGTGTTGCGGGAAGTCAGGAACCCCAAATGGAGGGACCGGCTGAAGCCATGGCAGAATAATTGTGGATTGTGAAGATTTCATGGACATTTATTAGTTCCCCAAATTAATACTTTTATAATTTCTTACGCCTGTCTTTACTGCAATCTCTGAACATAAATTGTGAAGATTTCATGGACACTTATCACTTCCCCAATCAATACCCTTGTGATTTCCTATGCCTGTCTTTAATCTCTTAATCCCATCATCTTTGTAAAATGAGGAGGATGTATGTCGCCTCAGGACCCTGTGATGATTGCGTTAACTGCACAAATTGTTTGTAGAGCATGTGTGTTTGAACAATATGAAATCTGGGCACCTTGAAAAAAGAACAGGATAACAGCAATGTTCAGGGAGCAAGAGAGATAACCTTAAACTCTGACTGCCGGTGAGCCAGGCAGAACAGAGCCATATTTTTCTTCTTTCAAAAACAAATGGGAGAAATATCGCTAAATTTTTTTTCTCAGCAAGGAACATCCCTGAGAAAGAGAATGTGTCCCTGAGGGTAGGCCTCCGAAATGGCCGCTTCGGGGGGCGGCCGTCTTTTATGGTCAAAGCTGTAGGGATGAAATAAGCCCCAGTCTCCCATAGCGCTCCCAGGCTTATTAGGACGAGGAAATTCCCGCCTAATAAATTTTGGTCAGACCGGTTGTCTGCTCTCAGACCCTGTCTCCTGATAAGATGTTATCAATGAAAATGCATGCCCGAAACTTCATTAGCAATTTTAATTTTGCCCCGGTCCTGTGGTCCTGTGATCTCGCCCTGCCTCCATTTGCCTTGTGATATCTTATTATCTTGTGAAGCATGTGATCTCTGTGACCCACACCCTATTCATACACTCCCCCTCCCCTTTTGAAAATCACGAATAAAAACTTGCTGGTTTTACGGCTCGGGGGGCATCACGGAACCTGCCGACATGTGATGTCTCCCCCAGACACCCAGCTTTAAAATTTCTCTCTTTTGAGCTCTGTCCCTTTATTTCTCAGACCGGCCGACACTTACGGAAAATAGAAAAGAACCTACATGAAATATTGGGGGTGAATTTTGCCCTATGTCTGGCTGAATTTCCCCCAATACAGTTGTATTCCTGGGTTTGTTCCCTTGCTCCCAGATGGCTTTTTCACATGGAAACTGGCTGGTCCGAGACCTTTGTGTGAATTCTCCTTTGTGGAATTCACCATGGTGGTGAATATTACCCTAAGTCCATGAAGACATCAAAGCCCTATCCCACCCTGAAACCACTGGTCCTTGCTCTCGTGTATGGATTCAGAGCCCTGCTACCAGCTCCTCTATACCTCCACACTCTTCAGCCAGGGACAGCATTTTAGTCCCCTTCCTGTTCCCAGCCCAGTCTCCTGGGAAGCAATTCTTGCCTTCTCTGTTACCCCATTCTGCTAATAGGGTGCCCAAGTCCCCACAGTTACTCCTCTGCCTTCCCCACTGTCAGGGTCCCAAGTGCCTGGGTTTCTGCATTGGTGACTATTTTGAGCTAATTCTTAGTTCCCATCCCCCTCAACTTCACCTGCTCTAACTTCCTAAGTCTATGTATCCCCAGAAACCTAAACAGCTTAAGGATGCTTTAACCCCTTAACAAAGATGTTTTGCATCTCAGAAAACCCAATCCCTGATGCTTACAAAAGTGGCATTTCTGAAAA
The DNA here is from genome assembly GCF_000001405.40 of Homo sapiens. NCBI lineage: Eukaryota > Metazoa > Chordata > Mammalia > Primates > Hominidae > Homo > Homo sapiens. The sequence goes on along the minus strand of NC_000006.12, from coordinate 33,915,672 downwards.
CTTTTGAAGTCAGACACCTTAGCTTGGATTCCATTACCCCACCCAGGGGAACCTGTGAACCAGACCATAAAGAGGCAGGATTGTCCCAAGCAGGGCCTTCCTTTGAAGGCCTTTTTTGTTGGCATTCCTGCTCAGAAAACTCCCTCCTGCATCACCCACTGAGGTTTGCATAAGGCCCTCCACCAGGTCTTCTCTGACCTGTGGGAGTTGGGTCCTGAGGCTACTGGGGAGTCTGAATGACCAATACATGGAGCCTGTCACTGCCTCCACCCATCCCCAGCTCTATACCCCAGCTTCCAACTGGGACAGCTGGTCTCACTTTCAATGGGGCCCAGCTGTGCTGCTTGAGTCTCTGATTTTGGCTCCCGTCCAGCCCCACTGACTTCTTGCAGCTTGGGACTCCACATACAATATTCAGGACCAACAAGATTTCAGGTAACCTTCAGGAGACTCCAGAAAATCCAAAGTGAAAACAGAGCCTGAAGACCCATGAAGAATTCAGCTAGAGGAAATGCCCTTCTCACCCGTCGATGTTTCTGGTTGGTCAGAGACAAATGTTTTGTGATCACTTTTGAGATTTCTTGAATCTTTTGAATATCCTTATGCTATCCCCTTCTCTGTTCTTAGCTGAGAAGCATTTAAATTGCACAGGGACTCTGCATTTGACTGGGAGATAGTGAAAACGCAGGGAGCCAGAGCTCCCATCAGCAGCCACTGTGGAGGGGCAGGGAGAGGAACCGCAGAAGGTTGAGTAGGCGGTTGCAGCTGTGAACAGAAGAGGAAGCTGTGATGCAGGGGCAGGCGAGCCCCAAAATTGGGGCTTAGCCCAGGAAGGTTCTTGAGTTCGCTCAGGAAATAATTTGAGGGTGAGCCGGTGGTAGAAGAAAACAGCTTCATTAGGCAGCAGTTTTTCAGCTCCGTGACTGTCCCTGCAGAGCCGGGCTACCCTGTAACCAGCATGTCAAGAGTAGCAGCTCAGGGACAGTTCCACAGTCATTTTGACACCCACTTTTGATCACATGCCAATTGAGGGGTAGATTATGCAGAAATGTCTGGAAAAGGGGTGAGAACTTCTGGGCATTGCCATAGCAATGGTAAACTGTCATGGCACTGGTGGGCATGTCTTATGGAGAGAGAGGTGCTTTTGGTGCCTCTTCTGTGTCAGCCAGTCTTCAATCTGGTCTGAAGTTGAGTCCTGCCTCCTACTTCAACAGGCCTGAGATCCCAAGGCACAAGCAAGAAAGGGACCATGGGGAATGGACCCAAGATCAGAAACAGGGACAGGACCTAACTGGCAAAAGTCCTGTCACTCAGGGGGACAGGGGACAAGGAGTGAGAAGTGACTGCGATGGGGAGCTGGGGTGACATGGGGGCAGATTTGGAGAATGGCTGGTCCATGCAGAGGAAATGTCCAATGGGGCACCTTGTTCCGTTGGAGACGGTAATGTGGGAGATGCTCACCAATTCCGAGCCTGATGGACAAGAGTGAAGCATCCAAAGTCACGGCTCATTCTCCATTTCCTGGATCTAGACACCGAGTCGCAGAGGCTCCTTGAGGCTCAGACTTGAATGTTCTTTGGGGATGCTATGGGATGAGGATGGAAATTCCATTAGTGGTGTGGGGCCCAGCTAAGGCTGGGCAGGCAAAGAAGACGCAGAGGTAGGTGAAGGGCAATCTGCCCTCCTCCACCCTTTCTCTCCTTTGTGGAATTTTGCTCAGCATTGCCCAGCAGACACATTTTCAAGGGAAGGACTTCAGCCCCAAATTTTCCCACTCAGACCAGTGTCAGCTTGAGGCTCCTCTTTCCCAAGCCCAGAAATTTTCTCTCTTAAAAAGAAAAGATTCAAGCTCCCTAGCAAGCATAGAAAAAGGATAGGCACCCCTTAGAAGAAAGACACCAGTGTCATCAGCTAATTCCATGGTGAAGTTCTTAAGATCTTCCCCCGAGGATCCCTGCCCCACTCCTGCCTCCATTTACCAATACTTCCTGAACTCTGAGGTGGGGGAACCCTGTGGGCTGGCGGGTAGAGGGGGATCTCAAGGTAGCCTCTTTTCCTTTAACTCCTTATTGTATTGGGGGCCCTGATGTGGCAGTGATGGTACAGTTAGCTAGGAAAGAAAATGGGGCTGGGACTCTCGTGCTAAAGCTGGAAAGAGGTCAGGGTGAGCCACCATCCAAAATCCCCAAAATGCTCGGGGGCCGGGGCAGACAGGTGTGACAGCCCTGCCTGTGCCTGGGCACCTAACTAAAGGCCTGTCTGGAAACCCTGCTCTCTCCCTGCTGCCCATTGCTAGACAGGCCACTGTCTAGTAAACCCCATAGGTTCACTGTGCACAGCACCACACTTCCCACTCCATCAGAGGCCGGGGACCACGCCTCTCTCTCCCCCACCCTCAGAGTCCCCTCTGCACTGTCTGGCCCTCGAGGGCACCAGGCCTGTGCCTGGGTAGGGGAGCAGGACTACACATTTTTGGTTCTTCTTCTCCCTGCCTCTGGGGGTTCAGGCTCAAATGAAACTTGTGTTGCATCCCATTTCACAGATTGCTTAGCATACCATCTGTCAGGGGGCAAGCAGTGGCCGGCCCAGGCCCAGAATGGATTTTCTACCAGGGCCCAACAGGCCCTCTCCCCAGTGAGCAGCTCCCCCACAGGACAGCTCTATTCTGTCCTGGATGAGAGACAAGGAGGTTTGCTAGGACCCCACCCCAATCCCACCCCACTTGAGACTTGGTGCCTTCCCAAGTGCTGTCATCCACCCACTCATCCATTCAACAAATACTCACTGGCCACTGTCTATGTGGGCCCTGTTCTAGAAGCTGGGGCACAACATGGTCGAGAATGACCACAACCCTGCATGGAGCTTCCCTTCTAAGGAAGCAAGAGAGATACCCAACAAAGAGAAGAGGTGGATGAGATAAATTCAGACAATGATAAGTGCTGTGAAGAAAATACGGGGACCAGTGTGACAGGGCAGCCTTGGGCATGGGCCCAGGAGCCACAGGAACTCAGAGAAGACCTTTTCAAGGGGGATGTCTAAGCTGAGCTGGAGGCATGAGGATGAGCCAGTAGTGCATAGGAGAAAAAGTGTTTCAGGAGCAGCCAGACAGTTTTTGTTCTGGGAATGGATCTATACCTCCTGTGGCTGGAGTAGCAGAAGATCTCACAGGGAGAAAGGGAGAGAGGCCCAGGGGAGGAGGAATGGAGGGTGGAGCAGAGGCCTCCTCCTTAAGGAGAAGCAGCTGGCTGTCCTGGCCTCCTGAGAGGCCTCTCTGGACAGTGTCTGCCTGGCTTGTCTCTGATGGGATCCCTGCCCACGTCCTCTCACCAGGAGCAGCCCCTGCTGCCCTTGGCTCAAACTAGTATCACAAGAGAAGAAGCACAACAGCTTAAACCAAGCCCTGGCTAAAATCACATCTGAGTTCCTGTCCCCTACTTCCAACTCTGTTCTGTTCCCTCCTTAAACCATAAGACAATTTTAAGAAGAATCTATTAATCCCTCATTGTTCAGTTCAATCCCACGTGTCTTTACCGACCACCTGCGATGTGCCCTGTTTTCAGGCATGCCAGAGCCTGGCTGTGGTCCCCAGCTCTAGGCCCTGGAGGGGACGTCCTACCTTCTCTCCCTGTACCCTAAACCTGACCACTTCCCTCCTCAGTTCTGACCTCTGAGCTGAGCTGGCAGGGATAATGACGGATTCTATGTCCCCATGGTCTCGTATGCAAAGCAGTGACTCCAAAGCTCTCAGCCCATCCAATTTAGACAAGAGGTCTGACTTAGGAAGCCTCTTGGATCTGCCTCCTACAGTGTCCGAGCCTACACCCTTCCTGAGCGGACTTTCTCTTCCTGGTCCCCTCACCCCTGACCCTGGGTTGCCTGAGGCTTCTCTACATTCCCTTGAGGTCCCTTGAGGGCCCTAAGCACCCAGTCTAACCCCTTCATCGCCCCTGGAGAACTCATCGCTTCCACCCAGAGATGCCTGCCATCAATCACCCTGTCATCTGCTGTGAGAGCAAATGTCATCGCTGTCTCCAGCAGGTGCCAGGCTTATTCAGTATCCATTAATATTGAACCATCAGCCACCATTACATACGCAGGCAGGTAGCATGTAGGCCAGCTTCCCTGATTGCTACCAAAACCCTTCATTTATCCCCCCAGGTCAGGAGGGGGGTGGTGGGGCAGAACGTCTTGTCCTCAAGAAGTTTATCATCTTGCTAGAAAGAAAAAGAATGCCTAGGGAACTCTTAGAGAGTAAAACAGAGTGACGCCTAAACTGAGCATAATAAAGGCTAAATGAATCTGGGCTGCAAAAAAAGTGGACTGGGGAGACTGTGTGGGCTGGAGTGGACAAAAGGGGTTTCGTGAAGGGGAAGGGCTCCAGCCAGGCCTTAAAGAGTGGACAGAGAATGAGAAAGAAAAGTGGGAAGTCGCAGATTCCTAGATACCAAAGAATAAAAAATGTCGCAGCACTCTTGAATGACACCATGGAATCCCTAGCACCGGGCAGAGGACGATCCAGCGGGAAATGAGGCTCTGCCTCTGTGGTCCTCTGTGTGCCTCCAAAGCCTGTGGTGGTTGGCCTGTGAGTCCACACCAGCTGAGAGCTGCTGGGATAAGGAACGGGTCGGGAGAGGCTCTGGCTGCAGGAGCTCAGGTCACTGGATTTGGGGACAGTCAGAGGGAGACAGGCAGTGTGTGTCCACCTTAGTTTCCAGGGAAGAGGTGCTTACCGCCTGCCTGGGAATGGGCTGACATGGACTGTGGTTGGTGCAGGCAGGCAGGCAGCAGGTAGGGAGGGGAGGGCAGGAGTTGGAGCCACAGCCAGAGACAAGGCCCCCAGAGTAGGCAGCCTGCAGAGCTACAAAAGAGTGGCTGCAGAAGACAGGTTTCTACTGGATTGCTGATCCTTTGGTCACATGTGGTCCAAAAGTGGGCCTCATCTCCCAGGCATCCTTCCCCCCTGCCCCCCCAGGCCCAATGCCCGTCCCTCAGCCTCCCTGAGCTGGCCTGAACCGCCATGGAGGTCTGCATCTTCTCAGGCTGCTTCTCTCGGCCTCCCCCTCGCTATCTCCTTAGCCCCTTTATTCACTTGCTCCTGGATTCCAGGATCTCCAGCTCCAAATCAATCCACACTTAGCAAGCGTCCACTGCCGCCCTCTCCACAGGCCTGAGGCTGTTTCTGGTCACACAGCAGTTCCATTCTATGCCTCCCACCCCATGCCTGGAGATGTGCATTTCAGCCCCAGTGTTTTCATCCTACTCTCCTGTACATCCTCAGTTCCATTGCAAGCTGCAAGACACAGTGGGGCTCTGAGACCAAACGCAAAGGCTGGACGAATGGCTCTAAGCTGCTGGGAGTGAAGCGTGAATCAGGGCAGTTTTTCAACCAAAATAGGAAAAAAATACAAATCAGCATCAAACTGCATGAGATTCTGATGGCCACCAACCCTGTGACAATCAGTGATCAGGAAGACATGGAAAGGCATTCAAAAAGAGGGAGGCAACAACAAAATTGATCTGCCTAATCTGACAACTGACAGGCCTGGGGCGTAGCAGAAAAGGCAAGTATGTAATAATCTCTCCACAAGTGCCACCAGGCTAGAAAAGCAAGTGTTGACACGGAGTGGTTGGCGTGGAGTATCGATGAAGGCGAGTGGAAGAACTCAGGCGTTGGCCTTGGTCAGTGGTGAGTGGCCACAACAGAGTAAAAACTCTGCAGCAAGATAAGAGACTAGGAGGTGCCCACGGGTCGGGTAAACACACAGTTCTACTGTACGTAGATAAGCAAACAGCTGCAGCAAAGCTGTGTCTTCCTTAATCACAATATCCCATCTTATTAATTGCCCTGAAATGTCCCCAAAGCTTCCTAGAAGGCTGTCCTTCCAGGGGCATCACTTTTCTGGGTGATTAGTTCAATGCGTCGTCCCTGGCATGGCCACTCCCACCCACCCTCGGGATGAAATGTCCTTCTCTTGGCTCCGACTGCCAACTCTCTCATGTGGATGACACGCCGAGGTGCGGCTCTTTGTTAAGACACCTGGCAGCGTCCTCAAATATAGAGTTTTCAAATCCACAGAGAGAGGAAAGGAACTGGGCTCATTCTCCAAAGTGACAGACCCTGGAGTAGGAGGGCTCTGTGACGGGGCATTGAGGCTCCCGATGCCCACATAATAATATTTAATGCTGTGGTGGCAGAGTGGGCCCCAAATATACCCCTAAAATACCTCATTTCAGGAAGAGGAATGATGATGAAATGTGGTCATTGGTAAGGAAAAATATCAAAAGGAACTGTTTAAAGAGCAAAAACTCCACAGGAAGCCTTGGAGAATATTTGAAAATGAAAAAAACAAAACAAAGCAAAACAAAACAAAAAGTGTCCTGCAGAACAAAAAGACTAGGCCCATAACTGGATGTCACAGGCAGCTAAATGCAGAGCCTTAGAGGCCACTGGGAGCAGGGAGCCTGCTGGGAAAGAGGGCTGGAGAGGGGGCCTCATTCCCCACCCACACCTGAGGGGCTCCTCACAGACCTCAGAAGCAGGAATTAAAGAATGTTCAGGGCTACAGAAGGGTTCCATCAGGCTAGAATGAGCGCGGGACACACAGAACCCCAGACACACACATTTTGCAAATGAATGACAGACGTCCATCCGGTCTGCCGATGACACACGGAGGTGAGGGAGAAGCAACATGGAGCACCCTGTCCAAATCGGCCTTCTCACATCCAGAGCCTGGCCACCCCGGGTTGTCTTCCAGAAACCTTAGACACTTTAGCCAGGAGTGATGCCTCTACCCTTCTTGCCAGAACTTGGGCAAAGCCCTGGTCACAGATGATGTACACCCAAGAACTTTGAGCACTAGAACCCTCTTTACCCACCATAGGCACTGTGACTATTGTTAATTTAACACTATTATGAAAGCCTCAGAATCCTTTTTCTGGTCCAGACATTGCAAGGCCTCAGAAACATTTGCCCCCAAAACCCGCAGCAGGGCTGTTTTGAATCCACTGCACATCTTTGGGTATATTACAAAAAGGTATCCCCCTCTGGGTGGATCCAGGGCAGCTGGCACCCTGCTCAGCCTGCTGCTTGGGGCTGGGTCTCTGCCCCACAGATGAGCCCCCCAGTGCAGGGTGCAACTTGCAGAGCCATGGGTGGAGAGCAGAGGCTTCCGGAGGGGAAATGGCCTTTCATGTTTACGGTGTGGTTGACCATCTGGATGGAGGGCAGGGGACCGGGACAGAGGCGGAGGCTCTTTCCCCTGAGCAGGGGACAGGAAGGATCACCACCACTTTGACAGTTGCTGTTTCTGGCTGACCACAGGGTGGACCAACATCTATTACAGGTGACTGCAGAAGTGACTGGCCTCGAACCCCAGTGGAATTGCTTCATGTTAGTCTTTTTGGTTTTAAGTCAATTTTTGATGCAAGTAGAACAAACACACAGAAAAATGCACACACGTGTCATAAATTTCCAGGCCAGTGCATTTCAACGACTGACTAGACCCATGTGACTAACATCTAGGTCAGCAATCAGAATAGTACCAGCCTCCCTCCCTGGACTTTCCTGTGACCTCCCTCCCCAAACATAATCATTAACCTGGAATCTAACCCCACAGATTACGTTTGCCTGTTTTTTGAACCTTACACAAATGATTGCTAATAATATTTAGCCCTTTTATGTGGGACAGTTAGGTTTGGAAGCTGTATCATGCAGTTGTATTCCATTGTAGAAATACACAATTTATTTATCCATTATACTGTTAACGGGCATTCAGGCAGTTTGACTTTTCAACTTTTTTTTTCTGACTACAAAGATAATCAAATAGTCATTGTAAAAAAAAAAAAAAAGAAAAAAGTTCCCATTTTCCAACCTCATGGAGGGCTCCAGAGTCTCTCTGGGTTCTCAACATCCAGGCTTCCCTTCCTTCTTTCACTTCTTGGAGCTACTCTCACCAGCATCCACATCGCTGGGCCTTTGTCCCTACAGCTCAGCTCAGCCTCCTTACAATCCCCAACCCAGGCTAGTGTCCGCTCTGCCTTCCCACCCCAGCTCCACAGGCACTCAGGCTGCAGGAAAGCTGCTTCTGCACAGCCACAGCGCCAGGAACCTCTGCCTCCCTCTCCAGCTGGGCCTCGGGGCCTACCCTTCCACTTGCTTTGATCAGCTGCCTCACCTCTTGCAACCTCCTCTGGGCTTTTTGCAACCACTAGCCAGACACTCAGAAAATATCCTCAGCAGCTATTTCACTGAGGACAGTAGGGCCCAGAGCCCAGCGGCCTTCGCCTGCCTCCTGACCTTCCCATGTGCCAGTTGACAGGGCCTCCTCTCTCCCAAGGTCTGGCCCTGGACCCTCCTCCCCAGCCTCTCCAGGATTTGAGCCCTGCAGTCTTCTCCCTCGATCCAGAAATCCTCAACCCCTCTCCTCTCTAGGGCATCTTCCACTAAGGCTGCTAGTGGGCCACTCCTTCCTTCCCTCCTGGTGGCACCAATGCGCCCTCCACTCACCCCACAGCAGCAGCTTGTGCTGAGCTCACCAGCAGCCTTGCTAAATCCACAGGACACTGCTCAGGCCTCCAGCACATAATATTTAGGTGGCATTTGACATTGTCACCCATGCTCTCTGTTGAGACTTGTCCCTTAACTTCCTGGAGTGCCACTTTTCCTAATTGCTCTCTTTCTACACCCGACCCCACCACTTTTTCACCCTTTTTTAACCAGTCCCTCCACCTGCCTCTTAATGACAACTTTCTCCAAAATTCTGGGTTAATCTCTTTCCTTCTGGGGCTTTTCTCTTAAGACAGAATGTGGGAAACTCTCACACCTCTCCCATCCCTGGTCCCACCCTTCTCCCAGAATTCAGGCCTCCTATCCAGCCATTCTACCTAGAGGTCTCAGAAGGGCCTCAGAATCTCAGGGAGTTTCCTTTTGAATCAAAGCATATTAGAATTTTGCATTTAGGAAATAAGCCAACAAGTGTTTTCGCAATACAAGCTACCCAATGTAGAGCTCGGCAAAACCTTGGCAGATGGGCTGCAGAGCAAACAGCCTGTCCTTCCCGAGCCTCCAGGGCGCGAGTCATCCTAGGTGAGGTGCGCTTCCCAAAGTGCCTGAAAGGTGCATTAGAATTGCTGGCAGAGCATGAGGTTTTTCCATTTACGGAGAGGAAACCTGGATTTAAGAGGTTGAGAAACGACACTGGAGAGAAGGACTGTATCCGCCAGGGAGCCAGCAGGAGCCGAGACCCTACCAAACCAGGTATTTTTGGCAGAGCTCAGTGATCTGACTCTTTATCATGACAAAAGTTTGGACCTGCTGCCTTGAGTAGAAGACAACCTGAAAGAGCAAGGGTGTGCAAGGTGGGTAAAGAAGGTTCCATATACAATGAACAGACTCAGAGAGGGCAGCCAGGCCAGAGCCATGCCTTCCCCTGAGGGATGCAGGCAGCCCACGCCAGCCAGCAGGGAGATGCCTGGAGAGATATCTCTCCGACTTCATTCTCCTGGCGCAGCCAGTGCCTCTTCAATGCAAATGCAAGATATTGGGCACAGGGATCTTGCTGGGAACAGGCCCTGGAGAAGAATGTGAGAAAGAGCAGAAACAGGGGGACTATATCAGCACCATTCAAGACACCCAAGACAGACTGAGGATCGTCATGGACACTGCAGTAGGGACCAGGAAGTAAACTAGAAGGACCCAGTGACCTTCCTGGAGCCTTCGTCCCTTCCCCTTATTGACCCTCCTTTTGTATTGTCTGGACGAATTGCCAATGAAGCCCTCACTTGAAAGGGTCTGTGTGTTTGTACCACCGCAGGGAAGGCTAAGGGAAAGGCAGGGGTGGGCAGGATCCAGAGAGCCTGCCTTCCTCCCACCTCAATGCCATCCCTAAACTGTCTGAAAAGTGTCACCTGGCTAAGCAAGAAAGCCACTAGAGGCATGGGGTAAAGATGAAACAGGCAGGTCCCTGGGGGCTGGGTTTTTAAGGAGGAAGCAATCTGAGACAGAAAGATGATGTTTCAAAAATTTGTAAGGATAAGAGAAATGGTTTACCAAAAGCAAAACCCCAAAGCAGGGCTGAGCATGTGTGTTTCTGAGTGCAGAACTGTTACCAGTGGGGTGGTCAGAGGAGGCATGCTGGAACCTGTCTTATTGAATGCTATTTTCAATGGGGAAATGGGATACACAAAAGAGAAATGACAACAGTGGGTGGTTAGATTTTCAACCACAGGGAGAGAAGCTGCAGAAGGACCAGCCCAGGGCGCAGGGAAGTAGAAGACAGATTCCGAGTGGACAAGTGTAAGGTGTGGCCCTGAGATAAGGAGGAGGATCCGGGTGCCGCTGAGCACAGGAGGCCAATAGAATGATGGAGGACGAACAACCAAGCAAAATATAGCCTCATCTGACACTTCACCCAAGCAAGGTGTTTCCGCACAGGAAACCCACTCACTCTGTTGTCGGTGAAGCAAGATGTTACAAGGCTTTTTCTAGTCCAGAGAAGGGTGTCAGGCAGCTGGGGATGGGGGTGTTCTAGAAAGAAGAGGGCTGGGCTGAGCTGTGTGTAGCATCTATCCAGTCTTTTAAGGATATGTCGGCAGGGATCATGAATCAGCCTACGAATACTACAATATCAGGGCTAAGGCATCCCTTGGGCTGCAAGAACCCATTGAATAAAGCAGGTAAGCTCTTCTGTCTGTAGAGTATTCTATGCTAAAAATAAATTTGAAGAAGGGTTTAGATCCACTCAGAGAGAGCCCTATAAGGATAATGGAGGGAGCAGTGGGACCCCGCTGGGAGCTCAGCAGCAGAGAGGCCTAGTCCTGTGGCTGAACTGCAAGTCTGTCTTTAGTGCCCCTGCCCTGGCAGAAGCTCTAGCTATGGCCTTTCTTACAGCTCAGGCCACACAGTGTGCATAGCATTGCTAGCTGCAGGCTCTTCCTGTGTGTGGTGAATGAAAGGCAGGCAAAGGTTTGTGAAAAACCAGAATGGTTTCCAGGCAACTGTGAGACTGCTGGTCCCAGCAGAAAGCAGTGTGCACTCATGAGCTGAGCCCAAGGCTCCAGAATGGGCCGTGACCAAGGCCAAGCCCCGGGAGGGGTGGCTGGGGGGTGTGGCCAGGCAAAAAGTCACTCCACACTTCCAGTTCATGGCCCAGCCTCAAGACACACCTCCCAACCCCCAATAAACCACTGGTGCTATCTGCGAGGCCCTTCTGAGAACCCTAACTGCTCAAACCTCCAGCATTTGCGCAGTGGGGAGGTGGGGAGGAAAAAGGAAGGAGCCCTATTCTCCGCAACGGTGTCCCCTCTTTCTCCTCAAAGGAGCCCCTTGGAGTTTAACTGCAGGTGAGGTGAGCACACGTCCACGTTCCCACTCCCGACCTTGGAAGCAGATCCACTTCCAGGACTTTCTGCTTTCCACCCTTCCACCCTGGACCCTCTTCTAAGCAGCTTTGCACTTTCCCCGCCTGTAATTCTCCCCTACCATGACCTACTGCGGCTCCTCGGGGGCCACCTGCAGACTGGAAGAGTAGATCTTCCTTCCAGCGTCCTCTTTTCCCACCATTGTCTCATTCCCATGCCTCACTTCGTGTTCTCCTTCTCTCCCCTTCCCTGCTGGGAGAAGAAAGGGCAACACCCCATCACCTTCTGGCTGGCTTTCACCCAGCCCTGAGGGCATCCCAAAGGCTTTCCAGGACAAAAGGAGGAAAATATTTCCACCAGTGACTTTCCACACCCCCACAAATGGCTCCTGCCTCTAGCCATTCCAAAAAGACCATTCCAGACTCAGAGCAGCCCACCTGCCCAAGCGGATGTTAGGCGGAGAAGCCAAAGGCTCTAGGTCATCTCCAGCTTCCTTTGGAACCTAAAAAGCAGAACTTGATTGCAATTGTCATGCTGATGGACATGAGTGCATAGGGGACCTGCCACACCCACACCTCAAGGGACAGGGAATGAAGACCAGAATAGTCAAGCCAAATGACGAAGACCAGGATACTCAAGTCAAATGACAAGGTTGGTGGTAGAGGGAACGGGACCGGTGAAAAAGCAGCTGACACTAAAAAGTGGAGCCTCCATCTGAAAAGTAAAATGTGGGAGAGGGCCGGTGTGTCGAGGTGGAAGGAAAGGCAGCCTCCCTGAGAGCCACAGAGCGAGCCCAGGCCATCACCGCCCACCTCCACCCAGGCTCTTCTGCACCACTGACCCACCATTGCCCCCCGGACCTCTTCTTTCTCATGCCTCAGAGTGGCCCAACGACAGGAAGAAGCCATCAGAGGGACTGCTGCCGTCTAACGGGATCCCCTAAGACTTGGTGGAACCAGATGTGTCTAGTGATTGCCCTGCAGTAGCCCTGACTTCTTTGGGGGTCACATTTTCCTCGGGGTATGACTGTCTTCCAGCCCTGCCACTGTGTTCATCTACCTCTTCCCTCAGAAATGTCCTGGGGCTTCTGCTCCTCTGTGTTCACCATGTCTGGCTCCTCACGGAACCCTGTCTCTTGGCACTGTATCTGCTCCACCCGTTCCTCTTTAGCCTTCTTGTTTCTCTGTACTTGCATTCAGTGGGCGAGGGCCAAAATCCAGAGCTGGTCACAAAGGAGAGTGCCATAATCCTGGGGATAGAGCCTTGTGATATCTGAGGACAGATGTCCCCTGCTCTTTACCCTGCCCTTCCCCTTGGCTGGGTAGCAGCCTGTGAGCCCAGAGGGGATTGGGAAGGCAGGCCACGTTGCATGAGGAAGCCGCAGACACTCGCTTCCTGGCGTCTCTTCCCCTTATCCAAAACCTGTCTTTCCCTGAGGGTGGCTCCTCTTCCAAGTCTTCTGAAATTTACAGTAAGGCTCTTCTCTTTTCTATCTTCCCTCAGGCAAGGCCTCCAGGACTGTGCCTTACTGGCTTCTTTCCTCCCGCTCCTGACCATTCTAATTCCTCTTGGTGATGCTTCCTCTTCCTCTTGGAGCCCTCTCATGCCACATGACCATCTCCTTCCCATCTTCATCTATCAACAACCCGATGTACTTCCACATTTACATCCCCACAGGAGCTTATTAGAAGAATGCCTAGCACATAGTAGATGCTCAATAAATATTTGTTGAATGAATGAATGAATGGAGAGCTCTGGCCTCAGACTCACCAGTTTTATCTCTGCCCCATACGGCTCAGCCTAAACAATTGTATCAACCCCCAAGGGGACTTGTTGCTCATCTCCACTTCTGCAACCCATCCCCACAGCCAAACCTTGAACCCAGCATTACCTGTGGATCCCCCGCCTTGGCTTCCCACCACTCCCTTCTCTGGAAACATGTTATGGCTGCTCATCCCAACTTGAAGCCCTTCGGTTACATATCATGTTTTTCTCTACCTCATGGTCAATCTGTTTAAAACCCTTGGTTCCCTTTTCTTTATGCTGGGCTTGCCTTGCTGGTCTCCAGCCTTGGAACAGTGGAACCTTTCATTTTCTCAAGCCTTATACTGTAGCTCTGCTAAGAGAAAAATGCATAACTACCAGTTTCTTCCATCACAAATGTATAGTTCACAGCTCAGCAGGGCAGGGCCCCCTCTGCTGCTGCCTACCAGTCAGTTTTGCTAATTCATGCTGGCCCTTTTCCCCCAATTCCCAGAGTTTATCATTACCCTCAAACTCTCGTCCCTATCAGTTGACAACATCCACTCTTAGTTCACTGATAAACACCTCGGCCATCAATTGTGAACTCCCCCCTAGCCCTCCAGCCTCACGTCATCTGTCCATGTCTCCCATTACCTCCAATGTGCTCCTTGCCCTTTTGTAGGGTTATGCCTTTCCCTGGGCTTTGGGACATGCCAGCCTTTCTGCTTACCCCAGGCTGGCCCTGCAGCCAAGTATCCCTCTCCCCAGATTTATGTTAAGTTCCTTCTGCCCTCACCTCCCTCCCCGACAGCCTACCTCCCATTAGATTTAAACCTTCCCTCCACTACCCCCCTTCCTTAAGCTAGCGTCCTCTTTCAAAATTGCCATTTATCAGAATTATCTGGAGGATCTTCCCAATCTATGGAAGGCCCGCCCACCCTTCCTGTCCATTTCATCTGGCATAATTGGCCTCCTCTCCCACCAGCTCATGGGTCTCATCCCCCAGAGACTCAGTCCCCTCTTCGTTGCCACATCCTACAACCTTTCCTTTTCCTTTTTATTACAGAAGAAATCCATGTTTATTTCAAGAACACTGAAGAGTCAAATGTGTGAGTTCCTCTCACCCTGCCCTGAATGGTGTTAAAGGTGGAGCATGTGTCCTTCCAGAGTTTACTACACGCAAACATAATGTAGTTTTATGCACATAAGTAGGAGTTGGTTTCAAAAACATATATGAGATCCCAGTACACATATTATTCTGCAGCTTGCTTCATTTCAAGCCATGTACCAACATGGTTCCACATCAGATCAGTGTACATGCCCAGCCACACTCTGTGAGACTGCACTGCACCCCATTCTGTGGATGTGCCATGAGTGTAAGGGCTCCCCATTTAGCAGGCACTCAGGTTGTTCCCCGTGTTTTTAAACACTGCCAGGCTGCCACAACTATCCCTTTATGCTTATCCTCATGGCGTTCTGTATTATTTCTGTTGGAGAGAGTCTCAAAAATGGCTCTGCTTTTTATTTCTATTTAAATATTTTTTGTTAGATGGCCCTCCAGAAAGGCTGCACCAGCTTTAAAACCCTCGGTTCCCTTTTCTTTATGCTGGGTGTGCACTTTACCTCAGCCCTCGAGGGTGCCTCTGCCCACACCTGGGCCAGCACCCAATAACGTTTCCCTCGTGGCATCTGCAGCAACAGCCCTGCCCGCCCCTTCCAACTCTGCCCCCAGCCCCCAGCAATGGCACAGACATTTCTCGTTACGTTACTCCTTTGGTCTTCTTCTCGAACCTCCTCTCACTCCCCCTCCCCCGATACTGGGCCATCTTCCTCTGCCAGCCCTTCACTGTTGTTCTGTAAGTTTCTCTGGGTTTCCTCCCCCGTCACCTTTATGCCCATGACAGTCAGACGGGCCTCCCACTCCCTCTGCGCCTCATCCCTCTTCTCTCCCTGGGCCACCTCGCCTCGTGGTACAGGGCAGCCAAGTCATCCAAACCAACTGCCCAATGAACGAGGGCTACACAGGTGAGTGTGCGGAAAAGGAGAGAACTCACATCGACCCTGGCATTCATGCATTCTACAAATATTTATTGAGTACCTATTAAGTGCCAGAGGCCGGGAAAGATGTTCAGCTCAATTAGGTGAGGTCTGTCTTGGAGGCGAGGGAGACATTAATCAAATAATCACACAAATCAATGTTGGGTTTCAAATTGTGCTGGGTGCTATGAGGGAGTGGCTCACAGACATGTCCCTGGCAGCTGCCTTGCCTGAAGGAAACGTGTTATCCAGGGAATGGCATTGGAACTGAGACCTGAACAGAGGGCAGGGTTTGATCAGATGAAGCAGACGATGAAGAGCTCTCCATGTTGCTACAGCAGGCCTGGGCCAGAGGGCCGTGAGGCACTTCATAGAGGCCTTGAGAAGAGGTCTGGGAAGCCCGGGGTAGGACGGTAGGCGGTGGGGGAGAGGAACGTGTATTTATGAGACACGTGCTCTTGGCCCTGCCTGCATTTCTAGCCAATCTAGAAATAACAACAGGAAAGCACTCACTCCCGGCACTGGCCCCTCTGAGACCAGGAGACCTTGGGTTCAGCATGCACTGATGGAGAAGAAGCAGGATGCAGAGGCCTTTACCCCCTCTCTCACTGATTACATGGTTATAGCCCTACACTCTGCCTTTGCAGATGCCATGCTTACCCTTAGCTGGACACTCAGATGCCTCCTACCAGTAACTGGAGAGAGAAAGTAAGCCTCTGGGTCGCAGCAAGGGGGACAGGCAAGGGTCAGGACAGTTTGGCTTTTGACCAATCCACACTTGCCTAGCTAAGCCCACCTCTGGCTTCCAGAGGCATGCCCCCACCATGTCCGGGAATGTGTGTCAGGCAATGCTTTCTTGCTGGATGCATGGGGAAGGGTTCTAGTTTCTCATTCACTTCATGTGTTCTGCTCTTGGAGTAAGGGCACCTCTCAATAGAGGCTAAGAAATGCTGATCCCTGTGGATAAGAGAGCCACTTAACTTGGCCATCGGCCACTGAGCCCATCATCCATCTAAAGTCTCTCCAAATACTGGTCAGATGGAGGTTTCCACAGCTGCCATTCTAAATGACAGGACATGTGACCGAGTCTGGAGCCCCATCCCAGCTACCCCTCAGCCTTCCTTCCAGCCAAGGACAACCCACTCTGCCCAGAGAGGCCACATTGCCCTCCAGCCAAGGGACCCCCTCCTTTCCGCCCTAGGAAAGAAGTTCTGTCCTCTATCCCCAAGGAGACTGCATATCCTTCACCACCTCCACTGAAGTTTCTAATGTTAGATGGTCCTTCTCTTCACAGCACCTGCCCAAGTCTGTGTTTAGATGCCTCGAGCCTGATCCTTCCAACTAACATAGAAATGCCAAGGCCCGGCATACTTCCCTGGCCATCCTACACCCTTGTTGAAAGCCGGAGTCTCATGGACTTAAAAGTTCTTCAAAAATGAAGCCAGCTAGCTTCTACCCCCATGCCACAGCAGCCCTGCACAGATTAGTAAGCCCACTGTGACTCTGCTTAGTCCACCCTCCTGCCCATCCGCACTGATCACCAACCACTAAGCCCTGCCTGCGGGAGTCCAAGGAACTCACTAGGTCTCTGACTCAACCTCTAGTGAAGAGGGGGTTTCCCAGGAGTGAAGTACCTATGAGGGTTACTGCCCCTTCTTTCTGGATTTTGGCTCTGAAAGTGTGGAATAAGAGAGTGCACAGTGACTCTTCCACTTCTCAATCCAAGAGAACTCCATACAGTTCTGTTCTATTCCAATGACCTCTGATCAGAAGGAAAATGGCTATTGCAATAACATAGCACTGAGAGATTCTGAAAGAATCAAGCCAGGCCCTTTTGGAGATCAAAGCTTTCAGGAATTAATGCTCAGGTAATTCACGGAGAAAATGATGTGTGGGTAATTTCTGGAATCTTTTCACCTGGGCAGACACATGACTCCCACCAGAGCTCTCCCACCTGTTGCTTTGGGTGCCAGCCAGAAAGCATTGTCCCCGCCCGGGCTGGATTCTAGCCTTGGGTCAAACGGGCTACAGTGCCAATGAAGATGGTACTCAGCGACCTTGGTTCACCAGCAGAACCTGAGAAACCCTCTTCTACCTGAAAGGAGGAGCAGCCCCTTGAGGGCAGCACCTGCCAGTGAGTGTGGAGCCAGGCCACCCTGTCCTTACAAAACTCTTGCAATGTTTGATAGAGAGTAGACATCCGAGGGTATAAAGTACTTTTCCTGTGCATCTTCTCAATTCCCAGGTAGTCTCAGTGAGCTCGAACTATTCACCCAGAAAAGACAGTATGAACTAGCTTTACCCTGGGCCCCTGACCAGGCCTGGTGGTGGCAGCTCCAACTCCATGCAGACAGGAGCTGGGCTGCCCTACCTGGAGAAGCTAGCCACCTACTCTGCCCAGGAATGTCTTGGGTGTCCCCAGAAGGCCTGCTCCTTCCAAAGTTGAAAGCAATGGTGATCTGCTGAAGACACTGGAACTCCGCAGGAAACTGCTGAGCAAAGGAGGCAAGGAAAAGGATATTCTTGGAATATCCAGAAAACCAAGTCGGGAGGGAGATGCTTAAGGGAAGAGAAGGGGCTATCTCCTAGGGAGTGGTCTAGAATCTTCCCATCACTGACACCCAACTTCTGCCCATTATCGGAGGTGCATCTGTCCCTTGGTGAGGGACAGGTAAGGAGGACTCCAGCAGAGCCTCAGCAAACAAGAGCTGTCTGCCTGCTGCAGGGGAGGGTGTATGTGTGACAGGGAGGGTTGGAGAAGGGGCTGCCTTCCACCACTTGTAGTCCTAGGAATCCATGGACACCCTTATTGTGGCTGCGGGCCAGTGTTCCAGGGGCCCTTGTCCTGGGGTGGGAGGAAGGAGCTGTGAAGATGCCAGCCTACTAGGGACAGGGGTAGGACCAGGTGTGCAGCCTGGAACAAGGGACAGAGGGAGGAAGCAGCACCATCAGCACTTTTTCCTTAACACCTGGGTGTGGGTTTGGGTGTGCATTTCTTAGGCAAAGAGGCATCTCAGTGCATGTTTTAAGCTGCCATCTCCTCCTTTTAAGCCTCCTAGTTAATATCTGCTATGTGAATTATTTACTGGGAACAGATGTTAGAGTTTAAAGAGCACTGAGCAGAGATCTTTGGCTAATCAATTTATTTTAACAGGTTTAAGTCTTTACTACACACCCAATTGGAGATTTCCCTGCCACTGGAAGCCTGTGCTCCTACAAGCCTGTGTTACACATATTTCCAGCTCGCCCCAAGCTTGTTTCCTGCTCTTTAGCCCCTCCCCATCCTGGCCAAAGTGCCTCCTTCTCTTGGTATCCTATTTGATCTGCAGAAGTCTAATTTGACCTGGAGAAAGAATTTTTCCTCCTAACATCAGTCCTCAGGTTGGACTAAATGGTCACTCAGTGAGATCTGGCCATGTCCTTCTAGGCTTTGAGTCATGTTTGCTGAAGCCATGCCAGTAAAATATTTCTGGGATTGAGAAGAAGTCAGCCTGACATTTTAAACAAACAAGGGCTGCAAGACTAAAAGACCCATCTCTGCCTCTCCCCAGGGGCGTTTCTCACGGGGTGGGTAGGGAGGGCTTCGAAGCAGCCTGTGAAGTGTGGGCAGCTTGAAACACACGAGGCAGCAAATCCGAACAGGCAAAGGCCTCACTCTCCAGTGCAGTCTGGGAGGACTGATCAGGGAAGAACAGATCAGGGTGAAGAACAGAAAGGTGAGCTCTGATCCTGGAACTTCTTCCCTGCGCTCTGCCAGCTCCCACCTCGCCACCACCCTGGGTTCTGGAACCACGCCAAGCAGGGCAGAAACCGAAGTGCTTTTGGAAGTCCACAGGGATTCCCACACCCACCACAGCCCAATTTCATCTGCCCACAGTTGCTCCCTGAACTCAGTGGCTCTGCCGCAGCAGGGAGATGGTCTGAAGGACAGGCGTGGGGGCAGAAGAAGGTGAGTCACAGTGGGGTGATGCGCCTCACTACTAATCTATCTTCCCAACATCAATTCCACCCAGGGCCGTGGGCGAGGATCCCCTGGTGGTTCCGTACCATGAGGTTCTGTAGTTGCAGGGTGTGTTCTCCTCCTGCAAGTCCATCTTTACGCAGAAGGCTAAGGGAGGAGGTGGCCAAGAGGCTTGCTTCTGTTTTTGCCTGACCCCCCTGGGGTATCACTGTCCCAGGACCCCTTTTGACATAGCTATCTTATGTTTGGGGCTAAGGTTCATCTGTGGGTCCCACTGTAAATATTTATTGGAGACAAGTATCCAAGGAAGGAAGAAAACAGCAATAACTGAATATGTGGGTTTGCCACCCACAGGATGAGGCCAGGGAGGGTTTCTGTACAGGAACAGGTAGGTAGCTTGGGCTTGCAAGGGTCATACAAGGCGTGATGCCTTCAGACAGCTGACTCCCAAGTTCCATTTTCCCTGCACAGGTAAGGAACCATCACATACTTGACTTTGCCTCCCCAGAGGCCAACTGATGGGGAGGAATGGGCTTCCCTCGCTTCTTCTCAGGCAGAGCTGAGGTGACTGCATGGGGCTGGGGGCTCTGCCTCTCGCTGAAGTCCAGAAGAAAACATGCCTATGGCCTCAGACATGACAGAGTCTCCCTTGGCCTCGGCCAGTATTTGACAGTCTTAACCCCGCCTGTAGAGGTGCCTGTGAGAGGGGTTCTTGTTCCCAGCCCCTAACACAGATGCCATCAGGGACCACTGTCCAGAATTCTCTGATAGTTCTGGAGGGTTTTTGGAGCCCTAATCCCACTGTTTCTTTTCTGTTCTGCTTGTAACAGAGCTCATCTTCTGGGGACTTCTTTCAGTGGGCAAAGCAAGGGGTCATTGTCTGAGTGGGAGCCTGGGCCTCTGCCACATGGGCCAGGAAAAGCTCCCTAGGGTCCTTCTGCCCAGAGGGAATTTGGCCAGGCAGGTGAGGGAGAGTCTGCCTCCGAAGAGGGTCTGAGAAGCAGTCATATTGACCCAACCTTTGCGTGTGGCTTATTGACAGCATCAGCACCCATAGCCCTGATCCACGTCAGAGACTCCCCACTTCAAAGCTCTTAAAGCCCTCACAGCACACATGAGTTCCTGTGGTCCTGGGGCACCCAGTTGCCTCAGGTCTTTGCTAGGGTCTGTTTCCTGGGCCTTGTTGGGACCAAAGTTTCTGCCACAGCCAATGAAACAAGACCAAGAGGAGAACAGCACAGCATCCAGGGAAGGAGGGGGCCTGGAGGCCAACAAGGGCCATTGCCCCTGGTGGGCGGGCAGCTCCAGAGAGCACCAATGGCTGAGAGGCTCAAGTCCCCAGCAAGGCGGCAAGGCCCTTCACTTCTTTCCAAACCTAAGGCTCTATGCACCATCAGGACCATTTGATCCATGCAATTGGTTTCCACCTCAAAGACGTTTCCCTTTCAACTCTAAACTCGGCCGGGCAGGCAGGCTCAGGGCCCCTTTACTTTATGAAATTAACCAAGGCTGACTAGACAGGCAAGGATATGTAGTCTCCATACATTTTTTTTTAGGGAGCAAGAAGATACTTTTGTTGCCGGGGGGTCGGGGGGTGGGGGTCTTACGCCATGGCCCATAGACAATCGATGCCCACCCAGAAATACTCTGTGGTTCAGGAGGAGGGGAATTTCCTGCCGGCTCTTGCATTCCTCAAAGGTATATACAATTAGCTATACGTGTGAACAAATGGGGCCTTCTCAGGGGCCATTCTCCAGTAGTTAAAGCTCAAATTGATCTACTTCCTTGGATGCATTCTAAGATTTCACTTAGTTTCCCACCCTTTCTCTAACCCACTGCTGATGCAGATCCTATTTATGTGCCTCTGGTTCTGGTTCTGGACTTCTTTAACATCTAGTAAGTATGTGCATTGCCAGTGCCAACTATGTGTCAGTTCCATGCCAGGAGCTGCAGGAGGGCCCAGTGAGTAATGAGGCATTCCCTACCCTTTAGGGAGTCTGCTTTTGGGTTGGAAAAGCAGATAAACTTTAAGGGCACAGCACTGCCTCAGCGACCTTGCACGTATCCACATGTGCCACACAGGCAGTCTTGAACCACAGCTAATCTGAATCAAGGCCACAGGAGCAAGGCCTTGACATCCTGTGATCCTCCCAGACCACCAGAGGATGGGAGGCTGGAAGTCCTTGCTCTGAGGCCATCTCCTACTAGAACCTTCTCCCCTGGGAGGCTACCATGAGGCAGTTTCTTATCCTCTCTGGGTTCTAGCTAGAGAATATCACAATGGAAAGAACGACTTTCCAAATTTCAGGATGAAAAAACTGAGGCACGAATAGTCACACTGCTGGATTCAAGCCCTGGTACCCAGAACCTTTGGAACTCAGGGGCAGACTCAAATTTTCCTCTGGTTTATTATGCAAATGAAGGCATTCCTCTGGGTATCTTAGTAGAGAGCCAGTTAAGACCCCAAACTTCCCCTCTTCCCTTTGCTGACAGATTGCAGCACCCCTTTGCTGACAGATTGCCTGGTCAGGAACTGTCCCCCAAATGTAGTTGAGGACTGATAGCAAAAAGCTAATGAGACCACTGGTGCTGGGTGCCTTCTTGGAGCACGTCCCCTTCCTCTTCCCCTCCCCACCCTCCCCCATCCTGTCATCCTATGGCAGCCCCTCCTGTTATTATTTAATAGCCCTGGCTGGCACCTGCCCCCCAACTGGAGTTCATCAGTGTTGAAATCTGATAGAAGCCCATCCATTTTTTTGCTTTTCTCAACCCCCAGGCCCCTCTCTGGTGAGCAGCCACTGACTTCTGCTCTGTAAGAGCACGCTTTAATGCATTCTGAGTATCACACATTCTCCTTTTTGCCTCTTGCCACAGACCCCAAGGCATCTCCCCAAGATGACCACAGTTGTCCCTGAAGAAGCAGTCACAGCAAGCTCACTTCACAGGAACCAAGCTGTGGGCTGATCCTACAGACTTGAAAAGACAACTCAAAAAGGTATAAAGTTGCCAGATCCTCACCCCCAAAGTGTGGCACAATATTAACGCCTCTAGGCAGGCACGACTGCGTGCCTTCCATTTGGGGCGTGAGTCCTGCCTCCCTGGGCTGAGTGGCCTCCATGCCAACATGCTCTGACTAACGTGATGCCCCTGCAATGCCTGCGACCCTGCTGAGGCACAGCCCACCTCCTCTCCCTCTGGGACCAAGGGGTCGGCGAACTGAGAAGTTTTGGGGGTCTCCCTCCAGGTTTCTCAGCCTCCAGGAAAGCATCTCCCGGCCCCGCATCATCCCGCGTCCCCGGCCGAGGGCCCTTCTGGCAATCAAGGCCCGTATTCACCCTCAGAGAGGGAGTTACGGTTCTGCCAGCTCCAACCCTCTAAAGGCCGCGCGGCAGGACGGAGGCAGCCTTTAAGAACAGCAGTTACTCCAAGGCCGCAGCGCGTGGACAGCGGGCGTGTGGGGAGGGACCTGGTGGCCCTCTACGCCCCGGCCCCGCCCCCTCGCCCCGGCCCCGCCCCGGCCCCTCTCCCCACCCCGCGCCAGGCTGCCCCTGCCAACCCCGAGGGGGGAAGACTGTGCTCTGAGGTCCTCGGGGATGGTTGTTGCGGGCCTCGGCCTCCCTAGATTCCTTCCCATCTCCCCAACAGCAATCCTCCCAGGGCCATGGGCCAGGAACCCCTGGTGGTTCTGTATTCTGAGGTTCTGCAGACGCAGGGTGTAGTCTCCTGCGAGTCCATCTTGATTTGGAAGGCTGCGGGAGGAGGTGGCCGAGACCCCTTCCCTAGACCGCGAGGCAGGACGGAGGCAGCCGTTAGGAACGGCCCCACTCCACCAGCCGGCCCCGCGGGACGGTTACTCTGTTCCTGAGGTACCCCCCGAGGTGGGTGTATGGGGACCTCCGCCTCCCTAGACTTCTAGGCCAGGGGCGAGGATCACCTTAGAGGGTTTCCCCAGACGTCCCTGATTTCACATGTCCTGTCCTGCTGGCAGGCTGCGCCTTCTTTCTGCGCTTTGGGGAATGGTGCCTTCACGCACTTTGTAAAGGGTCTGGAACTGAGCTGAAGAGAAGTGATTGAGGGCTATTGTGGAAAGTCTCCGCTAATTCAGGTTTCTTCACCCACCAGATTGTCTGTGGGGTCAGAAACAGCTCTGGAGGGGTCTGCAGAAATTACTTTCCCAAGTCTTTGGGCTGGAAGGAACGAACAGTGCCTGACCAAGGACTTTGAGCAGGAGAGAGATGGGAGCAGAGAGGAGCCAAGGTCTACTATTTTCACTTCTGTCAATTAGATCAAAGCCCTGCCCAGAAGCTTTGAGCGCCGCTGTCAAGTCCCATTCCTCCCCTAAACCATCCAGGTTCCATCTGCCTTGAAGCCAAAGGATCTTCTTAGATTCCTCAAGAAAAATTCAGGCCCCGAGTTTCTCCACCAGCACTCTCCTCTCCCCGAAGGAGTGGGTGGGCTGCATTTCTCTTCATATTCTATTCCATTCCAGACCGTCTTGGACTACCAGCCTGTCCGCCACCCCTCGGGGCCCTCCCTCCTACTCTGCCCTTGCCCGCTGAGGTCCCAAGCTGAGGAGATGAGCCGAGCAGTAAAAAGAGAGGAGGTTTGGAAAAGCAATGTCCTCTCAGTCTTTAATAGGTGGCCCCCCTGGGAACCTGCTGGAAGTGGAAGTTAATAAGCTGAAGGTGGTCACAACCAATCTCTGCCACACTCGCACCCTACCCCACCCCAAATCATTCCTTTTAATTAATAGTGGAAGACCTTTTTAAAAATGTAACATGAATTGGCTATTTCTTGAGGCAAACAAAAGGTGGCTCTGAAGCGATATATTTGTACTCGTATAAATTCATTAAAATAGAAAGCTTATAACCATCCAGGTTTCACTGACAGCCCCAGTCCATCTACATGCAGAAATGGTCCCTCCAAAGCCCTCTACGACAATTATTCTCACAGATCG
This sequence comes from Homo sapiens, assembly GCF_000001405.40. Taxonomy (NCBI): domain Eukaryota; kingdom Metazoa; phylum Chordata; class Mammalia; order Primates; family Hominidae; genus Homo; species Homo sapiens. Next base: position 33,891,616 of record NC_000006.12, on the reverse strand, counting down.
TCATGATAAACTGTAAGGGAATATACTAAGAAAGAGGGAAGAAGAGAGGAGGAGTCCATTTTTAATTAGTGGTTGGAAATAGAGTAAAAATTAGAGGGCCTTAGGTTTAAAACACAGATGTGCATTGTGATCGTCTGAAGGAAGAGCTGTTGACAGAGAAAACAAGGTGGTGAACTATGCCCTTGGCCTGTGACAGTTAGGTGAGGGTTGCTCACCGCAGAAGACAGACCGGTAGAGCCCAGCAGGAAAGAGGGTATCAGGCTGGAAGAAGTGCAGTTTGGCCCTGGCGGAGTGGTGGAGTGGCTGGAGCGACTGCAGGAGGAGGATAGATCTGGAAGCAGGTCTGGGCTATACTTTGGCCTCAGCCAGGGAGCCAGAGAAGGAAGGCTTGGGTTCGAGGGGGGAAATCATTCTCCCAAATTGCTTTCTCAGAAGCGCCAATTCAGATCACCTGAAGACAGGGTCTGGGCCCCATTACAGCATGGTTCCCAAATGGGAGTGTGCTTGGAAGCCTTGGTGATTAAAGGGTGCTGACTAAAAGAGTCAAACTCTGTAAAATATTTGAAGAGATTTATTCTGAGCCAAATATGAGTGACCATGGCCCATGACACAGCCCTCAGGAGACCCTGAGAACATGTGTTCAAGGTGGTCGGGGTACAGCTTGGTTTTATATGTTTTAGGAAGGCATGAGACTCAATCAAAGACATTTTAAAAATACATTGGTTTGGTTCAGAAAGGTGAGACAACTCAAAGTGGGGGCTTCCAGGCTATAGGTAAATTTAAACATTTTCTGACTGACAATTGGTTGGGTTTATCTGGAGACCTGGGATTAATGGAAAGGAAGGTTCATGTTAAGATACAGAACTGTGGGGACCAAGTTTTATTGTGCAGAGGAATCTCTCAGATAGCAGACTTCAGAGAGAGAGAGAGCAGGTTGTAAAATGTTTCTTATCGGACCTAAAAGGGTACCTGGCTCTTAGTTGATTATCTCCTGGATCTGGGAAGGAAGGAAGGAAAACAAAGGGGAAAGGAAATATTTCCTATAGAATATGGATTTTTCCCACAAGAGACTTTGCAGGACAATTTCGAGATATGGCAAGGAGATTTATTTTGGGGTAAAACATTTTGATTTTCTTCCTTGTTATGCCACAGTCAGATTGGAAAGTCAGTCATGATATACAGGGTCAGATAAAATCCGTCTGATGAGAATGTATGGTTGGTAGGGCATGACTCCCCAGACCCCTTAGATAGGAATCTGGGCAAGATAAAAAATCGGAGCTTAGTCCTCAAGGGAAGGGGCAGCAGCGCTGTTGGCGGGCTCACCAAGCATCAGTACTGGATCACCAGGCTTGGGAGAGTAGGGGTGTCAAGGCCCCAAGAGCAGGGAGGGCCTTGGCCCCACTAGGGGGGCATCAGAAAGCAGGGAGCACTTGTAGTTCACCATGATTCCCCTCAAAGCCCTGGGCCAGCCTCCTGCAGGGAAGGCGGGCAGGAAGTCTTCCCCATAGGGGCAGGCTTGCTTTTTTGGCCAGCCATCCTCTTCATATGAAAAACAGCATCTTGTCATTTCTAGATGTTTCTACTTTGGTTGACTCTTTAATTTTTCTGCAGTTAAAAGCCTTAAAACAGCAAGGAAGCAGGGGACAGGAGGGGAGCCCAGATCTCTCCCAAAGAAAAGGAGAAAGACTGAATCCTTGAGGCCTGCCGTACAAAGGAGTGGTGGGTTGGAGGAGGGTAGGCAGAGACTAGGGTGGTCTGGGACTTTAAGTACAAGGCCCCGTGGATTTCATTGGGGGGCAAGCCATGTGCAACAGGGAAGCTCAGGAACCGGGGGGTTTCGCACAGAGGTCTGGTGCTGTGAGGTACAGGGAAAGAATTAGTGGATCTGGACCAGTGGAACATTGGTTTAGTGTAATCTCTGATTTGTGTTGAGTGAATTTGAGTATAGTCCAACCACCACCCCCCTACCCCAACTAAACCATGTGCCCCTCAGGAGCTGGGACTCTTCTATTTTCTATTCCTTATAGCAGGCTCAGTGCCTGACACACTACGTTGAATTTTATTTTAAACATTTCATTTACATTAAATGGTATATTTGCAAGTTCATTCTTCCAGACCTCAGTTTATTCTTTTATCTAGTCATTTTAAAGGGATTCTCTCAGACCCTCCACTAGCTAAGAGAACCGAACTTTTCTTCCAGAATTGTCAGGAAATGGGACTTACTGACTTAGTGAGCTACTTATTTTATCTAGAATTAACTGTGTCTAATAAAATATATATGCACTTTGGGAATGGATGAGGTGCTACACAAATGAAAGATGGTATTATTCATCATACAGTGTTTTTGATTATAATAGATTATTCTCTGCCAAAACCCAGAAGGGCCAAGTCGAGGTAGGTTGCTGAAAGGGGAGGAAGTCTAAATAGCAGAATCAGACTTTTCCATAAGTTTGCAGTGGCGTATGGACAACACTCAGGCAACCAGCCCTCGGCACAGCAACAGGGGACCCACCTCCTAAGTTGGGGCTGAGTAAAGACATATTCCCGGGGCAAGGCTTTGCCAAGGCAGGCCTCTTCTGAAACATAAGTCCCATCTTTCTCCCGGCCCCGCCACCCCACCTCAGATGTGCTGTCTAGAAGCTGCACATCTGGGGCCGTTCAAACTCCTGGCTCGAATCACTGGAATCATCTGAGCAGGATAATTTTACATTAATGATTAAAAATTGCTCTTCTAGATATAGCCTTGCCTCAGGGTAGCCATTAAGAACATTACTTCGTAATTTAAGAAGCTCAATGTAGGGCGCTTTGGGCATTTGCAAAGAGGGAACTGTACTCATATCTTGATAAATTGCAAAATGTCTCCCACCATCTTCTTGTTCTGTATCTCCTCTTCTGCCTTCTGCCATTGCACTCTCTGGCATATAATCCTTTTAAAGAATAAGAACAAAAACAAAAAAAAAAGGAAGATAATGAAAAGCCTATTGTTTCTTAGTGTCCGCTGATGTTAAACACGCACACGCATGCACAATTATGAATTTTGTGTATTTCTTCCGGGGGATGGAGCCATAAAGGGTTACACTTTGGTATGTGATTTTGGAGCCTACACTTGAAATGGGAATTTGAATGTAGTTGAACAGACTTTTAACATTGCCCCGAGAAGAATGATACTGGCATTTGCTTGTCTGCGGTGTCACACCCCGGAGTGTGGAGGATCCTCACCGGCTCTGTGACTCACCCTGGAAGTTGCACCTTTCTCGGGGGGCAGGGTGGGGAGTTACTTTTTATAAGTAAACCCCAGAGAGCAGTGTTTCCGTATCAATCAGTTTCTCAACAAGTTTGAGAGCAGATTGTGCCTCAATCCCTATCGTTGGGGATGCTCTCCAAGCTCTCCGGGGTGCCGCCAAGCCAGGATCTCCCATTCTGATGCATCCTGGGTCTCCTCTTCCCTTGCCCCTCTTCCTTGTTCTCCACTCTGAGCCAGCTAGACAGGTGAAGCAGAGAACCTGTCTAGTCCAAACTCCTTATTTTACAGATCAGGAGCGTGAGGCCCAGAGAGGGATTGCCCTTACCCCATCCTGCATCCCCTCTCCTCCTCTTCTGCCTTCACCCCAATACCTTCCAGCGTGAATGATGCCCACCCTGTCTCTCTTCTAGCCCCGCATCCTGCATTACTCTTTTCACAATATTTTTGAGTAAGTGGCCTGCTGCAATCTTATATTTGGCATGGCAAAGGCAGACCCCTTTCCCTCCCTCCAGACCCCCAGCTCAGCCACTGTGAGTGCTGTAAGGCCAGTCCCCACCTGTGTCCTTCTATTCATCACAAACTAAGCACATGCTACTTTATCTTTTATCTCCTCGTGTCCACAAAACAGGCCACAACCAAGGTCATGCTGCCAAACAGATCTGGGAGAATGGTAATTGACAATTCACGCTAAAAATTGTGTTGAACAAAAATTCTCTTCTATTAGAAAAATGACAGGAGAGACAACTTTGCCATTATGTTGCTTTCTCCTCAATCGGGACACACAAAAAATCTCAATAAAAATGTTATATCAAAGGCTCGCAAACATCATTCAAATCTTCCCTAACCCATTGCTTTCATTTGAAAAACGAGCATTTCATTAAAGACACTTGACAGGATGTTAATTTGTTGTGGGAATCTGTCAGTGTCCAAACAAATACTTGCATGTTTTGTGCAGATGAGGTAACCGCTTGTAGAATGGCAAAACCAGAAGGCATTTGGGTGACCTGCTTTGGCCTTTTGACTTTACAGAAGAAGAAACTGTTGCCTGGTGAGAGAAAGAGACTTGCCCAGGGCCACTCACTGGTAGTAGAACTGGGACTAGAACGAGAGCCTCCCAACCCCCAGGCAGGGCCCTTCCTTCTCACAATGGCAGAACCACAAGATATTGACAATGGAAAGGATCTTGGAGGTCTCCCTAACACTTCTAAATACTGAAAGGTTGGACCAACCACATCAAGAGAGAGCCAACTACGCTGAAGAACGTGTCATCACCTCCTGAGAGCTGCCTGAATTGGAGGCGCAGGTCCCAGGAAGTAGTGACTCCTCTTCAGAAGCTGGGTCTGCAAGCCTGTGCAAATGTGAGGTTTCCGGTTCCCTCCCTCCTCTGGTGGAAGCTGCTAGAGGGCAGACACTACGTATCTCGATTCTTTGCTGTCACCTTTCAGCTGTCAGCTCTGATGTTTCTTCATCCAACGGGTGCTGATGGAAGCTCCCCAGCTGCTGGGTCAGTCGCCAGCCATCTGAGGTGTCGACAGAGAAAGAGAAAGACCAGGAAACCATTTCTAACATAGTTGGCCCAGAGCAGAGAGTGAATCACCAGAAACAGACTGGAAGAGGCTATAAAACGAAAATAAAACAGGATGGTAATTTATGATGAGCAGTAAAAAGGCCTGGGACGCTGAACAGCTAGTGAAGGTTCATTTCCCTCTACTCTGTGGATCTTTAACCATGCTGAGCATTTCCCTGTCCAGCCTGGCAGCCCCTAAAATTTGGAAAGCCCTCTGTCCCCCACATCAAGGTGAGAAAGTAAGGCTGTCTTGACAGCCCTTGGTATACTGGTTCTCCTCTGCAAAAGCACCTGCCCACAGGGCCCCAAAACCCTTACGATAAAATCCATTTCCATTGTGCAACACCATATAGATGGTGAGGCACATTCCCACCCATTATCTCATTTGATCCTTACAGAAACTCTGGGAGGGGACTTCGTTTTTTTTTTTTTTTAAGAGACGGAGGCTTGCTCTGTCGTTAAGCTGGAGTGCAGTGGTACCATCTTGGCTCACTGCAACCTCCGCCTCCCAGGTTCAAGTAATTCCCCTGCCTCAGCCTCCTGAATAGCTGGGACTACAGGTGTGTGCCACCACACCTGGCTAATTTTGGGAAGGGCCTTTTATGAAGACATAAGGGTACTGAAAATCACTCACAGCAAATCAAAGACCCAAGACCTGACAAACCCCAGACCTGGACTCAGGACGACCCAACAACCTATTTCAAGATCAAAGTCTTTCTCAAACCTGCCCCATGAGCCTTGCTAGGAGCAGAAGACTTTGAAATTTAAGATATTAAGTGTAGGCTGTTCCCCTACTTCTACACTCCTCCCATCCACGAAGCCCCAAAGGCTGGAGCCCAGGTCCAGGACAAAGGGCACCCACAAAGAGCCTAAAGAGCCTCAAGGTGGAGTGAGCCAACTTGAGAGGGAGGCCAGCAAACCTCTCTGATGTCAGAGCCTTCAGGCAGTGATTAGGGCAGGCTACCTCTCTGCCTCTCCCTGGCCCTATCAGGGTGGTCACCCATGAGTCACTGAAGTTTATGGAGCCCATGGGCTGTCCCTGCTCTGAGGAGCCCAGCTGGGTCTCCACAAGGCCTGGCCAGGTATCCCAAAGGGCTAAGCCAGCCTCTTCCCCACTTACTGGTGGGTGTGAATTGCTCCTAGCTGCCTGTACCTGTCGACCTCTCGTCCTGTGCAGGGGGGGTGGTGTGTGCCCTCAAGCTCCCAATCTACAAAGTTCAAAAGTGAGGGCATGCAGCAACTGGTGAGAGGGCATCCTTCCAAGCTGGGTTTAGAAGGTGTCTGAATGAGGAGGGAGGTGCCTGGAAGCAGAGCGGCTCTGGACACCCTCACATTCGTGTGGCTGTTTCTTGGGTTGACCTGGGGGTCTTCCTATGGGACTGTCCCTCTGTAGTATGGTGGAGTAGGAGGGAAGAGGGCCAGAGCTGAGAGCTCTGGGGTGGAGTCCAGTGCCAGTCCTACCACTGACTCATCATGTGAGTCACCTCTCTTGAGACCCAGTCACCTCTACTTGTCCATTTTATAGTACCCTTGGAAAGTTCCCATGAGTTAATGGGTATGGAAGGACCTGGTAAATAAATCAAGTGCCCCTGAGTTGTAGGGTGCTATAACTATCATTAGCTGAGCAAGGAGGTTACCAACAGCCCCATCCCATTCCTGATGCATCTTGGGGCTATTTATGGCGAGTCCCCAGGCCTGCTACCGCCATCGTGTCCTCAGCACATCAGGGCTTGCTTGTTCACATACCCCTCCCTGTGTACAAGCCTGAAACTCAGGGAAAGCAAATGCAACTCCACATCAGGCCAAGGTAGAGGACCCGAGGGTCACTGATCCCGAATATTCCCAAGCCCACTCCCTACCCCCACAGACATCCTTTCTTTTTAATCATCCTCTCCCCATGATTCCTCAGAGGAAGGAGGAGGCCACCCAGCTCAGAGCCCTGTTCTGCTCTCTGCTCATCTACCTGAAGCTCAAACTGTCCTGATCTCCATGCTTTTCAAGAACAGGTGTCAGCAAAGACCTCAGGCATCCTCAGCAGAAGGCCTGAGAGCTATGGTCTCTAATTGAGGCTGTTCACCGGACGCTGACTTACCGGTCTGAAGACCTCAAGACCCAGAAGACCACTTCTGGTTACTAGGCTGGGCAGCAGCTGCCCTAAGCCTCTCTTTGGTATTAATTTCCTAATCTGCCCCAAGAACCCCAGGTTCTTCTTAGGACAGTTTCTGCTGGCTGTTCCCTTTTATTTAACCCAGAGTACCCCTTGGGTCACTTGATACTTGAGAGGAGAATTCTTTGTTAAGCTAGAGCACAGATTTCAAAAGTGATTTTTCAGGGGCGTGGATGCCACCACCAGGATCTTAGGGGATGGCCTCCCCTTGCTCCCCAAATGCCCAAATTCTGAACTCTTGGGTGTCCAACCCCACCCAGCCAGTCCCCAAAAACTGCTTCTCCTTCCTCTCTCTTGCTCCGCAACACCTCCTGGCCCCAACAACGCCACTATTCCTTGAGTGGTTTGACATAAGTGAAGTAACAGGTATAAAACTGAGTTTTGAAGTAATTGACGCAAGAATTTGGACTCTGGAGAACTTCCCAGAGGAATGAAAATCAGCAACGTGGTGGCCTATTTGGAAAAGACCTGCCATGATGAACAAACCCTAACAATGCTAAGCAGGTCTGTCTGCTCCTTCCAATTCCTTTTTTTTTTTTTACATCTATTGTGCACTTTATTTCTATTATTACTACATTGTAATACATAATGAAATAATTACACAAGTCATCATAATGTAGAATCAATGGGAGTCCTGAGCTTGTTTTTCTGCAACTAGATGGTCCCATCGTGAAGAGATAGGAGACAATGACATATCATCAGGCATTAGAGTCTCATAAGGAGCATGTGACCTAGATCCCTTGAACATGCATTTCACAATAGGATTTTCACTCCTATGAGAATCTAATGCCTTTGCTGATCTGACAGGAGGCAGAGCTCAGGTGATAATGTGAGCAACGGGGAGTGGCTGGAAATACAGACGAAGCTTCACTCGCTTGCCTGCCACTCACCTCTTGCTGTGCAGCCTGGTTCCTAATAGGTCATGGACCTGTCCATGGTTTGCAGGCTGGGGACCCCTGCAAGGATCCAGATTTAAATTCAGAAGAAGCTTCATCTACTTCTGTAGTTCCATTTTCTTGCAATACCTGCTGCAGCAAACTTGAACATTGCAGGATTTTCTCAAGCCGCTCAATTTGGTCATCTTGCTTTTTAATAGTTTTTCTTATCACGGCATTTTCTACTTCAAGCCTTATTTTGTGTGCTGCTTCACATTGTATTTTTGTGCATGGCCTTCCGTCTCCATAGTACATCTTATAGTTGCTGTAAGTTGATCCTGTATTTCTTGAAAATTTTATTCTTAGCCTCAATTGCATAATCTTCTGCAGTCTTTCCATATGCATCTCGAGAAAACACATCAGTATTGTGCTGCAGAAGAAGAACGACTATATCTTTTTCTCCAAGATTAACAGCAAGTATGAGGGCTGATCTGCTAAGATAATCAATTGCATTTACATTTGTGTTTTTCTTTAATAAAACTTCCACCATTTTCAGTTTTCTTTGACTCACAGCAAGTAAAAGTGGTTGATATTCATATGAAGGACATTTTCCGGGGTGTCCATGGCCAGAGGACGCTGGCCGGCAGCGGTCAAACTTGAACCGCAAACTAGAAGCCACCGCCAATTCGAATCCCAATTCCTTTTTAAAAACACTATCAAAGAATGTGTGACAGAGAATCCACCCAGACTTGATGATCTGCACCTCTTCAGGGTAGCTGTGCCATAGAAACTGGCAAACTGCTGGCCAGGCGCGGTGGCTCATGCCTGTAATCCTAACACTTTGGGAGGCCGAGGCGGGCAGATCACCTGAGGTCAGGAGTTACAGACCAGCCTGGCCAACATGGTGAAACCCTGTCTCTACTAAAAATACAAAAATTAGCCGGGCATGGTGGTGCATGCCTATAATCCCAGCTACTCAGGAGGCTGAGGCAGGAGAATCACTTGAACCCAGGTGGCAGAGGTTGCAGTGAGCTGAAATTGAGCCATTGCACTCCAGCCTGGGCTACAGAGCGAGACTCCGTGTCAAACAAAACAAAACAAAACTAAACTAAACTAAACTAAACTAAACCTGCAAACTGCTTCTTGGTCTTGGTCTGGGCGTATTCTCCCAAATTCGCTAAAGGAAAGGATAGAAGTTTCTGTGGCCCAGAGCCCAGAACTGAGCATCCTGGAGCCCCTGCCAGAGGGTGCTGGCATCCTGCTAAGCATTCTTCTCCACCCTCCTCCCCAAAGTTCTGCAAAGGAGACCTCATCCAGGTGCTCCCCATGCTGGCTGTGGGCGCCAGGCTGATGGCCCTCCAGAACGGTGCCTTTGGAGGTTTACTGAGGCTGAGTGAAGCCAGAGTTAGTTCCCATCACTTGTGTCGACATGGATAGTTGGACTGCTGCCCTTGCTTAGGGGCCTTTCATTCTTCACTGGAATCCAAGTTACACTTCCGCTTCTTCGCTAGTTGGCTGCTGCATATCTAAGCTGCTCAGAGTCCGGCCACGGCAGTTCGTCCTGCACTTGCCAGGTGTTTGTAGCTCAAAGGCACCATGCTTGGCTCAGGGGGCTCCCACTCCCAGTACTTATGGAGCCCCAAGAAAGGAATGGCTAGGAATCCCACCCACAATGCTCCTGTAAGGCCAAGATAGAAAAGGCTGCCTTCAGGTGAGCCAGCTCGCCAGTCCTAGAATGAAGGCAGAATTCAGCCTAGGCCAATCTGAAGGCAGTTCTTTTTTTTTCTTTGAGACGGAGTCTCACACTCTGTCACCCTAGCTGGAGTGCAGTGGTGCTATCTCGGCTCACTGCAACCTCTGCCTCCTGGGTTCAAGCAATTCTCCTGCCTCAGCCTCCCATGATGGTGATTCTTAATTAGCAGGGCCTGAAGTAATGAGTCTCTCTCCCTTCTTTAACAATGCAGGTGAGACGCTCCCAGGAGCACAGATCCCGATGGGGCTGTCTGGCTTTTCTCTTTGCAGAATGCATTTATCCCCTGCCCCTGTTCCCCTCAACCTCCCTCTGTTTATGTTCAGGCTGATGTTTCTATTGATGTATTGATCTCTGCTAGCTGAGGAACATTTCTGCTGAACACACTCACTTGCTCAGTGGGGGGGCCAGAGGGGCAGGCTCTGCAGGGGGTGCCAGGGACAGCAGCCTCAAGTCTGGCCTAGGGTGGGGAAGGGTGACATCTCTGCCTGGGACAGAGATGTTGATGGGAAACAGAGAAATGATTACTTGTAAAGACAAAAGTGGGCAAAGGGAAGAACTATGATCAACAGCTGTGGCCTCCCATGGATGCCCTGGGGCACGGGGCCTCGTGTGGCATGGAGACGGACTGGCCTGGAATCGTTTTACTCCACTTCACTTTTGAGTGGATGCAGATCAGTCTTCCCACCTGCATAGGGAAGCTTTTTTCTCCTTACTCTTCGTCCATGGTTAAGAGACTCAAAATAACATGGGAATGTGTATTAAAACCTGTAAACTGCCAAAGGAATCAATGTGAGCTAGGATGCCTTGTTGCCACTACCTGAGGACCTGTGAGGTTTTTAGCTGAGTGTGATCTTGAGAGCATAGTTCTCCCCTTAGCAGCTGAATTGTTTGAAATGCTTGTTTTCCGGTGCCGTAAAGAAATCGTACTTGAACATAAATTTATTTAGCAAGGCCATTTTTACTTCCTGGAGGAAGGGTACACTCGCCAGCAGTTTTGCCACGAGTACACCGAACGAAGGAGACAGGGTCATTCATAACCTGACGCGTCCACCCTACTGCTGTATCCGGTTTCCACTGGCTGGAACGGGACCTCACGTTCTGTATTTGTCCTGATTGGCTAGCAACTGAGAACTTTTTAAAAGAGGCAAAGGTAGAGGAGAATAAAGGAAGGAGGAAGTAACTTGTGTAATGCTGAGAAAGGTAAAAACACCTTCAAATAAGGAAGAGGAACAGGCTATGACCTAATGCTTGCTTGGACCAGTATAAGCAACCCAGGACAAATATTTAGGCTAAATTGTGGGAGCTAAGAACATAAAGTATATTGATTTCTTTATTACGGCTAGCAGATATTTAAGAATGTTAGCACAGGTCTTTGAATAAATTTTGCTTCTAAGAGAAGTTACTATTTATTCCTAATTAGACGGGGAGGAAAGTGTTTGATAGAGGAACCTTTACTTTTTACAGGGACCCAGACGGGTCTGCAGCGACAGGCTCACAAAGAGGGCCCATCTGCTGTCCAGAAGAGACATGCTTGTCTCAGCTCGACAAAGCAGTTCCATTGCCACGCTCTCACTGCTGGAGCTCCCCGCCCATCCTCCACCCAGTGGAATTTGGGGTGATCCGAGCAAATCTCTCATTTTTGCAAAATTCCATCAGGCATTTAACCAAAGGCAGATTCAGGCTGAGGGTAGGGGAGAGTGAGGGTAGGGGAGAGGGTAGGGGAGAGAGGGTAGGGGAGAGGGTAGGAGAGGGTAGGGGCACACAAAAGAGGGCAGCTTCCTTGTCTTTAATGTCATGCGCCTCCCTGTGAAGAGACCACCAAACAGGCTTTGTGTGAGCAATAAAGCTTTTTAATCACCTGGGTGCAGTTGGGCTGAGTCCGAAAAGAGTCAGCAAAGGATGATGGGATTTTCATTAGTTCTTCTAGGTTTGGAATAGGTGGTGGAGTTAGGAGCAATTTTTTGTGGGCAGGGGGTGGATCTTACAAAGTATATTCTCAAGGGTGGGGAGAATATTACCAAGCACCTTCCTAAGGGTCGGGGAGTATATTACAAAGTACCTTCTCAAGGGTGGGGAGGGTGTATTGTCACAAAGTCAATTGATCAGTTAGGGTGGGGCAGGAACAAATCACAGTGGTGGAATGTCATCAGTTAAGGCGGTAACAGGCTATTTTCACTTCTTTTGTGGATCTTCAGTTGCTTCAGGCCATCTGGATGTATACGTGCAAATCACAGGGCATATGATGATGGCTTAACTTGGGCTCAGAGGCCTGACATTTAACTTGCCTTCCTCCCTCGAAACATTTCCTTGTTTTGACTTCTAGCTCTAGGTACCTGCTCACAGAGCCCCTGCCCTCAACACTGTGGTCTTTCCACTCAAGGAAGCCTCAGTTGGCTTTTTGTGGGGTGGTAAGACATTGCTTGGTCATGATGTGAAATGCAATGAGACACCACCTTAATTCGGACTCAACGCCATCTGGTAGCCTGGTACTTTCACACACATAACCTGGGAAGAGGTTAGCAAATTGCATGTCAGGAAATGCATGTTCTTATCTTTGTGGCATGAGAAGAAGAAGGAGGCAAGTCCTGGGTCCTAGTTTCAACTCTGCCGTCACTGAGTGGATAAGCAGTTACTTCATGACTCCAACCTTTGGTTTTCTCCAGGGCTGGACTCAAGGCCACTCCCAGAGTCTTTTCTGTGGCTCTGACTTCGGAGGCTTTAAGAGCACTGGGGACCCATTCATCACATTTCAAGTCAACTCCGTGAAGAATCATTTAGTCAGAATTATCCCAGGAGGCTCAGCTCGCCCCCTGAGCAGGTTTCCCAGCAGCACTCCGGCTGGGCCCATTGCACATGCCAGCCCAGAGGACTCATGGTTAATGTCCGGGCGAGAGAAGCTCGGGACGCTTATGGTTGGCAGATTAGCGTTGGGAGGCATGGCAGTGTTGATCAAAGGACAACCTTGGGCTGGGCTCAAAGTGGGAGCAATTGGGAGAAATAATTAGGCAGAGTCAGAAAGAAATGTAAATACACCTGGACCTGCCTCTCCTGTTCACCAGAGTCCTACAGCTGACGCCTGCACATATCTATGACCAGGAGCTAAGTCCCCCATTCACGCTCCTGACCAACATCTGCCTCCTGGGATGGAGTGGGCCCTCCTCCACACACTGGCATCCATTAGGCACACCTTTACACGCTGTACCCCACCCTCTCAGTGTGAGATGTCCTCAAGGTCACCTGATCCAGCAGCCTTGAAAGGAGGCCTCTTCACATGGCATTGTTCCAAACCCCAGCACCTGCAGGCTCATTTTCTCTCAACACTTAATTCCTGGTGGGTATGGTTTAAAGCTACTCAGAGCTCCAGGACAGTGTGTCTGGCCAGCAAGGGGCCAGGAAGCCAGCCTTCCCCTTCCTTATGCCGTGGCCTGCCCTCATTTCCCATATCCCCACTGCTCCCTAGCCCCTCCTTCCCAGGCCTGGCTTCAGCAGCCCATTTGGGCCCTCTTGCCCTCACCCCACCCCACACCCATCAACTGCAAGAGAAGCTTATTGGACATGAACGGTGTCAACACAGAGATGAACAGGACTAAAATTCTTGGGAGAAGAGCTCACGGGAGCTGATGCTTGATCTGGGTCAAAGGAGTAGATAGGAAGGGGGGGTGGGTTCCACTTATTGGCTCAGCCAAGGTGCAGTCTGCCTAGGAACCCTCCCAGAGAGCTGTGGTGGGGGTGGACTCATTAAAGTAGACCGCAGGGGAGCACCCCACCCTGGCCAGGGAACAGACGCAGCTCAAGTTAGCATAGTGCAGTGGCCAGCCTGCCGTGGACGGGTGTAAGGGCTGATCAGATGAGGGAACAATTGATTGTGCCTGACAAGGCCAGGCAAGGCTTCGTGAAGCTGGGCTCTGGCCCAAGTGAGGCCTGGATAGACAGGTCAGTGCAAAGCTGGAAAGGAGCAGAGCCAGCAACTGTTTTTGATGTACAGATGACTGTGCCACTCCCCAGCAGCCCCTTCTTTATTCTGGGTACCTGGACGTCACCATGACAACCAAGCCTCCCTCAGCCTGTGGTGTGGGCTGGGGGCCCACTGAGCTCAGGGTGGGGACCCCCAAGAGGTGGTAGCAGCAGACCTGGGGGAGAGGCAGGAGAAGGGAGGGTTAGAGAGGGCAAGCTGGCTCTGCAGGGGTGGTGGGGCTGGGTGGCTGGGGAGGCTGGAAGAGCAACCCTCTGGTGTGGGGCAGGGAAGTAGGACTGAGAAACACCCACGAGAGCAAGCGAGTTATGGGGCTCTCCTCCCAACCACTCCCCACTTTCAGCACTTGTGTGATGTCATTCTAGGAACACCACCATCACCAGCATGGAGAGCAGCCGGGACCCCATGGGCAGGTCCCTAACCTGGTCCTGGTAGTTGGATTCCACCTCTGGAAGTGAGCATATCTCTCTCTCCTTTGCTTCTGCAAGGAAGGCACAGTCCCAAGCCTTTTCCAGCAGTCCCCAAATTTCACTGACTGCCCCATCCTGACCTTCCTAGCTGTCCTCTACCCTACTGCAGCTTCCACTGCATGCGTGTGCATGCAGTGGTCAGGGCCTCCTGAAGGCAGTTCTGAGGAATGGCTCTGGACAGAAGAGGGAAGGGTACTACATGACTCAATGTGTCCCTGAGCTGTGGCCAGCAGCGGATTGGGGAGGGGGTCTGTCCTGGCCCACCCATGCTTCTCCGTGAAGGTGGCCTTCAGCCTTGCAGTCTGGATTCCTCCCCACTGGAGGGAATAGATTAGGGAATGGTGCATGATGATGGAAGCCGTGTCTGCAGCTGAAAGTCACTTAGGAGAGGGCCCTGCTGTCTGGGTCTCTGTAGCAGGTATAGGGTCAGCGGAAGAGCTCACCTTCCCAGGCACAGACCCAGGTGGTGTATGGTTCCTGCTTTCCAGCCCCATCAGCCTCCCTGGCCATGTGCTTGAAGAGGTGCTTTCCTCTGACAGGTGAAAGACCAGGTGGGTTGCTCCATTAGGGTCCTGCTGGGATGGAGTGTCCTCAGGTCAGACAGACCCAGTGTTGCCTTGTTCAGCAAAAGCGCCAAGATGCCATTTCATCCTGTGCATGGGAACAAGAGTGCCCATTCATTCCTCAGGCTTTCTGAGTCTCTACTCCTACCTGTCACCACTTTCTCCCCTACTTTCTCACCCATCCCAACCCTACCCTGCAGTGGGGAAGTTGTCCTGGCAATTAACTTTCCATTCTTCTACTGGGGCCCTTCAAGTAACGTTTGGAGCTTTTCCCTAAATCCCAGCTTGGATAAATGATCCCCTCACATGTCCCCAAATTCTTGTTTGGTTTCTGAAGTTGGTCAGATGCTGCTTTCTGGACCCCAGGTGTGGGAAGATGCATCCACCTCCTGCCTCTATCATTTCAAGCTTGTTTTCCCAGGGCTTGCCCTGAAGGTATCTGAGATTGCAGGGAAAGATTTCTGCATAGGGAAGGGTCTGCCAGGGGAAGCAATGCAGGATGCTGAGGGCAGGCGGACGTTGGAGCAGAGGGCCTCCCCTCCTGGCGCACCAGATTCTCTCTCCACTCAGGACTGCAGCTGCTGCCTCAGCCATTTATTACTCACCTCTTCCTTTTCTTTCCAGTGATCTTTTTAGCTTCAATGCCCAATGCTAATCACTCATGCTCTGAGTACTTCCCAGATCAACCTTCTGAGAAGCAGAACCCATTTGCCCTGTGTCGTTTCTTCATCCCAGACCACATCTCAGGTTGACGTGCCTTGATGGGCTGCCCTTAGGTCAGCTGGGACCAGGCACAGACAGAGACCTGGGGGTCTCCCGGTGGGACAGAGCAGCTATCTTTAGAAGGAGCCATGTGCCTGGCAAATCAGCAAATGGCATGTCTATTACATTTTCATTAACTTGACAGACACCTGTTGAGCTCCCTCATCACATGGCAAGCACTGTTCTAGGCCCTGGGTAAACCACAGAGGCAAGGACAGGCCCAACAGTGTCCTCCGCTGTGCTTTCCCCAGAGCACAGCCCTTTGGAGTCTAGTGGACTCTTCTCTAAGAAATAGGAGATGGTAGGCCTGGCAGAGCTGGATGACCTCACCCAGCCGCTGCCAGATAAGGAGACAGATGCACAGAGAGGAGGTGTGACAGAGCTCGGTGAGCGTGCAGGCAACAGGGGCTTCATGTCTGTGATGCTGGGGCCGGCCTCTGTCTGTTTTCATTTCAGGGAAGTGTCCCTCAGGCTTCTTCCTCTAGTTGGAGAAAGAGAAGCCCTGATCTCTTGATTCTGCAATTCTTCTGCCCTTGCATCTTCCTCCAACCCACTCTCCCTAGCCCTCTTGGATGGCACCCAGCCTTGGCTGACACTGGTGGGTGTGGTGGGGAGGGTGCTTCAGAACTAGGGCCCAGGGAACCCCACCTGCCAGCTGAGAAACCCAGGGCCAGCCCTCGGCCCTCTGGGAAGCCAGATGGGCTGTCTACCTGACGGTTCAGCCTCCTCCGCTGTCAGCTGTGGGGCCATTTCTGTCACCACATGCTGATAACTGAGTTTTCAACTCTTGTGGGAGGTTCCCTAAAACAGGACACCCTCTTGCATGGATTTGTATGAAAGACAGCTGTGCTGGAGGCATAGGCTTCTAGAAGTTCCTTAGCTCAGAGGGATGTGAGCAGAAGTGCTTTCAAGCGAATCCACTCACTTTATTTTAAGTCCCACATTCCGGGTTTGGCTTCAGCCCAGCAAGTTCCCTCCAACTTGCTGCTGCTTGTGCTTCCATTACAATTCTTCCTGCTTTCTGTGCTCAGCTCCCCAAAGCTGCCTCTGCCCTCACCGTGCTGCAGGGCTGTCCCTTGTCCCCCCAGCACCTCCTGTCCTCCTCACCAGCCTAGACCAGCCAACCCCACTGGCCTCCAGGGTGGGCCAGCAAAGGGAGATGGAGAAAGAATGAGATCCCCTGAAAGCCCAGTCAGCAACGTGGAGACTCAGGTCTGTGTTTCTAACCAGGACTGCAGATCAACCTCACAGGAAACTCTTTTAAAATAAAATACACACACACACACACACACACACACACACACACACTCACATGCCCACACATACACACGTGGGCCACCCCTCAGAGATTTAGATCAGTGGCCCATGTTGCGTCTATCTGTTCTAATTGGTGGATGGGGGGAGAAAAGAGAAAGCCCCCTCTCAGCATACAAATGGCAAAAAAAAAAAAAAAAACACACACACACACACACACAAAAAAAGAGGTGCAGAGAGAAATTGCATTAGGCAACAGTTGCCTGTAATTGTTACCAAACTTTTGGAAAACAAGAAACAACAAAGAAATAAAAGCAGTAGATAATTAAGTACATAATTGTACACACCACTTGTTAATTAAGCTTTTACTCCTAAAACCTGACAGAATCTGCTTACAAGGTGATAACGTGCAGGAACGTGGCATATGGTGAGCCATCTGCAATACAAACGCTTTGTCGATGAAAACTTCCCTGCCCCACAAAAAGAAGGAGATGCTAAATGTAGTTTTCCAGAGCAGAGTGATGTATCTTCATTCCGTGCAGAAAATGAGTTGACGGTACAGTGTGCAGATGAAAGAATGTCAGGAAGGGCCACGCGGCACCCTCTGTCCTCGCTGCGGCTCTGCGTGTTTGGTTTGTGGCCCATGCTAGGGGTTCTGAGAATCGCTCGGTTGGTGTATCTGGTGCCCGAGAGCAGTGTCTTAAGAACAAATGAAAAGCAACACTTCTCTTAAATGCTCCTGTTCTGGGTGTGCAGGGAGCTGAAAAAGACCTATGAAGGTCTTGAGAAAAGTGGGTTGAGGAGCAACGACGGTCCCCGTTTCTCAACTGTAGCCCACTACCCTCTATCCCACCACTGGAGCTGTGGTCTCCAAGCCTCCTAACCTCTTCAAACCTTCCTCGGCTGTAAAATGGAGATAAAGTACTTACCTTGTCAATTGTCCTGGGCTGATGGCAAGCCCTGGTGAGATTGTTCCTGGATCAAACTGAGGGTCGGGCTGCTATTTCTCATGGCCCAATAACGAGATGCAGGTGAACTGGGGAGGAAGAAGTTTTTATTTCTGTAACCGGTTTTAGGTAGAAGGCCTGGAAATTATTGCCAGACCAACTCAAAATTACAAAGTTTTTCAGAGCTTGTATATCTTCTAAGCTATATGGCTATGTATAAGTGCGCATTCTTCTAAAGACATAAGTGATTAACTTCTTTTAATCTATAACTAAGGTCTGAGTCCTGAAGGCCTTCTTCTGGAGCCTTAGTAAATTTACTTAATGTAAATGGGTCCAGGTGCTGGGGTGATTACCCTTATCTTGTCTCCTGCTAAATCACGGAGGTTTGGGGAGTTCCTTCAGATCCCCAACAAACTTGTCTGTGGTGGCCTAGGGAGTTTCTTCAGAACCCCAGTAACGCTTGTTTAATCCTAAATGGGTCCTATTAAGAATTCCCATGTCATGCTTTAAGACCCAGGAAAGGCCACGGCAAAACTCTTGATGGGCTTTTTGTTTCATTCCAGCCTTTGTATAAGGGCACTGACTTTTTTATCTTTTAATATTTCACCACGCAGTCAGTACTCAAACAGTTGTGATGGAGGCCAGTGTTAGTGAAACCTGGTCTGCCACAAGATGATGTAAAAAGCGTATGTCCGGTGTGAGATTTTACATATGTAGGGAATTATTGTTACTAATAATAAGCCCTTGAACCCTGAGTGAGCATACCTTTACTTCAGCTTGATCTTTGACTTGCACCCAGAGCTACACAGCAGGCAGGTCCAGGGCGACAGTCTCGATCCTTGATCTTCCTGGGCTCCCGGGGTCACTGAGGAGGGCTGATCTTTGGGAGATGTGGGAGGATGGAGCACTGGTGCAATGGAAAGGGGCCCTGGGCTCCCACGGTGCCTGCGTCTCCTTCATTCTGAGGGCCTTCCTAGTTCTGCTGCTTGTGTTCTAAGAGGTCTGACAAAGCAGCCCTGCAGAAACTGTGGCAGCTGCAAGAGGGGAGGGCCACCTGGGGGTTGGGGCTTTGGGGCCCTGTGGGCAGGCTGGCCTCCTGGAGATAGCTAGCTCGGAAAGCAGTGGGGCTGGGGAGGCCCTGCCTGCGGCCACCCCAGTCTCCGGGCCTCTGAGTCTCTGCCTTGCCTCTGTGACTCTGCTTCTCCCTCCACCTGCTTCTTCCAGGTCTTCTGAAGGAGGAGGCGTCTGGCCACGCCTGTTAAGAACACATCCTCCCCAGCCCCCACCTGTGGGCCTTGGCCCCTGCCTACCCCAAGAGGGCTGCCTTTGGTCTCACACTCATCCTCATCCCCATCAGTGGGGACACACACTCCAAAGCACAGTGATCCATGTGCATGGGAGCACTCCCACCCTCCTCTTGCCCTGTGGACCTCCTTGTTCAAAACTGTCCTCTGCTCAGACTCAGGCCAGGACCCCAGCTTTTTGCTTCCTGGATCCAAAAGGGGGGACCCCTGCACCTCTGCTGGGGGGCATCCATCATATTCATTGATGATTTTTTTCTCAAGTATTCCATAAAATCCCTTGCCGGGCTGTGGAGACAGGGCTGCGTTGCTCCTGAGCGCCTCACCTCCACCCCTACCTGCCTCTCCTGCGGGGCCCACTGCTCTGTGCTCCGTGGAAGGGCCCACTGTCCCTGGCCTGCTACTGCCCTGGCCCTTCCTTCAGTGATTAATGCTCCTACAGGACGCCTTGGGAAGCCTCCATAGCACCAAGCCTGCTCTTGTCACAAGAGAGGAGCACAGTGCAGACACAGTGTCTACTCCCTGGAAGGCAGGGCCATGTCCTGGTGGTCAGACCCACCAGGTGGATTGAACAGAACAGAGCATAGTCCCGAGGATCTGCATGGGCCTTCCTATGGGCAGGGCATCTGAAGAGGGAGCATCTCGTTTCTTCCTCTCCACAGCCCTGGAGGGAGGCGAGGGGGAAGGGAGCAGCAGGGCTATTGGGGGATGGGCACGGGCAGCCCTGGGTCCCAGGCTGGGATGTGTCTGCACATTGGCACCACTCCCTCAACCAGGGCGCTTTCTCCCTGGAAGTGTGGGTAACAGTGTACACCCCAGAACAGGCAGAGGGAGTGCTCTTGATACTCTATACTTCACACTTCTATGGGTTTCTTAGTCTCCACATCTTGTAAACAAAGGAAACTAGGTCTGCACAATCCCCAACATCATCACAGAAACAGATTCTAAAGCTGGAAGGAATCAGAGATGATGAGGTCCACTCCCCCTCATTTTACAGAAGGAAAACCTGGTCCCCAGGGCAAGAGTGATTTGCTGAATGTCATCAAGGCAATGGGAGGCGTTCCTGCCTTGGGGCCACACTCCTGCTGCTCCAGAACCCCAGTATAGAATAGCAATAGCAGGATGCCTGGTGCAATGAACACCAGACAGGTGGAGAAGATGGCTTCAGCAAGGAAGTAGAAATGGAAGAAAAGCCAATTTCTGGCCACAGCTGGGAAGGCGATGTACTAGGGCAGAACAAGAGGGTCTCCAGGCATGGACAAATGGCTGCTGTATTTCTAAGAACAGAAGCCTTTTTCTGTTGCTAGGGGCGAGAGCTCCTTTTGGGCAAGCTCTTACATGGAATAAAAAGGGTAGAATTAGGGCTTGATGTGGGCTGGGCGGTGAGAAGCAGGCGGGGGGTGGTGGTGTGGCTGAGAGAAGAGCCTGAAGGGAGGCTCAGGTTCTGGCTCAGGCTCCAGAAGGTGGTCCCTGGCCCTGAAGAATGACTGAGCAGAGCCATTGGGGGGCCCCAAAGCCCCGTGCTCAGCTCTAGGCTGGGCAGGGTTTGCAGGGAGTGTCCATCTCAAGGCTCTGCCCAGCTGTGGGGGTGGCATTGAATCAGCACAGATCTTGGGCCGAAGCACCTGGGACGTTCCCAGGAGGCCCCAAGGGCCCCACAAACCCCTCAGAGGGGAGGGGAGGGAGCATACTTGCTCCAGAACTTGGAGCCTCTTGGCTGAAGGGGCTGGAGGAGAGGAGCCCCTGGTACAGGCTTTCAAGTGAGGGGAGGGGCTGGAGAGGGGAAGGAAAGTGATGTGGGAGGAGGGGTGGGGGCAGCATTCTGGGAAGGTGTCCCCACGCAAGGGAGTGGAGGGACAGACACGCATGGCCATGTTCTTGCTCCAGGCCTGGGACCCTCTCCTCACCTTCCAACTCAACTCCTGCAGTTTCAGCCGTCCTCCACAGAGGAGAGGCTGCCTAGTGAAGGCCTGAGTTGGCCAGCAGCAGCACAGAAGTTCCACTGGCCCGTCCACCCTCACCCACACCCCATACTGGGGGAAGCGCAGTTCCCCAGGGCCATCTCACCAGCTAGCCCGGCACTACTGGGAGGTGCAGACAACCTGCCAGTATCCCCATTTTGAATAGACAGCAGAAGTATTTGGGGCTCACACCCACAACTGCTGCCACTGATGCAGTGGGGGGCTCATCCAACAGAGAGCTGGCCCTCGCCCGTGAGCACTAGGGAGTCAGGTCCCTCTCCCCAGCAGAAGGATATGAGGACATTCTCTATGGAGCACCTGCTTGCTGCTCTGGGCCACCTGCCAGGCCCTCTGCCCCTACCCCAAACTCCTCCTCTTGCACTGTCCCAGGGGTCCCTCCAACCCAGGCCTTGATGAGTGGGGAGCTCTGTCCCTAGCAGGACCCCCTGGCCATCCTGCAGCTTTCTCCCTGCACAGGGAAGCACAGGTAGGAGCCGAGGGCCACGTCCAAGAGCTGCTCAGCTGCCAGCCCTTCTCAGCTTCCCGCGACTCCCACCTCCAGGTAGTTTCTTTCTCAGGCCGGTTCTAACACAGAGAAACACGCTGGCAGGCCTGCGGCTCCTCCTGAGCCCCGCAGCTGGCCACAGCCCACCTGCCCTCTGTTCTCTCTCCCTCCCACTGTCCCACTGTGGCCTCCCTACCCCTCTCCTTCCTCTCCCCTCTCCCTTTCCCTCTGCTGCGGGAGAGCAGCACAACCTTTGCATTCCAGGCTGCATGCAGGCTCATTCATCCCACGGTCCCTCTTCAAGCTATGGGGCTTCTGCAGGAATTCCTGTTGGGTCTTTGAGCCCACAGGCCCTCCTCGCTGGTAGCTGCACAGAGTAGAAATGCTGGCCTGGTAGGAAGGATGGGAGGAGACCTGGAACAGGAGTGAAGCAGATGAGGTTGAAATAATGCAACCGTTAGAAGAAACTTCTTGAGTAAATTTGGAGATTAAAAACATTCTCCAGCATAGCCAATGTACTCACTCGAACCCTGGATGGCAGAGATTAATGAACTATGGGATGGAAAGTTAACCTCCAAAGATCTCGCTCAGGAATAATATAAATTTGTTGTCCTGGGTATAGTAATCAAATGGACAGCTAGCGCTATAGTACAAATACTTGTATCTTTTCTTTGGCGGAAGGAACAACATTTGAAAAAAAGGAGCTTATACATTTCCCTCTTTTCTCTTCATACATAAAGAAAAAAGCATTTGATGCCTTTGTTAGGCCTTTTAAAGCAATGCGCACAGGGCAGGACCATCCCATCCCCCGCTGCTTTAATCAATTCTGTGTCTGCTCTCCTTGTTTGACTCCAATCTTAAATCTTCGGGCATCTTCAGGAAAAATTCCCACAAAGGGATCCAGGAGATCATCCCATCCACCCACTACCTGGATTGGCCTCCCAGCCCCATCCCCAGCAAAGGAGCAGTCATCTTGTGCTCAAAAGATTCATTTACCCCTAATCCTCTCCTCACCCAGACTGCTGGACGCCTGTCTTGGGCTAGGAGGACAGGCTCTTCATCCACTTATTCACTCATTCATTCATTTGTCCATCCCACAGTGCAGAACTGGGAGGCACCCAGCGTTCAGCACATTAGCACTGAGGAGCCATGGGTTCTGGACATTCCCAGAGTCCCAATTGAATAAAATTTCATTGTTTTAAAGTGAAGGTTGATGTTTCAATAAATCCTTTAACGGGATTTTAAGCCTTTCTGTGAGTGAATCCACAGTCTACACGTTCTGATTTCTGCTTCTGCTGCATGGTAGCTAAGGAAGAGCCTGTGGCTGTGTGAATGGAAAGGCACCGATGGCTCATGGTCATGGGTGGTGCCAGCTGGGATCCCCACAGGAATCAGCCTTGGTAAAGGGGAACCTAAATGGCTGGCAGCTCAGAAGAACCTGGGCCTAGGGGCATTGTCCAATGGCTGTAGCCTCATGAGAGACCAATTTCTAAACTCAAAATACCAACTATGTCTTGTTTATTATTTTTATTTTTTGAGACAGAGTTTCACTCTGTGACCCAGGCTGCAGTGCAGTGGTGTAATCATAGCTCACTGCAGCTTGTATTTTTTGTGGAGATAGGGTCTCCTGTGTTTCCCAGGCTGGTTTTGAACTCCTGGCCTCAAGTGATCCCCCAACTGCAGCCTGGGATTACATGTGTGAGCCACCATGCACGGCCCCAGTTATTTACTTACCCTGAGAAATATAACTGTCATGGGGACCAGAACCCTCATCAGTGCATTCTCCCTGTAGATTATGGATGGGGGAAGGCGAATCCTAAGTGGAAGCTCAGGGCAGAAGTCAGATTGGACAGAGAGGTGTTTGGAGTTGCACTTGTATAGCTCTTCATTGAGAAGAATGTTGACATTAAACACAACAGCTGTGGAGGATCTTTGGCAACCAGGCAGAGAGAGGCCTGTGGCCACAGTGGGACTGTCTGCCCTTCTTTCTGACTCCAAGCAGCTGAAATCTTCTTATGTGTGGGGACGCTTCCCCACGCTCTATTAAACAGAAAGCCTGCCTCCTTTTACAGAAATGCAAAATCCCAGACACTCACTTTTTCTTTTTTCTTTTCTTTTCCTTTTTTTTTTTTTTTTTGAGACAGAGTCTCTCTCTGTCACTCAGGCTGGAGTGCAGTGGCGCGATCTCGGCTCACTGCAATCTCTGCCGCCCAGGTTCAAGCGATTCTTCTGCCTCAGCCTCCCGAGTAGCTGGGATTACAGGCACCTGTCACCACGCCTGGCTAATTTTTGTAGTTTTTTAGTAGTTACGGGATTTCACCATCTTGGCCAGGCTGGTCTTGAACTCCTGACCTCGTGATCCACCCACCTCGGCCTCCCAAAGTGCTGGGATTACAGGCATGAGCCACCGCGCCCATCCTGTACTCACTTTTTCATACTCCTTTGCAGGTTGGCTGTGATAGGTGTCCCTGGCCACGTCAGTGGAGCACCCAGGCCTCAAGCAGCATGCTGGGGAAGGGAAAACCCCCCATTCTGGTGATGGAGGTGGCCATGACCATGTCTGGTTTTCAAAGGCAGCTTTGTAAGAACAGAAACCAGCAGCTCCCCAACATCTGGCCCTATCTGCTGTGCAAACCACAGGGACCAGGACCTTTCCGGGGTGCCAGTGGCATCCTCTGGAACCAGCTTCTCAGTGGAATTTCAGATGCTATTCCTGGTCAATTGCCTTTGCTATGTGCTATCCTTTAATAAATTCTGTTTCTCCTCATATCCACCTGAGTCATTCTCTGTAACCTGCAAATAAGAACTCTGCCTGGTAGATGACCCTAGGCTCTGCCACTTGTCAGTTGTCCAGAGTCACACAGCTGGTGAGTGGGTAAGCCCAACTCCCTGGACTGCCCCACCTGCCCCACTGTCTACCCGAGGAGTCCTGGATGAAGCTGGTGAGTGCCACGCTGCCAGGTGTGGCAGCCAGAACAGGGATCTTGGAGTGAGTAGGCCAAAGGGTGAGTAAACTCTAAATGGGCTGAGAGCAAAAAGCATGTTTTTGGGGGGAAGAGATGTTCTACCAAGCCTGACTCTTTGGGCAAGGAGAGCTAGGAATGGTTTCAGGGCCAGGGACCCCAGCCTCTGGCTCTGAGCTGACAGCAATAAGGATCCCAAAAAATGAGCACTTAGCAGCAATTAATTGCTAAGATGCAAAGAAAAATTGTTTTGAATATTAAAATTATAGCTATAACACTATTAGGAGCGTGATTCAGAGTTTATGGAAACATTATTTATATTGATTTATTCCCAGAGCCATCAAGACTCCTTGAAAATAATTAATGTTGACATTTCCATTGCTGAAGCTAAATGTTGATATCATATAATGAAAATTATATGCTTGGGATGGGCTGTGCTCTAGAAAGCATTAAAACAAATACCAACATCTACAGATCCCTCCCTACCCCCATTACTAATGACCCAGTAACCAATGGGCAGGGCTCTGAGGCTCTTCACCTACAGGCCTCTAGCCCAGCATAGCCATCAGCCCATCTGAGGACTCTCAGAAGCAAGGGCCAGCACCCCAGGGTAAGCATGGGGCTCATCCAGGGCCATGAGCCAGGAGGTGGGCCAGGATCTAGACAGGAAGCCCCTTTGGCCAGATCCTGGTAGTGACTGAGCCACTGAATTGCTGCTGGCCTCAAGAACTGAGGGAAGGAGAAGGACAAGAGGAGGTGAGGGGAGTGATTTGGCTGTGACTCACTCAAAATCTCATCTTGAATTGTAATAATCCCCACATGTCAAGGGCGGGACCAGGTGGAGATAATTGGATCATGGGGGCAGTTTCCCCCATGCTGTTCTTGTGATAGTGAGTTCTCACAAGATGTGATGGTTTTATAAGGGGCTTCCCCCTTCCCTCACTCTCATTCTCTTTCCTGCCGCCATGTGAAGAAGGACGTGTTTGCTTCCCTTTCTGCCATGTTTGTAAGTTTCCTGAGGCTTTGCCAGCCATGCAAAACTGTGAGTCAATTAAACCTCTTTTCTTTATAAATTACTCAGTCTCAGATATGTCTTTATTAGCACCGTGAGAACAGACTAATACAAGGAGTGAGGAAGAGAGGAAGAATGAAGGGAGTGAGGTCCTCCTCCATGCTTTGGGAAATTCCCTACAATGTGCCTACAAAGCTGTGACCCTCAGGCTGGCAGCAGAATGCCAGTCTCCCCTTTTCTTGGGGCAGCCCATGGCCAATCAAGTCTTCATGGGCTGATGCCTTTATAAGAGCTAGTCGTCTCCACTCAGGGAGCTACACCCTCGCTACACTCTCTCATCCTCATCTCTGCACCTCACCTCTGCCCTTGTTCCTCCACCAAGCACACAGAACAGTTGGCTACTCATATTCACTCTTACAAAGCCCTAGGGAGGGGAGATGCTCAAAGATGATGACTTGAACAGCAAGATAAGAACCCATTCATTGGTGTGTAGTGAAATCAATTTCATGGGCTGTGACCAGCATTACAAAAAAAAAAAAGAGAGAGAGAGAGAAACAAGTAGAATATATCCAAGTGTATGAGTGTGTGACAAGCTGGGAGGAGTAAATTTCTATGAATCCTTGTTTAAGTTATGCGCATGGACATATGGGTCCTGTGTAATGTTTATTTTTCCTAACAGTCTGAAGGCTGTTTCTTGCTCTAGAGTTTTGTCTGGATTTTAACATTTCCATATCAATTTCTGAAGTAGCAGTGGTTGGTTTCGGGGGACAGAAATGGGTATGTTCAACCCTATTATCCCTGTTAATTTCTATTTTGATTCCAGATATGTTCCCAAGGACCAGGGATGGAGTGGTGTGGAGGGATGGAACCAGGTTAAACGACATATATATACACACACACACATTCACACCCCCCCCACACACACTCACACACATACTCCGTCTCACACACTCTCTCTCTCACACACACACTCATCCATACATTCACAACTGATGCATGATTTTTCTCAGCCCATTTCCCAGACTCACGGAAGAGGTGCCCTGTCTACTTGGCCCGCCATACTCAGCCCCTCGCAGGAGCGAGTGAGTGCAGGATCCAGCCGGCCACTCCAAGCACCAACACAGGAGCAAATTCCGTGTGAGGCCTGTGGCCAGACCAGGCGTGTCACCTCAAGGGGAATGCAGCAGCACCCAGGCAAGGATGCCCATGATCTCAAAGACCCAGAGCAGGTGTTAGTGTGCTAATTAGCTCTTTTAGTTCCACCATCCACAGCCTGATGGATGGCGGCATGTTACTAACTCAGTTGGCCCCTGGCCCCATTGCATGGTGTGGCTGGAGGGCAAAGGACCAGTGTGACAGCCTTTCTGAGTACCTGCAATCAGTGGGTCCCAAGCTCTTGTGCAGCATCCCAGAAGAATGAGGTCATGCTGACAGTTGAAGGGTGATGAGAGCAAAGAATTTTACTGAGTGACAGAATCAGCTCTCAGCGGAGAGGGGAGCTGGAGAGGGGATGGGAAAGGCAGGTTGTCTTCCCCGAAGTCAGCTTGTCTCTGTTCCAGAGTCAGGCTGTCTCTTCCCCGAAGTCAGGGTGTCTCTCTCTGAAGTCAAGTCGTCTCTTCCCTGAAGTCAGGCCGTCTCAGTCTCTACCAACTAAGTCTGGGGTCTTTACAGGCACAGGATCGGGGCAGGGCGGGCTGCAGGTAGTATTTGAAAGACAACGTTTGATTGGTAAAAAGGTATTATTAAAAAAAAAAGGCATTATTCAAAAAAAAAAACCAATCAGGAGAGAGCAGGCAAACAGGAGTAGAAGTTCTCACTCTGGGTCTCAGGTTTCAGGCTGTTTTTGGCTTGAATGTGGGGTTTCACCAGGGACCCACCCCTGTCTGCCTAGGATTTCTCTGCCTCTTGCCTCTATCACAACCACACTCACATACCCACACAGTCACACCCATACACCCACACATATACCCACACATTCACATACACACACATCACACATTCACACCCACCCACTCAAGCACACATTTGCACACAATCATCCACACACACTCATACACATATATCCTCTCTCACATATTCACCCACACTCACACCCACACACTCACCTACCCCCCACACACATTCACACCTACCCATTCACGCACACCCGCACACACACACAGACCAGCAGAGATTCAGAATCTGTGATTTGCCTACATGTTCTTCACGTGCATTTATTTTCCCTGCACAACCTCTGCAGGAAAGATTAGTCAAGAAAACAATCCAGGCACCTGGTTTTGTGCTCATTACAGCCCACAAACAAGATCATTCATAATAGACTTTCTCTGACCGGGGACTTCCATGGGCAGGAAGTGTAAAGCCAGCATCCCATGCTGCTGCTATAGAGTTAAGAAACCCCGTTGCCATCAAGGGTCGCCTGGAGGGCTTTGGGGTGGAGAGTGAGCCATCACTGGGTGATACTGCATGTGTGCATTCATTTTTTTCAACAGATTTGAAGCATCTACTGTGTCCCATGCACTGTGTTAATTTGGGGCCATTAGAGCCAGGCCCTGGCCTTGAGTTGCCTCCTGCAGTGGGAGACAGTAGCCAGGCGACCACGGCAGCACAGGGTCCTAAGTGTGGTTAGGGCTGGAGGCAGGTGCCAGCAGCTGTGGGTGCTCCGAGGAGGGGAGGGAGAGGGCAAGGGCATTCCTGGTAAGGGACCGCACATGACACGAAGGCCTGGAAGGCCTAGCATGGGGTAGGAGAGGGTACTTGGCTGACAGAGGCCTCAGGAGCCCACAGGAGGATGTAAGTCCACGGAGCCAGATGAAACCCTTGCAAGGACTGGGTGGCTCCTGGGCAGCATAGAAGGAGCGGGAGAAGGAGCTCCCCAGAGGGAGCAGCCGCTCCACTCTGCAGCTTTCAGAGATTAGTGGGGGGTTCTGGTGAGAACAGCTATCTGGGAGGTGCTCAGGCTTGTGGACAAGATGGCTGCCCTGAAGAAAGAGATTGCATAAATAAAGCGCCTCTCGGTGGGGGTGAGGCTGTGCAGGATGACACAGCAGGCTCCGTGAGGACCAGAGAAATCCACCAAGGGTCCCTCCTCAGAGTGTCTTAGGCCCTTCTCAGGTCTTCCTGTCCACAAGCCTACAGACCTGCCCTTCCTCCTCCACCTCCCCCCAGAATCCTTGTTAAAGCCATTAGGGGTGGGGGCAACGCAACAGGGGCAGCAGGCTGAGAGGGCAAAATGGGCAGGTTCTATGGAGACTGTTTGGCGTGAATGTGAAGACATAAGTTGCCTGAGGGGCCTCTTCCCTAGGATTCTGGGCCCCTCCCTTCACGGCCCTCCCACCCCCAGGCTGAAGGACTGGTCTAGACAGGAGGAATCCTACACAGTGGTCTCCGGGCATCCATGGTGAACACAGGTTCTTCCCCTCAACTTCTCCCCTCCGTCTTTTCCCTCTTCCCAAGAGCCCCTGCTCTCTTTGGGGGGATCCTGGACATCTGGGGAAACACTCACTACCCCCTGCGGTGGAACACATGACCTGGGCTAAGCCAATTGGTGCACCTGGACACCTGGCCCAGAGATGGAGCAGGAGTAGTCATGTGACCTGTATCTGTCCAATGAGAATGTGTCTTAGAACACTGGCTAGGAATGCCGGAATCAAGACTTGGTCCTACCCCACCAGGGAGCTCCCAGCCTGGTTGGTAAGGGTTGTGGGAAGGTGTAGCATTGAGAAGGCATTGAGAATTGAGAATTCTAAGCATTAGAGGAATGTGTACATGAGAAGCACTCCCTCTCACCTGGCTTGCTCTTTCCCTGCCTAATGTTTAATGAAGATGATAGTATTTATTGAACACCTAGTCTGTGTTAAGCCTGTGCTGAGCGTTCCATGTATTAACTCATATCTCCAACTTTATCACAGTCCCCGTGAGAGGCATGATAACAATCTTCATAGATGAGGACCCCAAGACACCAAGCAGAGAGGGAGTGGCTCCTCTCCTGGACCACCACCTTCCTGCATCCTCTTCACACTTCCAGTACCCCTGTCAGAACCTTCACAGTCTTAATATCAACAGGCTTCTTTATTTAAGATGCTGCTGTGGAAAATGTGCTCCTGGGAGTGGCCACAAGCCCAGTCTCCTCCCACCCCAACCTCCCCCAACTCTAGCACCATCTCTGCCCTGATCCTTCTAACCTGGCATCCATGTGACCTTAGGGAATGAGGCCAATGGAACCTGAAGCTAGTCCGGAGATTCTGTGGCCCCTTACTCCCTTAGGTCTCCTGGCAGCCTGTACCCATTCTAGTGCTCTTGAGAGGGCTCTGTGCTTGGCAGCAGACTGGAGCCTACCCCACAGGAAGCTGGCTCATTTCCACACAGGCACCACCACCTCCTGGTCCCTATGTGGACATCACACTTGCTCAGCTACATGCTGGGCTCTGCAGGGCTCCTGCTGCTGAGCATGAGGGCTCTTCTCTGTCCCTAATGGACTCACGTCTGCTTATATGTGGAGCAGCTGACCTGGGGCCCCTGCTTTTAACACTCTGCATCCCTAATCTGAATAGTGGTGCCACTGCCCTCCTCCCCCCTCCATCCAGAGCTGAATGCCGTACCCAACATCAGTCCCTTGGTGCTCCCAGCTCATGGATCTCTCAGGCCCCGGCTCGCCCTCAAGTCCTGCATACCCTGGGGATGTTGTCAGGAGTGGCAGGAAGGCAAGAGGGCAGATGCAACAGCTTGGCCCACCCAACCTGTCTTCCACCTGCAACAGTACTAAGACTTCCTTTACAGCTAGGGTTCCAGGTGTGATTTGGAGTCACCAATATACATGCACCTGCATGAGACTTGACTTTGGAGCTGAGTCATGTGAGGAAAGAGACAGGGTGTGGGGCACTCACTTTTCAGGTGTAGACAGTGGCAGAAGCAGCATGGTTTTGGAACCAGCAACGGTAGCAGCAACTTTTCGATTCAGCAGGTAGTTATCTGACTCAGCAGTTTCCTTACCGTGGCAGGCAGGATGTAATTCTGGAGCCAACAGCTGCAGGAAGCTTCTAGACTCTGCAGCTTCACGATTGCAGAAGAGGCAGCAGCTCTCTTGGCAACCCACTTCTGCATCAAGGCTTCAAGAATTGCTCCTGGAAGCCCAACCCAGAGTCTGTGTCATCAGCCCTTCTGACAATTCTGTGTAAACTAATACCCAGTAGTAAGTCCTTCCTGCTTAAACTAGCTACAGAGGAGTCTTCTCTATCCAATTAAATCCTGAACGACATCCTGTCTGCAGGTAGAAAGCCCATCTGCTTGTGAACTCTCCTAGCTGGAGCCCGGTGGGAACAGCTGCAGGGCTCCAGCATATATGCCCTTTGAGGAGTCTTACATTTCTATGGCTCTGGTCTTCAGAAGGTGTCTAGGGGAACAGCTGAGCACTGGCAACAGCCGTGAGGAAGTCTCTGCTGGGGAGGATGAAGCTGACTGGGCAGTGGCAGCAGGAGGGGCCCCCAGGCCAAGGGGAGGACAGATGAAGGTTGGGACTCTGCTGGGCAGGGTGGAAGGGGTTCTCAGATACAGGTGACAGAATCCCATGATTCTTGTTTAAGGAAAGGGCATTTATCAAGGGGTGTGGATGGCTCACAAAAGCACTAGAAGATCTGAATAAACGAACTAACTGAGCTTCCAGGAACAACTCCCAACAGCACACCCCAGAATGGGGCCGGCAAGCGGGCTGCTGCCTCTGCAGCCTCCGGAAGTTGCAGGATATAAAAGCGGCCTTCAGATGTCCGATGTCATGACTGGCTGTAGTAAAATGGACACCTCATGCCCTTCCTTCCTCCTCTCACAGCTCAGCTCCAAACCAAAGTCTCTTGTGTCAGGTTGGCAGAATCTCAACATGGTTGGAACCCAAGAACCCCAAGAAAGTCTGGGAAGTGTAGTTTTAGCTTTCCAGACTCCCAGGGCAGAAAGGGAAGCCCAGCTAGGGAGAGTAGGAATGGGAAGTGAGTGAGCCAGCACACCATACCCACCACACACCCCTTCCGCTGTCTGCACTCCTCGTCAGTCCTGCGGGGGCTCCAGGGTGGGGAGCAGGGTTGCAGGTTCGGCAGGCCCTGGCCCATGCCCCTCCATGTGGCTTGTGCAGCAGCCCTATGTGAGGTGGTCGTAGGATGAGGGCCCTACCAGCCCAGCTGCTGAACTACCACCCCTGCAACCACCTCCAAGTAGTTTAAGCAGAAAGGGAATTTATTCTAGGATACGTAGCAAGTCACAGAGTCACTGGGAGGGCCTGAGGCCCTTCAGCAGCTACACTATTAGGAATATCGTCTGAAATTACTGCAGGGCCAGATCACAGAGATCCCTCTGCCATGGGAGCAGGCCCCGGCATCCCATCTCACCGCCGTCACGGAGGCTTTGACACTGAAACCCCTGCCACGCCACTGTGCCTGCAGCCACCCTCGCCCCAGCAGCCTGCTCAGGGGCCCTTCTCTCGGGTCCCTTGGTGGAACGTGGCTCTGTGTCTCTGCCCTGGCCACAGCAGGGTCTGGGAAAGCAGCTGTTGGGATTCCACAGTGGGAAACAGGGACATATGGGGTGAGCAGGGGCTTCCTCCAACTTCTTAGGGTCTGAGTGGTCAAAGAGAATGACAAACATCCCCTCCAAAGCCTAGACCAGGTGAGGGTTAAACGAGAAACTGGAGTATGGCTGGGGTATGGCGGCCCTCTTGGGTATACTCTGCCCCTCCAGGACAGGCCCAGGGTGTGTCCTCCATCTTCCCAGCCCTCCTCTGCTCCCTGGTGCTAGCATACTGCCTGGCACCTCGTTGGTGTTGGCTAAATGTTTGGGAATTGAGCTGAACCGTCCACGTAGCTAATCTGCCTGGCTCCTGTCAACATGAGGGCGTTTGCCTGCAGTGGGGCCCAGCCTGTTTTCCACTCAGAAACGCTGTGGTGAGAAGATCTTGCCTGAGCAAGCTTCCCATTAACTGTCACCGTGAACTTAAAGACTGGAGTTGGTTCTGGTGACCGGGGAAGGAGAAATAATATAACACAAATAGCAGCTGCCATCCATTGGACACAGTAGAGCAGCCGCATGGACTGACTGGAGCCAGACTGCCTGAGCGTGCACCCCACCGCCTCCACCAGCTCAGCTCTGGGCAAAGGGCTCGGCCACCCTGTGCTTCCATTACCTCACACATCGAATGGGGATAGCAACAATGACAAAGTGGCAGTGAGTCCTATATGAGTTCATGCAAGAAAGGCCTTTGGAAGGAGGCCTGGCGTAGAGAGCAGGGTAGCACTTTAGTGGTGCCTTCCGGGGCAGTGCTGAGTGCTTGCATTAATACCTCTAAGCCTCACACCCGTCTGGGAGGTCAGCTCATTAGCATCTCTCCTTGAGGCTCAAAAAAGAGCAAGTCACTTACCTAAGGCCACCCAGTCAGTGAGTGGCAGAAGTGGGATTTGAACCCAGGTTTGTCTGACTCCAAATTCTTACCTCGAAGCCCAAGAAAGAGAAGGCATGCTCACACCATGCCCACTCCCCATGCACATCAATACCAGTGTGCCTCCCGCATGCCCGGCACCGCTGGGGCTTGGGGATTCCAAGGGGAAGGGGCCACAGGCCACAGGAGGCTGCCACGATCGGATATTAATAATCCAGGCTGGTTAATGTTGAGGCAGGAGTGGTCTAGGGTCCTGCTGGAGCCGAGCAGAGGGCTCTTAGCCTAGCCTGGGCACCCGGAATGGCTTCCTGGAGGGGATGACCTTGGGCAGAGCTCTTGTTTAAATTGATTTACTGGGGGTATGATTTATAAATAATAAAATGTACCCATTTTAAGTGAACAGTTGGATGAACTTTAACAAATGTGGATACCTGGGTACTCACCATGCCAGTCGAGATATAGAGCAATTCCATCTCCCCCAGAAAGTTCCCTCCGGAAAGTTCTCTCCCGCCCCTTTGCAGTCACTATCCCCCAACTCCCACCCCAGGCTACCACTGTGGGCTGAGCTTTAAAAGATGACTAGGCAGGGAGTGTCTCTGAACCTATTCTGGTTCAAGAGTTGCCAAAAAAATATGTATCAAAAAAAAATAAAAATAAAAGAGAGATGAGTAGGCTTCTTCCCCCTCATTCCCCATCCTTTTGGCTCCAGCTGGGGAAACGGATCCCAAACATCAGCCAAAAACTCCAGGCTGGCTGTGGGCCCTCAGCCAGAATGAGGGAAGCTGTTGGCTGCCCACTTCCTTCCTGGGCCTGACCTCTGACTCCTGCGGGCCCCGGTGCCCCCTCCACCCTAGCTCTGGGTCTCTGAGCTGCCAGCCTGCCCAGTGCCCACCAGTGCTCCAGGAAGACAGGGATGGTGCCCATAGAACCCGGTAGGGAAGTGGGAAGTGCTGAGTGAGTGGATTCAGGTGTGGAGGGGGCTGGGGAGGGCAGCCAGTCCTGATGCCCTGCTGAGTCAGCCTCTGGTCAGGGAAATACTAGGCACTTCTGCTGTATCCCTGCTCCCTACCACTAGGCCAGACCCCCTTCCCAGGCACCTTGGGGTGGGCGGCCTGGGGCAAGGTAAAGGGGTAGTCTCCGGTCTCTCAGCACCCCTTTGGAGACATTCTTGCACTTGGAGCAAGACGAGGGAACGGGCAGGAAGCCTCATTAGTGCCTAGAGCACTGGACTGGGGCTCCCTCATCTGCCACTGACTAGCATGAAGTTTGGAGCCAGCAACCTCCCCACTCCGGACCCCTTCAGCCACACATGGAGAAAGATCTCTAAAGTCCCTGCTAGCCCCAGAGGCGGAAAACCCTCCTTAACCTCAACCGTTCCCTCTGGAAGCCCATAAAGGCATCTAATCTGCAACCCTCCAGCTCGTTGCAAAATCCAATAGTTGGCTCTAGGCTGAGAACCCAGGCTGTGGAACCAAGACCCCATCCACCCTGGGCCAGCCAGAGAGGCAGTTTGACGTAGGGCAAGGCGCTGCTAATGGGCTGTTACAGATACTCAGTGTGCTGGCCAGATAGTTAATTACTCTGGAGGCCAGGGAGGGATGAATACTTCATAAAGCCAGAGCCACCCGTGAATTATTCATCCTCCATTTGTCATAAGGGGGAGAGTGATGGGGCAGCTCGGAGGATGCAGGTGCCCAGACTGGGGGGACGGGGAGCACGTGGTGCTGCCTCCCACTGCACATCCAGAGGGACTGGTTCCTCTCCCACCCCAGCCCTGGCCGGGCCCAGGGGGTCTTGGGCCAGCTGCCTGGGGGACTCTGGGCCCCTCCCTTGCCCTCTCTGGTCTTGGCAATGCATCTGGGCTAGGTGGCATGCTCTGACATGAGTGTTAAATACCTGTGGGGCATCTACCAGGACCCAGCCCAACATCAGGGGAGCCCAGGGGATACAGGGCTTGAGACCTCACCCTGCCACAGGAGCTAGCCACAAGCGTGATAAACTCAAACCAGACCACAGCAGGCAACCGCAGAGAGAGGCCTCAGTGGGGTGGAGAGGCGGATGTGGGCACTGCAGTGTGGCATGTGCCTGTCACCCCTGTCCCCAGCCCTCCCCATGCTCAGGGCTGCAGCAGGTAGGGAGGATGCCCCAGAGATCTCTCAGCCCCTTTCCCCACCCCGGCACTTGTCCATGGCTGCTCCAGGGCCCCCGAGGGCTTGCCAGAGCAGAGGAAAGTGCTGTGTCCTGAAAGCAAGTGCCACCCCTACCCCTGAGCTTCTCCCACTGCCTCCCCAGCCTCAGAACTACCTGAGGGGAGGTTCCACTGTAACCTCAGAGGCCGCTGTCAGCCATGGGTCCAGTTTATCCACCTAAACAACAACCTCCTTCCTTGTAGCCTTTTGATGGGAAGCAGGAGGCAGCTACACAGAAGAGGGCAGCCCACTCTGTACCTGCATGGGGCCCTGGGCTCACG
Source organism: Homo sapiens (assembly GCF_000001405.40). NCBI lineage: Eukaryota > Metazoa > Chordata > Mammalia > Primates > Hominidae > Homo > Homo sapiens. The sequence continues at coordinate 33,856,415 of NC_000006.12, read as the reverse complement.
CCAGCTCTTCCTGCGGGTTTCTGGTCTGGTCAGAGAGCTGCAGGTGGGAGTCACTCTTGGAGAGGCCCAGACCCCATCTGCACCAGCTGGGCAGCCCTGAAGCCAACCTTCCTCTCTGGAGATGGTCTCTCTGGACCCGAGGTCCAAGCTCAGCCCAGGGAGCGCTCTGAAGCCTAGGCCTATTCAGATCCTCCCCAGCCAGTGGACCTTGGCCCACTCCAGAGGAATGCATCCTCACAGCACAGAGCCTTGTGTCACTGGACCTGGCACCTCAGGGCTGCGCTGGACAGAAGGGAGTTGGGGAGACCAGGAAGAACTGAGCTCAGGGTGCAGTCTGGGGCCAGGGAGGGAGGGGAGGTTGTTTGGGGAACTCTTACTGCTTCCTTCCTTCCCGGCTGGACTACCATTTCCCTTTCACACCTTCCTCAGACAGTACTAGCAACCTTCCTTTACAGGAACTGAGATCTGGAGGGGAGGACTCAGCTGGGGGCAGGCAGGGACCCACCCTCGGGCCTCCTTTCTGGGGTTTCATTCCCTTCTCCACCACTCCCCTCCCTGCCCTCACCTGGAAAATGGACATTTTGGGCCTGGTGACCTCTAGGGCCCCTTCCTGATTCCCCTGGGGCTTTCTCCCTGTGGGTGAGCTGTATCCTCTCAGGCCCCCGTGTGGATTCCATTTGGTGTCTACCCAGCTTTGCTAACTCAGGTAGGATTTCAGCGTCTCTGAGCCCGTTCATACCTTGGACAACAGGGTAACACCCCTGCTGACCTTGGTTCCTGTGCGCAGGTTAGATGTTATCAAAGATGGGAATGGGGCTTAAAGTCATAAAGCTCCCTGCAGATGTGCAGTAGAAGGTATACATGATTCTGGGGTCTCAAAGTGACAGCCCAGCTCTGCTCTATTTGGCTGCCCCGTGTGATTTCATATTTGCTGCCGTCAGGCAGGACACGTGGCATCCGTTTGCTCCAGGCCTCCCCGTTGCCTACCTCCTAGACTGGTGGGCTGTGTCAGACATCCACCTTGGAGGCTGGCCCTGAGTTTGGTGGTGTCAGAACCCTCACTTCCACCTGGAAGCTTCTGGGTCCTGTGGACACCTCCCAACTGGGAGACCTCACAGCTGGAGTGCACAGCTGGCAGGGGCCAACCCATCCCACCTGTAGCCAGCTGCCTCTGCCCCTCCCCAGTATTCAGGAGCCCCAGCCTCCCGGGCCTGAGGGCAGGAAGGAGCCCACAGGTGCTGCCTCCAGCCACGGCTTATGACAAATTGCTTCCACAGGTCCTGAAGTGGACGCAATGTTTTCCCTATTTCCATTTAGAAATGTGCCAGTTCTCCCCCGGCCTGGTCCCCTCCCCAAATCTAAACCCTGCCTGTGCTCCCCAGACCTTAAAGAATATTTAACCACCTGTTAAATGATTTATCCCATTGAGGCTCCAGAGCTCAGGGCATCTCACGGGCCTCCTCGAGAATTAACTAGAGCCATAAATCAAACCGACATTTGAGAAATTTCCAGCCGCCTCAGACAGCAGGCAGCGGCTCCAGCCCAGACAGGGGAAATGGCATTTAGATGGGGGAAATGGTATTTAGAATGGAGAGGCAAGAGCACGGGCGGGGAGCAGCCTCCAGACCAGCTCAGACGGGGGTGAGGGCCAAGGACATTGTTTCAGAGGGCTCTGTGCCGAGGGAGCCGCAGGCATATCCTCTCCGCCCCTGGTGCATCCAATACAGGCAGCATCTTAACTCCTGGCATGTGCTGAGAGCCCTCCACGGTTGGCAAAGAGCTTTCCCACCTGTTGTCTCATCTGATTTCAAAACAGCGCAGGGAGGCAGGCGCTATGAATGAATACAAGAAGCTCAATGGTGAGGCTCCGGGCATCTGCAGGAGGCAGGGGCAGTCATGACTTGTGGCAGCCCGAGAATGGACGAGTGTGGCAGGACTCAGGGACCAGACAGTGAGATGAGCTGAGGCACAGTGGCAAGAGGGGACCAGGTAGGCTATGTTAAGATTCTGGGTCGGGGGAAGGAAGGAGGGTAAGAGGAGCTGATGTTGAAGACCAGTTATGTGCTAAATCCAGAGCCAAGTGGCAGAGGTGAGCCCTCAAATCCCACAAGAACCTAAGGAGGTAAGTAGTTTGTTTTTTGGGGGGTTTTGGGTTTATTTTATTTTATTTTATTTTTGGAGATGGAGTCTCGCTCTGTCACCCAGGCTGGAGTGCCGTGGTGCGATATCGGCTCACTGCAACCTCCGCCTCCTGGATTCAAGCGATTCTCCTGCCTCATCCTCCCAAATAGCTGGGATTACAGGTGTGCCACCACCATGCCTGGCTAATTTTTGTATTTTTGGTAGAGACGAGGTTTCACCAAGTTGGCCAGGCTGGTCTCAAACCCCTGACCTCAGGTGATCCTCCTGCCTCGGGCTCCCAAATTGTTGGGATTACAGGCATGAGCCACCGTGCCCAGCCAGAGGTAAGTAGTTTTTTAAGCCCCATTTTACAGATGAGCAAACTGAGGTTAACTGACCTGGTCAAGGTCACACAGCCAGCAAGTGTCAGAGCCAAGAATTGAACCTAGATTCATCTGGCTTCAAATTCTGTGCTGTTCTTCTCCACTATCAGATCTGCTAAACATAAGAACTAAATTTGACTGGGCACTTGGCAGTGCACCCAGCAGTGCCCTAAGGGCCTTACCTGCATTATCTCCTGTAGTCTGTCCAATAACCCCAGGAGGTGGGCTCTCCTACTCTTTCCATTTCACAGATGAAGAAATTGAGGCCTCCAACCCTCAGCTCTAAGGAGCAGTGCTAGGGCTTACAGCCAGGCAGGATGACCGCAGAACCTCCCTGCACCCACCACTCACTCAGGTCCCCTGTGCTTGGAGCCCTGAGCTAGCAGCTACGTGTGAAAAGCTTGGCAGCTGTGCTTTCCAGGTAAGAGGGAGACGGTTGAACCGTCAGGCCCTATCTTAGAGGGAGATAATTCCACACAGAGAGGGGCTCAGACCGGATGCTCAAACACCAGGCTAGGGCCAGTAGACAGTGCAGAGCAAGGTGCCTGAGGAGTCCCTAGGAGTTCCGTGGGCCCCCCAGGCCAGGGCTGTTGGCAGCAGACGTAGTGGGCCCCAAGTACCCAGCCATGACTGGCTCCAAAGCAGAGGGGCTGGGCCATGGCCTGGGCTCATCTCCATTCGGGAGCACCCTGAGGAGAATGTCAGGGCCAGCAGGAGCTCAGCATGACCTGTTGGCTCTCTGCAGGGGTGAGGGGTCACCCTGAACCTGAACCACCCTCTCTCCCATTCCTTGAGAGCAAAGGGTCTAGCCCCAGCAGTGAGGGCCTCCCCATGAGGCTGGAGGCAGGGTCCAGTGGACAAGAGTCAGGGCCCTCAATATCCTTCTCTTGCCCCCATTACCCTTGACATGTCCTGGAAAAGCCAGCACTGGGCACCCAGATTCTTTCTCCCACATGGCTTTACCCCAAGAGCAGAACAGAAATTCCTTTTCAGTTATTGAGCCCCAGTTTGTAATTGAGAAATCCCCAGGGTTTTTTTTGTTTGTTTTTTGTTTTTTCTGTTTTTTTGTTTGAGACATCCTGCTCTCTCGCTCAGACTGGAGTGCAGTGGCATGATCTCGGCTCACTGCAACTTGCACTCTGCCTCCCAGATTCAAGCAATTCTCCTGCCTCAGCCTCCCACATAGCTGGGACTACAGGCATGCACCACCACGCCCAGCTAATTTTTGTGTTTTTAGTAGAGACGGGGTTTTACCATGTTGGCCAGACTGGTCTTGAACTCCTGACCTCAAGTGATCCACCCTCTTTGGCTTCCCAAAGTGCTGGGATTATAGGCATGAGGCACCACGCCTGGCCAAAAAATCCCAAATTTGAGAGGATGTCTAATCAGTATGGTCTCTCAGAGGCCCCTGTCCTGTCACTGCATGGCACAGGGAGCGCGGGAAAGTGGCATTAAACACGAATGCTCCAGCACCTGTAGGGCAAGGCGCCCTCTGGGCGAGGTGGCTGCTTTCACCCCAGCCTTGCCCCCATATCTCCCCTCACCCTATCTGAGCCCCTGAGCCTCAGGGTGCTTCATCCCCACCAGGGATGACCCAAGGCTGGTGCCTCCAGGCAGCTGGGATGAGCCGAGTCCACTCCCACATGGGCGTGGTTAGGGGTCCGGCAGGCAGAGGCCCTGGGGCAGGGAGCCGGCTGCTTGCCTCCCACTAGGACGCTGGCCAGCCAGGCCCACCCACCCCAGAAAGCAGGACCTGAACTTGCCCCTCCCCATCTGCCCTTCCTGGAATGTAAATTCAGCCAAGTTTGCAAGGAGCCCAGTGTCCCCTAGTGTCTGCTCAGGGCACAGCCCAGGTTCCTCAGGCTGGAAGCCACTCGCCTGCTGGGAAAAAGGTGAGAGACGTCCCATGAGTCCCAAACACAATGGTGAGGCAAGACAGAGGGTGTCCTCGACCTCACCTCCCCACCTATGGGCCTCGGGCTGCCCTCCTACCACCACCCCCAAACCCCAAACCTCCCACTCTAGCACCCCCTTCACCCCTCCCATCAGATCCTTCCCATTCTGTGCCTAAGTTTTGCTGGTCTAATCCCAGCTGGTCTCTTGACTTGGAATGTCAGGGCCCGAAGGAGCTCAGGGACCCATCACCATCACAGATGTGAAGGCTGAGGCGACCGGGCCAGTGATGCCGGGGTTGGTGCAGGTATATGAAGCCCACTCCGTTGGCTGACACTCAGTTGGCGTCTGGTTTAGAGACGTGATGATGCCCCTGAATCAATTGCTGCAGCTGGGCTCACATGGCTCCCGGGGCCACCACCACCACTGGCCAGAAGGAATCTTTGTGGATTTAGGGTAGCTCATTTCTGCCCCAGAGCCCCTGAAAGTGGACCTAAGAATTGATACTTGGGGCAATAGCCTTCCAGGCAGAGCAAGCCTCCAGGACAAAGACCTTGTGGCCGGAGCGACCCAGGGAGGCCTCTCAGCTGGAGCCAGGTGACTATGCTGGGCTCCTGGGAGTGCGCTCTGAGAGCCGCCACCCTGAGTGATGATATCAGAACCCCCATGGAGAAGCAAACAATTCAGGGGCTTCCAGGCAAGAGAGAGGAAGATCATTCTCACATCGCCTGTCATCTGTCTCTGTCAGGAGAAGGGGCAGGTCTAAAGCCCTGAGCAGAAGTTGGGGTAGGCCCCATACCTTGGACTCGGGACCAGAAAGAAAGTCTGTTTTTTCATGGCTTCTGTCAGTGGAGCCCAGGGTCACCTCCCCCCCCACACCCCAAGAGTGGCTTTGAGAGGCTGACAGGCTGCGTGACACAGCTTGGCAGGTCTCTTAGCAAAGTGCACATGTCACTAGCATGCCAGGTGCTGGAAGGGAGGAACAGGCACCCAGCCCAGCTCTCCTCCCTCACCTCAGGGTTCTCTGGCTAGAAGCTGCACCAGCAGAGGGGATAGAGTGGCTAGAACAGTTACTGCATAGTGCCGGTCACCCTGGGTCTGGATGCTGCGATGGTCCCATTTAATAGCTCAAACTACCGCAGGAAGGGTCTCCAGAGGTCCTGGGAGGTGCTGGTGGAGCAGAGAGGTGGTAGCAGTGATCGGGGGCGGGGGGGTCCTCCCCACAGCCTCTCAGGAGACTGGGAGGCAGCTCTGGTTCCCTCTCCCAGCCCCAGGGCTCAGAAGGAGTGGGGTAAAGGAAGTGTCTGCAGCCAGAATCCCGCCCATGAGGACAAACTTCTATGTAATCTAGGGCACAACTGGAAGGGGCTGATTTTACCTGGAAAGCAGGAGAAACCTAATGCCTGACACAAATATAGAATTTACATATTTCCCAGCTAATAGCTGCTTGTAGCTTATGCTAATTTGGCATCAATTCTCTCTTTGTTATGATTAAAGACCATAACTTGGAGAGCATTAGCAGTGAGCCTAATGAGGAACTGCGGGATAGCATGGCAGCCAGGGTTCTATGAGAGCTGCAGGGCAGAGTGATGACCTCACAGATGAGAAGGCTGAGTCTGAGGCTAAGGCTGAGAGTCGCAAAATGTCTGGCCCAGGGTGGGTCAGGGCAGAGCTGGGACCGGAGCTCACACTCCCTACTCTCATTTTCCCTCCTTTCTGCACTGCCACGGCTCAAGTCCTGGCCTTCAACACAGCACCCACTCATGCAGCCCCCAACCCGGCCCTGACCCCAGTTCTTAACCAAGCAGCTCTCAGAACATATATCCCAACCCTGGCTGAAAGCTTCCTTCAGGTCTTGAATTTGACAGGAATTTGACCAGGAGGTTCTACCCCAATTCCGGTTGAATTTCAGTCCCTAAACCAAACCCTGACACCAATCTCCCCAGCCCACACCCGTCCCAGCTCTGGCCCTGGGCGCGGGAGTGTCCAGCACCTAACCATCAGCAAAGCCCTCCCTAGGATGAGGTCTGGGTCCACCACCCCCTCTCCCCAGGGCAGGGTCTGAGGGATTAGGTGACATATCTAAGGTCACACAGGAATAAGTAGCAGAGTTGGCTGTGGAGCTCAGGTCCCTGTGGCTCTGGAGTCTCCAGGTGGCGGTGGGCAGCAGGAGGCCTGGAAGGTGCCGGGGGATGGTGGCCCCTCCACAGGCACTCCTCTGACAGCACATGGCCTCACAGGAGCCCCACAGCGTCTCGAGAGGTGGGCAGCTCAGAGATCGTTCACCTCCATTTTGCAGATTAGAAGACTGAGGCCCAAGGGGAAAGGCTAAGGTCAGTGGCAGAGCAGAGCAAGAGACCAAGTCCCCTGACAGTCCACCCAAGGCTCTCCCATGGCACCACACTGCCTCCTTCCCACCCTGTAGGGGCTGAGCAGGCAAGTCAGGTGTGGAGGAAAAAATAACGCAGGAAACTGCAAGATCACAGACTCATTTCCAATCCTCATTCCTGGAGAAGTGCCCCAGAATGGCAATGCCAGCTCAGCTGCCTTTAATCGGGAGGCTGCCTGGGCTCCAGAGCAGCCAATCCAGAGTCCCTGCTTGCCAACAGTAGGGTATTGATCAAACGGGTTACCGCCCTGCACTCCCGCTTCCCTGCCTATAAGATGGGACCATGTGGCTCCCCAAGACGTTGCTGAGTGTTGAGATCTGATGATGGATGCACAGCCCCAGCTTGGCACCTGGCTCGTTGTAGGAGCTCCCTGACTTTAGTTCCCTCCACCATCTACACCACTCCGTGTCTGGGAAGGGTCACCTTTGGGCAACACCTCTAGAGCCAGCTGACCTCCCAGTACCATCTACTCAGTTCTGGAACTTGGGCTGAGGAGGTGCCTTGTTCATGCAAATAGTGGTGGGGTGTGAAGATTGACACCCTGAGTCCCTAGGAGCAACCTGGAAGACCAGCTGAGAGTAATTAGCCCTGTCTACCTGCCCACCTCTGGAACACTCTGGTGGGCCACGCAGGTGTATCTGGCAAGGCCCTGAGGCCTGTGTGGAAACATCCAAAGCTTGGAGTAGCCTTGAAGGCTGAAGAATGAAGAGTGACCCCGGGGCACAGGACCCGGCAGCGGGGCCAAAGAAGGGGCCCCTGGGGTGATGGAGACAGTGCTCAGGCCCCAGAAGGAGGAGCAGTAGCAGTCGAGGTTCCCTGGGTAGGCAGAGGGGATCCCACCAGGGAAAGACAAATGGCCAGATGGCAGAGGGAAGGCACCGGCTGCGGCCTCCACTGGGAACATTCATTAAGCCTTCAATTAGAGCAGGCCTGCCCCTGTCAGCTCCAAAGGGTGCCCAGGGCTCCAGTTGCCCTGCCCAAACCAGGAGTTAATAACTCACCCTGTAATGGACTCAACAGAGAAACAGCCAGGAGCACCCACTCATCCATCTGCCTGCCTACCAGGGCTCTGGACAGGAGGGAGAGCTGGGGACACCTCTTTGGATCCCTTTATCCCCCAGAAGCCACATCACAGGCCAGCTGGAGATGGGAAAGCACAGCAGTCCCTCTTGTCCCTCGGGACTGGAGTGTTCACGTACTATTCCCAGAAAAGAAGGAAGCAGAATCTCTGCATCTCAGGGCAGGGAGGCTCCAGGAAGCTTTATTTACTGTCCTGGATGATTTACTGTGTATGGTGCTGGGGACAGAGATGGGTAAGACCCCAGCTCTGCCCTCCAGGAGTCCACATTCAGCTTAGGCAGGGCTGGCCAGGGCAGGAAGTAGGAGGGAGAAAATAGACATGAATCTGACCATAACCATAGGCTTCTATGGCCAGTACTGTCAAGAATAGCAGCACCTTCCAAGAGGTATGAGAGGAGAGTCTCAGCTCGGGGTTAAGGGAGAGCCATGCAGAGGTGGCCAGTAAACTGAGAGGTCAGGGTCATATAGTCCCACTCCTTGTTTTACAAGTGGACAACCTGAGGCCCAGAGAGGGCAGGTGACTGGCACAAGGCCACACAGCTATTCAGGGTCAGAGCCAGAATTAGAACCCTGTCAAGAGTGGGCCTCTCCATGCTAAAGCAGGCAAACTGAGGCCTGGAAAGTCACTTAATTAGGACATTGAATGGAACCCTCTGTCACCCACCCTGTCCTGAGAAAGATTGGCCCTCCAAGGGTCATTTCACATGACAAGCATTGCCTGAGGGTACACATGCGGTCTGTTCTACTGAGAGCACTCTGGAGAGCAGTGGCTCCCCCAGCCTCCCCTGGGTGCCTGGCTCCTCCTGTCCCTTTCAGCCTGCCCCTTCAGCCTCCCCGTCTCCTACTCAGGACCCTCAACCATTCCCCCAGCACCTCAGGCCAAGGCCAACTGGGTGGGCTGCCAAGAATGGTCAAGCTCCAACCTTCCCAGAACCGGCCAGGGCTAGGACTTTTTTTTTTTTTTTTTTTTTTGAAAGGGAGTCTCGCTCTGTCGCCCAGGCTGGAGTGCAGTGGCACAATCTTGGCTCACTGCAACCCCCGCCTCCCGGGTTCAAATGATTCTTCTACCTCAGCCTCTCAAGTAGCTGAGCTAATTTTTTGTATTTTTAGTAGAGATGAAGTTTTGCCACGTTGGCCGGGCTGGTCTCAAACTCCTGACCTCAGGTGATCCACCCACCTCAGCCTCCTAAAGTGCTGGGATTACAGGCATGAGCCACCGCGCCCGGCCCAGGGCCAGGCTTTTAAAGCATGATTGTGACTCAGCCTGCACCAGAATCACCCAGGGAACTTATTAAAATGCAGATTCCTAGGTACTGCCCAGGACCTGGTGATTCAGAGTCTCTGGGAGTGGATCATAGGAATCTGCATTTTAGAATAAACTCCCTGGGTTTTTTTTTTCCCCAAAAAATGATATTAGTGGGTACATAAATGTAGAAAAGTGTAGAAGTAATAGGTGAATTGCTCCATGCGTTTTCACAAACTCCACATCTGCTTAATGTCTACCCAGGTAGAGAAATAGAATATTTACAGGCCCTCACAAACCCCTCATGTCCCTTCCGGTTACTAAGCTGTCCAAACAAGGCCAGTATCCTGACTCCTGACAGCTCAGTTCTGTTTTGCCTGCATTTGAATTTCACGTGTATAGAATTATACAGACACCTGTGTCTGGCTCTTTTTTACTTGACATTATTTGTGAGACTCATTCATACCATTATATGCAGTTGTGGTTTGTTTATTCTCAATGCTGAGTAGCATTCCAGCCTATGATTGTACCACAATTTGTATGCATTCTGCTGTTGATGGGCATTGGGTTGTTTCCAGCTTTGGGATATCAAAAGAGGGCTGCCATGAAAATTCGATGACATGTATCTCTGTGGACATTTGTATACATTTCTGATGGAGATATGTCGATCAGCAGAATTGTGGCATCACAGATAGGATTTGCTTGTGTTCAGGTTTAACAAATACAGCTGAACAATTTTCCAAAGTGGCTGTACCAATTTAGACACCCACCTGCAGTGTCTGAGAGTTCCAGTTGATGCACATCCTCGTCAGCACTGGGCGCATCTCTCTTTTCATCCCAGCCATGCTTGTGGGTGTGGAGTGATACCATTTTATGCTTCAACTTGCATTTCCCTGATGACTAATGATGTTGAGCACATTTTCTTATGTTTATTGGCCATTTGGGCATCCTCTTTTGTGAAGTGCCTCTTCAGATCTTTTGCCAATGTTTTAATCAGATTGTCTTTTTCTTACTGATTTATAGGAGTTCTTTATATATTCTGGGTTCTTGTCCTTTCCTGGCTATGTGTATTGCAAATATCTTCTTCAACTTGCTGTCTTGCCTTTTTACTCTTAATGATGTATTTTGATAAACAAATATTTTATTTTAATATAGTCCAAATAATTTTTTTCCTTTTTGGGGTAACAATGTTTGTGTCTTATGTCCAGGTGGTTCTATGCACCTGAAAGTTTGGGGGGTGGCTGGAGTTCTTCCAGATGGACGACAGGCCTTGTTATTGCTCATCGCCACTTTCTTCTCAGACAGACACAGAATTCCCTTAATCATACGGGCCACACTTGCTGAGCACTTGTCCTGCTTTGGGGCACTTTACATGTGGTAGCAGACATCCTTGTGGGCATCTATTCAGCCTGAGTCCCAGCTGGAGCCCGTTGACTGAGAACTACTCCTGGACAGATGGGCCGTGCTGTGGCAGTCGCACTGGTACGTGACCCTGGCACGCTGGCCACAGCTGATAGGACAGGAACAGACCCTTTCCAAGCTGAACTCATCAGGCTGTCTCTCCTGGGGATCTGGATTTGTCCTGAAGGGTGCTAGACTCAGTTCTGATTGTAGCAAGGAAGAAATGATGAGAACTCAGGAACTGAGGCTGCCATGAGGGCAGGAGAGGGCACATTTGGCCCCACAGCCCTGGAAGCCTGCAGAGGAAGACAGAGGAAGCAGATGTGAGAAGGGGTGGAGTGTGGACACTAAGATATGCTGCACCTTCTGGTTCTTGGCTCTCACGATGCACTCACGCCCTGGGGGCCCCCAAAGATGCCCAACAGCTTTTCAATAAATTCCCCTTTATGTTTAATATGAATCCTGTCCTTGCAACCAAGAAAGTCTTATCTAAGATATGGTTAGCATCTTGAATCTTCAGAACAATGAATTATTCCCTTTTTAGAGATAAAGAAGCTGATTTGGGCTCAGGGAATGATTGCATTTTAAAAAACGAATTTGATTCCATCGTCTAGCTTTGGATGCACTGAGCAAAACACATATGAAACAGGACACTGTTTACTGCAGACCTTTTCAGAGCCTTTGATAGAATGGCACATGGGGATCTGCCAAATGCAGAGTCTCTCTAACTTATCTGACTATGGAACCTCCTTTTGTAAGAGGCATTGTGTGAGACTAATGTTTTATGGAAAATGCTGTGAGGAGCCAAATTTCTCCTCCCTGCCCCAAGGTGTTCTCTCTGGAAGGAGGTGTCCTGGGCAAATACCTGGAAATATTCATCCCCCCAGGTACATGACCCCTCAGTAGATATGATGAGGGAAGGGATCTGTTTTCTAAATCTCTTTCCTGAGGGTTTTTCTAACCTGAAGCAACTGCCCTGGGCCTGGGCCCCGCTAGATTAGTCAACTATAACTGAATTTCAGAACTTTCCAAGTGGTCGGCAGGCCTCATCATGCCTGGGACTCCAGGCTCCACCAAGCCACTGTCATCCCTGGAGCCTGGTCCTTAACCAGCCTGCCCCTTCCCAGTAGGAATGAGGCCAGGAAGGGGCAAAAAAAGAGGAGGGAATCTGGGAAGAAAAGACAAGGTAGAAAAGAGAAAACTGAAGGAAGAGGAAAGGACCGGAGAGGAAGGAAACAGTGAGGAACAGACAGACCCTCAACAGGGGTGCCGGGAGGGTTTCATGAAGGGACTATTTGCCAAAGGTGTGCACAGGATTTTGGAAAACCAATAAAGATGGAGCAGGCTGGGTGTGGTGGCTCACACCTGTAATCCCAGCACTTTGGGAGGCCAAAGCGGGCAGATCACCTGAGGTCAGGAGTTCAAGACCAGCCTGGCCAACATGACAAAACCCCATCTCTACTAAAAATACAAAATTAGCTGGACGTAGTGGTGCACACCTGCAGTCCCAGATAATTGGGAGGCTGAGGCAGGAGAATCCCTTGAACCTGGGAGGCGGAGGTTACAATGAGCCGAGACTGTGCCACTGCACACCAGCCTGGGTGACAAGAGCAAAACTCTGTTTCAAAAGAAAAAAAAAAAAAGATGGAGCGTGCCTAGGAGCCAGCAGCATGGAGAGTCATGACCACCCCTAGGCCTGAAGGGCCAGGGATGGAGTGGACCCGGAGAGGGTGGGTGTATTAGTCTGTTTTCACGCTGCTGATAAAGACTTACTCGAGACTGGGTAATTTATAAAGAAAAAGAGGTTTAATAGACTCACAGTTCCACGTGGCCGGGGAGTCCTTAGAATCATGGCAGGAGGTGAAAGGCACGTCTCACACAGCAGCAGTCGAGAGAATGACAGCCAAGCACAAGAGGTTTCCCCTTATCAAATCATCAGCTCTCATGAGACCTATTCCCTACCACGAGAACAGTATGGGGGAAACCGCCCCATGATTCAATTATGTCCCACTAGGTCCCTCCCACAACATGTGGGAGATATGGGAGCTATAATTCAAGATGAGATTTGGGTGGGGACACAGCCAAACCGTATCAGTGGGTGTGGAGGAGCCAGCTGAGCAGTTGCTGCCAGGGCCTTTGGTGTTAGCAGGCCCGGATCCACCCCATCCGTTGTCCCCCTACCCTCTGATCTCCTGCTGGTGCCTCCCACTGGCCAAACCCCATCAGAGGCCCCCGGTCAGGGAGCAGCTAGTGCAGCCGCACACTCACACTTGCAGGGTAGAGATGGGCAGGAACAGCCGAGGGGAATGGAGACTGCCCGGCGTGGGAGGCTTGGGAGGAGGCTGGGGGAAGCAGAAGGGGAGGGAGGAGAGATGAAAATACAGGTCATCAAAAGGGAGGGCCTTGAAAGAGGCAAGAGCAGAGAGGAGCCTCCGGGCTGGAGGCAGCTTTTCTCTGCGCCCTCCTAGATGCACGGGCTTGTTGCCTCTCCCCAAACCCCCAGATCTCTGAGTATCAGAACGGCCCACACTGGGCAGCAGACATGTGAGCATGGCCCCAGGACAGACAGAGAGCCGGCCTCCTCCCCACTCCTGCCAGCTCCCACAATCGGGTGGGCGGACGGAGCTCTGCTGAGATCAGCTAAACAGGCCCACCTCTGCTGTGTGCAGCCCTCCCTTTATGCAAGCCATGAGTGCCTGAAAGGTTGGGAGCATAAATCAATGCCAGGCAAAGGAGTCCTCGTTGAAATTCACCAGGAAAAAATGCATCGCTGAGGATCCTAGAGTGAGTTCCTCTCCACAGACAACAGTTGTCCCCAACGTGGCTCTTGTCTACGAACACATTGGAGCAGTTGAAAGTGGGCTCACTCTGACTATGAAGCTTCATCAGGAGGATGTTCTGGCCACGCCAGGGTGGGTGATGGGCTGCATCTGCCTCCCAGCCCCCCAGGTTCAGGGAAACTTGCTAGCACTCACACTTCCCTCTCTGCTTCTCTCCTCCACCTTCTGGTAACTCCAAGGGGGGAAAGTGCAGGTGCCTCTCTCCACCCATTCTGCAGAGAGGTGTGCTGATGGGCAGGCACTCAGAGCCACCTCAGGCCTGCCCCTGCCACCACTGAGCCCGCCTCTCTCCACCCCCAGCTCCCCCAGCCTTATGAGCTCTGGGCCCAGCCCCTGTGTTTGAGGGGGCCTGACTCCCTCACTGGCATGACCTCTGAGGGCCTGGCTGGGTGGAGATGATGGGAGAGCCACCTCCCCAGTTCACTCGCAGCAACAGCAGCACTGGGCCTTTGGTGAGATGAACCCCGGAACACCAAGACCAACCCAGGGAAAGGGATGTCTGAGGCAGGGAAATCCTTCATGAAGGGAGGCAGCTACTGTAGATCAAAGCCTGTTTTCTGTGCCTCTACATCATCATTAGCAGAGGGCAGAGATGGGGGAAGAAGGGGGCAGGCACAGGACTGCAGGAGAGCTCTTTGCATCCCCTAGAGTAAAGCTGGTGCCCCTGAGGCATTTGGTGGAGGTGAGGGGGGCAGTGCCAATGCCCTCTGGGTCCAGGGACTTGTGGAGGCCAGAAGAGGGTCTCCAGGACCAGGTCACATGCCAGGGAAGGCTTCCTGGTGGAGAAAGCCTCTGAGCTGAGTCCTGAGGAGGCACTGGTGGTACCTAGGCCACACTTGGGTAGGCCGACCCTGTGTATTCAGAGTGTCTTCACCTATGGGGGACTTAACAGAAAGGCAAGACACCGGAAGGGTCTTGAATCCAGAGACCCACCATGAAGTACCCATTAATAATAGATGGATGCAGCAATCAGGGAAGGCTTCCTGGAGGAGGTGAGCCTAAACAAAGCTTGAAAGGAAGGGAGTTAAGAGAGACCATAGACCCTGGTAGACCCCTCACTTCCATGCCCTCATTGCTCCCAGGATCTTTTTCTCCTCAGCCACTGTCTTGGTTTGAAGTTGTACAATTCTCTAATTGTTTCGTTAATGTCACTGGACTACGGGCTCCAAGGTTTTGCTCACCATTGTGACATAGTGAATGTTCAATCAATGTTTTTGGAAGGAATAAGTGAAAGGATGAGTGAATGACTGTTTGACTAGTCCTAACTTCTATGGTCTGGAAGTGGCGTGGGTCTGTCCCATGGAGGGGTGGGAGGCAGTGGGAGGCCCTGGAGATTCTGCAACATAGCTGGAGCTGCACTGGGCTGGACAGAAGATGGTCTGGGGCAGTGGGACAATAAGTGCAGGGATCCTTGTTCTTGTTTCCAGGGGGAAGTGGGGGCTGGGAAGAGGGCACAAGGCTAGGACCCAATGAAGCATGCCATCTGGAACCGTGGGGTGGCTAGAGCTTGCAGGAGATGGGCTTGGAAGGAAAGGGGGCCCAGGATGGATCCAGACCTCACATAGTGTGCACTCCAACCCCACAGCCCCTCTCCCCAGCCCGGGGTCCTCCAGGAGCTGCTGGACCTCTTTCTCCTGTCTTCCCCACTGCCTCCTTGGTCTGATTGTGCAGAGTGATTTGTGGGCCTGAGAAGCTGAATTGTGGGTAAAGCGCTGTCCAAATGTGGAGCAAATTGGAACTGCAGCTCCAGCTGGCGGGCCATCCATCACAGGAAAGGCTCATCAGAACCTCACTGCCCTGCCCAGCCTGGGCCCCTCACTGTGCCTGCCCCAGGGGTGAAGGGGTCTCCTCCTCTCTCCACCTAGGGTCTGAGGGGGCCATGGGTAGCATGGGAGTGGGGGCCTGGGACTGGGGACCTAACTGGAAGAGAGACAGGGAGGAGGAGGACTGACCATTCCTTGCATTTGTAGGGTCTCCTTTAGGCTTTTCCATAGCATTTTTATGCTGATGAATTTCACAGAAGCCTCCCAAGAGGTGTATTATTTATAAGTTGGGAAACTGAGGCACAGTACAATCAGGTGACAGGCCCAAACTTGCACTGCATTAACAGAGACTGGAGCATGAAATTTACAGCTGGAATACCTGGAATTCTTAACAAAGCAGTAGTTTCTTGCAACACGGAAGAATTCAAAAGCAAATAAATATTCCATCTGGCGCAACTCCTAGTTCCTGGAGCTGACACCTTAGTGGCTCCATTACAGACTGATGAGGTGAAGGAGTCACCAAAACACCTATAACCTGCAGGCCCTGCCTTGAGGTACTGTCTCTCCGTGCCAGGAGCTGTTCCCGTTCTAGGAGAACCCTCTCCCTGCCTTTGCCCTGCCCAGCCTCAGACACCCCATTCCTCAGTCCATGTGACGCAGCTCCTGGCCACAGCTGATTAGGCCAGAGGCGGTCACGTGAGCCAGACTATCTCCTCATAGCCTGGCCCTGACCTCTGACTTGGGACCTGCCTGAAAAAGATGAGCTATGCCAATTAGATGCAAGGAATTTGGAATTGGGACCTTGAGCAACCCAATGAGGTAGCAGAGTGAGCCAAGCTGAAAGGTCCCAGGTAACCTCAGGACTCATCTTTCTGAGAGGCCAAACTATCCAGACCCTGCTTACTTTCCCCTGCCTCTCCCTTAACTCTGGATCCAGAAACCTCTGTGTGTGCGTGGAAGAGGGGAGGAAGATGCCACACTTGCTCTCTGTCATCCCACATGCCCCCAAGCTACCAAACTGTTTATCCACATGAGTCATTTCCGTTTCCCCTTGAGGCCTGGGTTTGGAAACTCAGAACCCAAGCACAGACTGCTGTCTCTCTCTTTATGCTGAGTCATCTCTTCCTTGAGACTACAGCTGAGCTGTCCTGCTGACTACTGAACGGAAGCGGCCAAGGTTGGGGATGGAGAGGAGCCGTGGAATATGAATTAACATTCCTATATGTTATCATGTCACACAAGGTTACCTGTGGCCCAGGACCCCAAATGCGGAAGCATCAGGAAGGGAGAAAGCTCCCCTCTGCATGGGAGGGGTGTGTGTGTGTAGGGGGGCCCTCTCTGCAGACCTCTGTGCTCCCGATTTCATTTTTGTGGAGCCCTTCCTGGTTGCCCTGGCCTGGGCCTCTCATGACCTGTTAGATTAGTGCTAAAAGTCCGACTGTTTGTACAAAGTGCGTTTGTATCTGTTTCAATCAGGGTTTAAGTGCAGGAAACAGAAGGCATGTGGGGATTTGAAGCAGAGAGGCAATTAACATGGGGAATTAGGTGCTTAAAAAGTCATTGGAGGTGCTGTAGCAGTTGGCATTAGGCTTGCACCCAGGAATGAGTATGGAACAGCTGAACTGGCCCCATCAGGAAGGGGAGGAATCAGAGCCACCACCGAACACACCACTCTAGCTGCCATCCATCGTCTGAAGCTGCTGTCACCACCATATGACGTCTGGGCCCCATAAAGCTGGTGCCTGGACATTGGAATGCCATGAAGGAAAATTCGTGTGTCCATGAGCCTACCTGCCACCGGCGAATAGCTAACGGATGAGGAAGCTGGCTCTGCCTCACTTCTGCCCTGCAGGCCTCATGTGGGTGTCTGCATTCAGCAGAACCTAGCTCATTAACAAAAACCCTAGGTGCACGGGAGCCACACTGTTGTTAGCTTTGTAGCCTCTGCAGCAGCAGAAGGCAAGGAATGGATGCTGAGTCCAAGCACATATCTCAGAGCCCAATTCCAGATTCCCAAGAGACCCCACAGGCCGACGTGGCCCATCTTTTGCAGCCAGTGTGGGCTGACTGCTCTCAGTTAAGGCCTCGCCTGGGGGGAAGCTGTGTAAACACAGGAGGGGCAGTGGAAGGGGAGCGAGGACTGAAGAGCGAGGTGCATGACTCTGCGTGTGTGCGCACGTATGCACGTGCATGTGCCTGTCTGGGGAAGAGGAGTGGGGGTGGATCTTAGGGGCTGTGAGATGAAGCCCAGCTCTCCCTACATTCTCACAGGGCCTCTTATAACAGGAGCAGCCAGCAGCCACGGAGGCTTCCATCCAGTGGGGAAGTCAGTGGTGGGGTGGACCTCACCCACTCCCAGTCTCTACCTACCCTGGGTCAGCACAGCCATCTCTGATCAGCTCTCAGGGGAGGCTGAAGTCTTTGTCTCTCCTTGAGCTAATTTCTGGGGATCCCAGCATCTTGTATTAATAAAACCGGAGTACCTAGAATGTCCCTCTCTTCAAAATACAGTTGTGACACAAACACTGTGGCTGCAGGTTCCCTGGGGGAACTTTCGCTGGGGTGAGGTGCACTGAGGCTCAGTTCCCCCTGACAGGGGGCCCTGCCTGCAGGCTGCTAGCCCAGGGCAGGACTGAGGGGTTGAGAGATGCCAACCCCAGGAGCTGCTCGGCCTTGTGGCTGCAGCTCCCTCAGCAGAAACCCTTGCCTGTGGAACTGCTCTCTCCCTTTTGCTTGTTAAAGAGTTCATCTGCTGCTACTCCCCGCTCCTGGAAGATGAAGGAACTACCACTCCGGCAGGCGTGGGGAGGCGGGGAGGTGGGAGGGAGCACACACTCCAGGCCAAACACCCGCCTGCCCTGGCATGCAATCCGCAGGGAGACCCGGGAAAGGGAGGCTGCATTCCACAATGTGTCAGGAAGACAAGACAGGCTCTCTCTGCTCCTCTGCCTTGGAGAAGATCTTAGCCCAGTCTGACTTCAGGGTCGACTTGGCCAGAGCCTCACAGAGCCTCACAGAGCCTCAAAAGCTAATGAAGGACTCATCTCCATCGCCTCAACTCAGGATGTCTCCAAGGGAATGACCCCTCCTCCCTCTGCCCGCAAACTACTGCCTCCTGCCGCCTTCCCTGTCTGTGTCACAGCCCCCTCCCCAGTCTATGAGATCTGCTGCTCCATCCCCTGAGACTCCTCTCAGATGTGGCCCTTGCTTGTCATTCCTACCTTTCAACCCACTCCTCTACCTTCATCACCACACCAGCCACCTCCCCCAGGCCTCCCTGCAGCTCCCCTCTCTCCTGTCCCTGGAGGGTTCCCCTGCTGAACACCCCTGGACACCTCCCATTCCCCCGTGACCTGCTAAATGGAGCCCCAGTGCCTCAGCCTTGTCTCGGAGGCTTTCTGAGGCTCACCCCTGGCAAACCGTTCCAGGCTATCTCCCACACACACCCACATTCTTGCCAAACTATATTATGCATCAATTCTCGAATAGTGGGCACATGATGGAAGCTGGCTAATTAGAGCCCTCTCCTGAGACTTTTGCCTGAACTGGTCCTCTGGGATTTGAGCTGTAAAGGACGGTGTGGTAGACTGAAGAAAATGCCTCTCTCCCAATGATATATGCACTTCCTAATACTTGGAACCTGCAAATATTACCTTACATGCCAAAAAAGCAAATGTTGCCTTATATGGCAAAAGATATAATTAAGTTAAGAATCTTGGAAGGAGAAGCTTATTCTGGATAATTTGGGTAGGTCTCGAATGCCATCACAAGTATCCTTTACACACACACAGAGAAGTTAGACACAAAGGAGAAGGCAATGTGAAAACTGAGCAGACAGAGATGTGGCCACAAGCCAGGACATGCTGACAGCACCAGATGCTGACAGAGGCAAGGCACGGCCTCTTCCCTAGAGTCCCCAGAAGGCACGTGGCCCTGCAGACAACTTGATTTCAGACCTGTGGCCTCCAAAACTGTGAGAGAATAAATTTCTATTGTTTGAAGCCACCAAGTTTCTTGTAATTTGTTATAGCATCCCCAGAAATGGATACAGATGGTGAGTGCTGGAGCTGCTGGAGCCATTTTGTGCCATGTGGAGAGGATGTGGGAAGCCTGAAGCAGATCCAGAAGAAAGCAGAGCTGAGGGATAGAGAGGGGCACAGGGGTCTGGGTAGAGCCCTGAGGACATTGGGTCACCCTGCAGGCAGCCTTCCCTCCCTAGCCTTTTCAGCAACACAAGCCAACATGTTTCCCGTTTTACTTAAGCCAGTTTGAACTGGTTTTCTGTCACTTGCAGCCCAAAGTGTTCTGACTAACACTCTCACCCAGTAATTATTATGAGCCTTAAAAATAGCTCAAATCTTTGACCCAGTGATCCCAGCTTTCTGCCCTAAGAAAATAATCTTTATAAGGACAGTCACAGCAGTGTGAAAAAATAGAAACAACCTATATATGCAACCACAGGACATGCATTCATAAATTATGGGGGGATATTATATAACTATTAAAACTACATTTTCATGCTTATTATAAAGTAATAAGTGAAAGGCAGGACAGCAATAAAAAATACATGCACACACATAAACATACATTTGTATATTTATATATAAAAAGAATAATCTCCATTTTAAAAAATTTTGCTTGAGATAATTTTTTTTTTTGAGACAGAGTCTTGCTCTGTCGCCCAGGCTGGAGTGCAGTGGCGTGATTGCTTGAGATAATTTTTAAGGCAACAAAGCATTACACATACAGTTGAAATCCTTTGTGTACCATCCCTCAATTTCTTACATAGCCTCCTTCCCTCTCCAAAGGTAGCTACCTTATCTAAGTTGGTATCATCCCCATGTATGATTTTAAATACTGCTTATGTATGTATCCATAAGTAATGCATTATATTTACACATCTCTACACTTTAATCTGTAGGATGAGGCTTTCTGCAACTTATCTTTTCTCCACCAACCATACATTTTGCTTTCAGTCCATCTTGATAACATGTTCGTTAGTTTTAGCTGCTGTCAAGAATTCCTTTTCTGAGTGTCCCACACTTTAGTTACCCCTTCTCTGGTTAATAAACGCTGAGCTCATTGGCAATACTTCTTACTCTAAAATGCTGCAGCTCTTATGGTTCCTTGTGTACACACATGAGATTGTCCCCAGGGGTTTACACCCCAAGCGCAGTAGCGGGCGCAGGGTGTGTGTGTCTTCTTCCCTACAATGTGCAGCTGAATTGTCCTCCTAAGGAGTGGTATTAAGAGTGAATAGTTGGCAGGGCACAGTGGCTCACGCCTGTAATCCCAGCACTTTGGGAGGCCGAGGAGGGCAGATCACAAGGTCAGGAGATCAAGACCATCCTGGCTAACGTGGTGAAACCCGTCTCTACTAAAAATACAAAAATTACAAAAATTAGCCGGGCATGGTGGCGCGTGCCTGTAGTCCTAGCTACTCGGGAGGCTGAGGCAGGAGAATTGCTTGAACCTGGGAGGTGGAGGCTACTAACCTGAGATCGCACCACTGCACTCCAGCCTGGGCGACAGAGTGAGACTCCATCCCCCCCGCCCCCCCCGCCCCCCCCCCCGCAAAAAAAAAAGAGTGAGTAGTTTCCATTTTCCATATCCTCAGTGGGGAGACGTTTTTATTTTTGACAATCCAACGGGTAGGAAATTGTATCTCGCCATGTGGTTTGATGTACATTTCCCTTTTTACAGGGCTCTCTATACGCTTTCCATACATTCATATCCCTCTCAGTTTCCTCTTCTGTTCAATGCTTTTGACCACTCTACTGAGGTATTTGTCTTTTGAATGGAAAACATATTCACATGAATTACACTCAAATGTCAACAGTGTCTTAACACTTTTTATTTCTTTTTTATAGTAATAGGACACTTCGTTTGCGGTGGCCCTGTCAGCGTCCCCTGTCTGGAAAACACCCCCTCAGCTTCCCACCTGCTCTGGCCATGTGGTCCAAATTGGAGCCCAACTCTCACCTGATCCTGCCCCACAGGCCACAGGGATTGGTCCAGGGTTAGGCATGTGACCCAGTCAGACCAATCAGAGCCCCTCTCTGGGCTTTTTAACTGGAGCTGGAGGAGAGCAATTCTTTCCTGGTTGATCATGAAAATATGAGGACATGAGGCCAGTATTCCTGCTTCATAGAGACAAACAGCCTGCGACCAAGAAACAAATACCAAGCAAGAGAGGAAGGGAGTGAAAATGGAGAGGGCCTGTAGGCAACCAGACCTACCACACGTGTCCAGACACGCCGCGGCTCTGAGCTCCACTGACTTGCACAGACTCGGGGGCTGAGGCCTGGCCAGAGACCTGCCCCTACCATCAAGGGTTGCCAGCCTTCTGCAGGGCGCCCGCCAGGCTCTGATGTGCCCAGGGTTGGGGAAGACCCTGGCTCTGACCCTTTAAATCCAGGGCTGCAGAGAAGGCTGTTCCTGATGCTGAAGCAGCAACACTGACCAATTCCCAGCAGGGCTTCCGCACAGCGCCTGGGCCTGCTCACCTGTGGGGAGGCGCTGGCCAAGGGCATCCCTCGCCGCTCGCTCCTACCCCCGCGGGCCTCGAACGGCGCCTTCCCACTGAGTCAGAGGCCTAAAATAAGAAGCGTGTTCCAAAAGATGTGGCTTATGGGAAAACTTCAGCCAAATCAATTAATGATAAAACCCTTGAGCAAACACAGCTACTTTTATCATTTTAGAATGTTGTGATTGGAGCAGCAAATGAAATTAAATTAAAAACACAGAGACTTCAGGTCAGAACCCCAGCCGCTCTTGTTGGTTTTTAATCTCCTATTAAACGATATATCTTCTGATGGCTTTTGTCAGCTTATTTAATGTAATAACCCAGGACATGTGGCCCACTGACCTCCTCATTCCCCCCACATGGCTAAGGGGGAGGGTACCGCTGGCAGCCAGGTCCACCCACAAGCTTAAAATGGGGATGGGCAGGTGGGCAACAGTCATGGGGAACGGCAAGGGGCCACAGAGGACCCTGGAGACTGAACTTCGCTAGAGCTCTGTAGGCAAACACAGGGCAGTGAGGTGCCCCGAGGCCGTCTGCTTAGTCCCCTCCATTACAGATGAGTCACCTGGAGCCCAGAAAGCAAAAGCTTTCCCAAGTCACATTCAGAGCCAGGATTGGAACCCAGGCCCCCTGACAGCCAGCCCACAGCTCAGCGTCCAGGAAAAGGGCTGAGTGCAGGGCTGGGAGTGAGGTCCTCAGTTCTCCACCGCCTCTCAGGGCATTAGTAGTGGGGCTCAGTCTGGAAGACAGAATCAGAGTCCCAGTCCCCAGGAGATCCTGGCCTGATGGGAGAGGCCGTTCCCATGCTCGGGGACTTCCCAGTGTGATGATGGAGACACAACCCTGCCCTCAGGAAACTCCCAGTGAGATGGAGACACGGGCAAATACAGATGGCCAAGGAAATTGTTTTGGTGACAACAAGAAAGGGTGGCTTGGAATGTATGTTGGCTTCACCAAGGAAGGCTTCCTGGAGGAGGTGGAGAAAGAGGCAATCTCAAGACAGCTTAGGCCGAGGATTTGTGGCAAGAGAGAGAAGATGCAGTGGGTGAGGGAGAAGAGACACAGGGTGCATTCCCTCTGTAAGTTGCCTGTACCCACACGCAGGCACACACAAACATACTGGCCTGTGTGCACACACTTATGCCTATGTGTACATACAAAACCATGCACTCGCTCTCCCTCTCCCTCTCCCTCTCCCTCTCGTCTCCCTCTCCCCACTGTCTCCCTCTCCCTCTCTTTCCACGGTCTCCCTCTGATGCCGAGCCGAAGCTGGACTGTACTGCTGCCATCTCGGCTCACTACAACCTCCCTGCCTGATTCTCCTGCCTCGGCCTGCAGAGTGCCTGCGATTGCGGGCACGCACCGCCACGCCTGACTGGTTTTCGTATTTTTTTTGATGGAGACGGGGTTTCGCTGTGTTGGCCGGGCTGGTCTCCAGCTCCTGACCGCGAGTAATCCGCCAGCCTCGGCCTCCCGAGGTGCTGGGATTGCAGACGGAGTCTCGTTCACTCAGTGCTCAATGGTGCCCAGGCTGGAGTGCAGTGGCGTGATCTCGGCTCGCTGCAACCTCCACCTCCCAGCCGCCTGCCTTGGCCTCCCAAAGTGCCGAGATTGCAGCCTCTGCCCGGCCGCCACCCCGTCTGGGAAGTGAGGAGCGTCTCTGCCCGGCCGCCCATCTGGGATGTGAGGAGCCCCTCTGCCTGGCTGCCCAGTCTGGAAAGTGAGGAGCGTCTCTGCCCAGCCGCCATCCCATCTAGGAAGTGAGGAGCGCCTCTTCCCGGCCGCCATCACATCTAGGAAGTGAGGAGCCCGGCCGCCCATCGTCTGAGATGTGGGGAGCGCCTCTGCCCCGCCGCCCCGTCTGGGATGTGAGGAGCGCCTCTGCCCGGCCGCGACCCCGTCTGGGAGGTGAGGAGCGTCTCTACCCGGCCGCTCCGTCTGAGAAGTGAGGAGACCCTCTGCCTGGCAACCGCCCCATCTGAGAAGTGAGGAGCCCCTCCGCCCGGCAGCCACCCCGTCTGGGAAGTGAGGAGCGTCTCCGCCCGGCAGCCACCCCGTCCGGGAGGGAGGTGGGGGTCAGCCCCCCGCCCGGCCAGCCGCCCCGTCCAGGAGGTGAGGGGCGCCTCTGCCCGGCCGTCCCTACTGGGAAGTGAGGAGCCCCTCTGCCCGGCCAGCTGCCCTGTCCGGAAGGGAGGTGGGGGGGTCAGCCCCGACCCGGCCAGCCGCCCCGTCCGGGAGGTGAGGGGCGCCTCTGCTCGGCCGCCCCAACTGGGAAGTGAGGAGCCCCTCTGCCCGGCCACCACCCCGTCTGGGAGGTGTGCCCAACAGCTCATTGAGAACGGACCATGATGACAATGGCGGTTTTGTGGAATAGAAAGGGGGGAAAGGTGGGGAAAAGATTGAGAAATCGGATGGTTGCCGTGTCTGTGTAGAAAGAGGTAGACCTGGGAGACTCTTCATTTTGTTCTGTACTAGGAAAAATTCTTCTGCCTTGGGATCCTGTTGATCTGGGACCTTACCCCCAACCCTGTGCTCTCTGAAACATGTGCTGTGTCCACTCAGGGTTAAATGGATTAAGGGCGGTGCAAGATGTGCTTTGTTAAACAGATGCTTGAAGGCAGCATGCTCGTTAAGAGTCATCACCACTCCCTAATCTCAAGGACCCAGGGACACAAACACTGCGGAAGGCCACAGGGTCCTCTGCCTAGGAAAACCAGAGACCTTTGTTCACTTGTTTATCTGCTGACCTTCCCTCCACTATTGTCCTATGACCCTGCCAAACCCCCTCTGCGAGAAACACCCAAGAATGATCAATAAAAAAAAAAAATTTAAAAAAAAAAAAACAAAAAAAAAACACCGTGCACTCAAAAACACAAGCTGACATACGAGGCATAAGGACACATGGGCCTTCTCTTACCATCATGCATGCACACACATGCACACACACACATGCATTTATGCACATACACCTATACATGCAGTCATAGACAGACCTACACGCTGGCCAGGCCCAGGCTTTGTATGAAGTTCAAATATGCTCTGTCTGCTCTGCTCTGCTCTGCACATAGGTATGGGGGCCTGCACTGCCCCCCGCCATGCTTGGGGCCCCCAGCAGCTGTATTGCCTGTTAAAAGTTCCTGAGCCCACCTGCCTGGGCTCTATCGGCATCCCTGCCCCTGCCATGGTCCTGCCCCCTGGTGTACCTGCTGCCTTCTCCCCAGCTCTATGGGTGGGCAGGGAGCTGGGCCTGGCCAGGAGGACACTCCTGGGGGAGCTTCCTAGAGCTACCCACAGGCTAGGGAGAGGTCTCCAGGGCTTGTCTGGGCCACTGCCCAGCCTTGGAGCAGGACGCTCCTTCCCTTGGCAGCCACTTGCTGC
Source organism: Homo sapiens (assembly GCF_000001405.40). Lineage (NCBI taxonomy): Eukaryota > Metazoa > Chordata > Mammalia > Primates > Hominidae > Homo > Homo sapiens. The sequence continues at coordinate 33,831,397 of NC_000006.12, read as the reverse complement.
CTCCCTCCTTTCCCCTCAAGGTCTCTGACCGGTCAGGTTCTTTCGAAGACAATTCAGAGGAAGATTATGTGCAGGAAGTTTGCTGAGAAGAACACCTGTGGAGAGTGACGCAGGCAGGACTGGACAGACAGAGGGGCTGGGCTGCCCTGTGGTCACAGCAAAGGCCTCAGCCACCCCGGGGAGGACAGAGGAGGGGAGGAGGCCCTGCAGCCTGTCCCACATGGGGCAAGGGGATCTGCCTTCACACTGGTGCATTTACCAGCCGCTGGATGCTGGCTGTCCCCCGAAAATGCTGCAACCTCAAAGGAAGAGACCAAGGATAACCACGAGGAAGAGGAGCTCAGCTTGGCGCAGTCAGCCATTCACGTCCCCCCGTGGCTGGAGAGTGGGCACTGGGGTCCTGAAGGGAGGTACGTGGGCAGCACCTAGGTGGCCACTATAGTCTCCAAAGGATGAGGCGCCCGACCCCCTCCTGCTGTAGGCCTCACTCACGTCCCTCCTGCTGCAGTTGAAGTCTCCTCTCTTGAGTCTTTCTGCACCCTGCTCCCCGTCTGTCCGTCCCACTCCATCCCATCGCCTTATGCTGGTGTGGACGGCTCCACATTGCAGGCTTCAGATTCCCTCGCAGGAAGCCAGAGGGTGAGGCTCCCGCCAGCACCCTCTCTCTCGCCTCTCCTGATGCCCTAAGTCACCTCTGAACACAGGGGTGCTAAGTCATGGGCGAAGCGGTGAGGACACCCCCTCTGACTGAAGTCCTTCGTGAATCAGAGCAGCGGGATAGGGGCTGAGTCTGATTTGCTCTGGGCTGACAAGACAGCGGTGCGGGCTTGTGACTATCATTCAGCAGGCTCTGTGGGTGGCAGAATGACAGGATCCCCTCTTACCTCAGTCCTCTGTTGATGTCCCCACCACCCATTTACTCTCACACACACGGTGCTGGCAGGAGTAGGAGCTGAAAGCCTTTGGATTCGAAGCACACTTTTAATTTCTTCTCCAGGGAAAGTGTGAGCTAGAGAGTGCTGGCTTTGAGACGAAGGGGCTGTTCCACCTAGACTATATTTCATCTGTCCTAAGGAACACATTTGTTTCACACTTTAATATCCCTGAAATTGAAATCTGTCTAACAATTGGTGGCATATCCTAGTTTAATCAGCAGCATTTTCCCCCTTCATGGTAAAATAATGGTTCCTTTAAAAATCACTGGTATCTTAGATTTGATGAGACTGGTACTTTGCATCCACCTGGGAGGCAATGCCGACCTCTCCACCCAGGGACATGAGGGAGGCGAGGGAAGGTGACCGGAGGCTGGGCTGCTTTCAGCACCCAGGGCAGTGAGGGAGGGGAGGAGACAAGGGACTGGGCTGCTTTCAGCACCCAGGGAGGTGAGGAAGAGGAGGGAAGGAACTAGAGGCTGGGCTGCTTTCAGCACCCAGGGATGTGAGGAAGAGGAGGGAAGGAACTAGAGGCTGGGCTGCTTTCAGCACCCAGGGAGGTGAGGAAGAGGAGGGAAGGAACTAGAGGCTGGGCTGCTTTCAGCACCCAGGGAGGTGAGGAAGAGGAGGGAAGGAACTAGAGGCTGGGCTGCTTTCAGCACCCAGGGAGGTGAGGAAGAGGAGGGAAGGAACTAGAGGCTGGGCTGCTTTCAGCACCCAGGGAGGTGAGGGAGGGGAGGGGACAAGAGACTGGGCTGCTTTCAGCACCCAGGGAGGTGAGGGAGGGAAGGGGAGGGGACAAGAGGCTGGGCTGCTTTCAGCACCCAGGGAGGTGAGGGAGGGGAGGGAGGGACTAGAGGCTGGGCTGCTTTCAGCACCCAGGGAGATGAGGGAGGGGAGAGGAGGGGACAAGAGGCTGGGCTGTTTTCAGCACCCAGGGAGGTGAAGGAGGGGAGGGGAGGGGACAAGAGGCTGGGCTGCTTTCAGCATTCCCTGCATCAGGCTTTCACTGGGCAGCTTCGGGATATGGGCCCTCCCAAGGCCTCCTGCAGGCAGATGAAGAGCAGAACCATGTTTTGGAGCCAAACAGAAAATTATTTTTGGAGACTCAGGGCAGAAGTTTACCTCTGGTGCCCTGCAGACCTCAGCTGCTGGCGGCCAAGGTCCTCCTTTTGAAGCCTAAATAAAAGTAGCTGAAGCTAGTCCAGCCTCCGCAGCTGGGGCGATGACAGCGAAGTGAACGTGGGCGCGGATGTTCCAGGGAAGAGGGCTTGGGGCTGCAGCTCCAGGCGAGGCCTGTTGAAGTGTTAATGGGCACCATCTCGAAGTGAGAGAATTAGCCCCATGGGGCAGCCAAATGTAAAAAGCCTGGGAATTTAGAAAGAAAATGCTGCCCTGGAGGAGAGGCAAAATGGGAGAGCTCCGGATGCTGAGCTGAGTGGAGAAGCACGTTCTGGACCTCGTCTGGCACAAGCAGCAGGGAACCCCTGACACTGCACTCAGATGCTGGTTCTCACCGCTCCCCTAGAGGCTTGGTGAGCTCCCAGATGGCCATCTCAGCAGACTCCTGTGGGGCAGGTGGCAGGAGGATGATACTGAGATCCATGCCTCTTTCAACAAGCAGCAGAGACAGGAGAAAGCTACTTTGGCCACAGGGGCAGGGGCGGGAGCAGTTGTGAGCCAGCATCTCCAGAGGGAGACCCCAGGCAGAGAGGAGGCTGAAGGACCTGCCTGGCAATGTAGGCTGAGAGCCCCACTGTGTGAGACACTATGCTCCCTCCTCACCCCCTCCGACCTGAGCAGAAGCAAGAGGGTCTGGGAAGCCTGGTTTGCAGGAGAAGGCCAGGAGAGCAGGGCCCTGGAGCCCAAGCCCTGCAGGACGCCTGGCCAGCCCAAGCCAGCTTCGTTCATTCCTACACCTCATAAATACCTGCTGAGTAGCAAAGCAAACAGGCAAAACAGACTCCTCTGAAGGACTCTACGTTCTAGTGAGGGGAGAAATACATTAAACAAAGTAAACATAGAATGACATTGGTGCTAAGCGCCACAGAGAAAAATACAACAGAATGAGGAGGTTGGAACGAACAGGAATACCTCTTTCTACCACTTGGGCAGGGAAATCCCTCTGGACACATGTGACCAGAGACCTAAATGAAATGAGGGCAGGAGCCCTGGGGGCATCTATGGGAAGCTTCCTTCCACACAGCATGCCAAGCAGTGGTGCAAAGAGTCCTGCCAGGGCGGGACTCGGATGATCCCAGACTAACAAGCAGATCAGCGCTGGAGTGGAAGGAGGCAGTAAGCAAGAGGGACGTGGGCGCAGGGAGGGAAGTGGCATCCAACTCCACAGGGCTTTCTGGGCCATGGAAAGGACTTTGGCTTCCACTCTGAGTGGAAGGGGAGTCTATAGAAGGTTTGAGCAGAAAGGTGTGACCTGGCTTCAGTTTTAACAGGATAACAGACAGCAGGGGCAAAGGGCAGGTGGCAGGGACGCTGTTAGAAAGCCATTGTAATCTCCAAGCAAAAGATGACAGTGGCTGGATTGTGGATATATTTAGATGGCAGAGCTGATGAGATTTGCTGACAGATTGGATTCGGGATGTCTTCCAGTTATCTATTGCTATACAACAAACCACCCCCGATCCTTGGTGGCTTAAAACGACCACAGGCATTTATTTTGCTTATGAATCTGCAAAACGCAGACAGGGCTCAGTGGGGAAGGCTCCTCTCTGCACCACATGATGTCAGCAGGGTGGCCTGGGAAGCAGGATGAGTCCCGTACAGCTGGTGGGCGCAGGCTGATGCTGCAACTGGGGCTTGGCCTGGCCCATCCACCTGAGGTCTCAGCCCCTCCTCATGTGAGCCTCTCCTGGGGCTCCTGGGTTCCAAGAGCAAGCATCTCAGGAAGCCAAGGCAGAAGCTGCAGGGCTTCTTACCATCTAGCCTCAGAAATCCCAGAACATCACTTCCTACTGCCTTCTATTGGTCAAGTGAGTCGCCAAGGCTAGCCCTGATCAAGGGGAGAGGAATTAGACCCCACCATCTCTCAGCGGAGAGAACAAAGAACTTGTGGCCATCATTACTCTGCCACACAGTGTGAAAGAGGTGAGGCGAAGGTGACTGCGGGATTCTTGGCCTGAGCCACTTACGTCCTGGTGTATGCCATTAGTGAGGCAACTGCTTCTCTCTCACCTTACCCTCCAGAGGCCAAGCTGTGGGCCTTGTCCAAGCCCCCTCCCTCACAGGTCTTGTTTCTTCCTGTCAGATAAAGGGTTTGAATGGGAAGACAGTTGTCCCTTCCAGCCCTGGGACACTAGCAACAGGGCTGGGAGCAGCTTCCTTATGGGGCCCAGGAGATGAATGCCCCCTCCTCCCAGGAGCTACTCTTAGAACCTCGGGTGGGAGGCCTGAGACAGGGCTGGGGTGGCTGGCTGGGAGGCACTACAGAGCAGGGGCCTGGCCTGCAGCCGTTCCACTCAGTATCCTGCCTCTGCCTCTGGGCCAGAGCCACCCATGTGTCCTACCTACACTCAGGAAACAGGTGGACAGGCCCTGCCCATGAATGCCAGGTTCTGATTTCCAAGCCTTTATCTCTCAGGGCATGGCCAGGAATCAGGAGACCCAGAGGAAATCAGCCAAGCACCTGCCCACTGCAGCCCCACTCTGAGCCAGGCAGCCTGGGTGGAGGACTCTGACATGCTTTTCCTGATGCAGAAGAGCGCCAGGAGAGGGGGTTGCTGCCCATGGCTGTGAGCACACGGCTCCACCCAGCCTGGTCCCTCACCCTGCACAAACACCTGGGATGGCTGAAGGGTATATGTCTTCCTCCTGCAGGCAAGACTAGCAGAATAGGGACTCCCCACCCTGAAGAAAAGACTCCAGCACAAACTCTCATGTGCCCATGAATGTCCTGGGGTGTATCCTTAAAATACTGAAGCTGATTCAAAGATTCTGCGTTTCTACCCAGTCTCCAGGTGATGCCAACGCTTCTGGGCCACAGGGCAAGGGGCTGGTCTAGCCAGACCTGCGGCTTCCCAGGTGGACACCCCAGAGGACTGCAATACAGACAGCCTGGCTAGAGGGACGATTGTCCAGGCCTCGTCTCACAGATGAAATGGACAGCAGCTGTGGCACGCCAAGCACCTACAATGCTACCATCACCAGCTGGGTTCTGGAGCGAGAACACACAGGTGGATGGGCTCTGTGACCTTGGGCAAATTCCTTTGTCTCTCTGGGTCTCTTTGCTCATCTGCAAAATGGAAAGAACCCTGGAAAGTGGGAGAGAAGGAAGGGTCGGGAGAAAGGGGAGAGGAGGGATGGGGAAGAGTATTGTGCAGGAGACCTGGGGGAGCATTGAAAAGGAGAGGTGAAGGGAGGAGGGGGCAGAGAAAGAAGGGAGGGGAGGAGGGGGCAGGGCGAAGGCAGGCAGTCGGGGAACCTTGAAGGCAAGGGGACTCAACCAGAGTTGTAGCTGTGGGATGGCGCGAGAAGAAGAAAGTGAGGAAGAGTCTGGGGCTGGTTACCAGGGACGGCCTAGGTGTCATGGAGGAGGTAGGCAGAGAGGGTGGGCCCGAGGGGGATGCAGCGCTCTCCCTTCGTCCCAGGCTCTCAGGTGCCAGGGAGAAATGAAATTCTAGCTGCAACCCTTCTGGGAATCATCCTGCCTTTTCATTTATGGGGAATAAGTCGAAAAATGACTGGAGGAGGTGCCACCACATTATTATTATTATTATTATTATTATTATTATTATTATTATCATCATTATTATTATTTTGGCAATTGCCGCAAAAATGTCTCCACTGGGAGTGTAAAGCCTATCAGGATGGTTATGTAATGGCCGGATGCCTTCATCAGGCTCAGCACCCGCAAGCCTTCCTCCACAGGGCCATATTTAACCCAGGGTCTCTGCGGCCCAGACATGCCTGCAGTCCTGCAATGAGCTGCAGGGTGGAGGTAAAACACCCACCACCGGGCCTCTCTCTGGCAAGCCTGGCCCTGGTTCCACCCAGCTCCACAACACAGCCCTGAGAAGGGACACTGAGGCACAGAGACTTCTCAACCCCTTTCTGGACCACCAGACCCACTCATTTGTACTGGCTTTCCCCACCGACTCAGGGGCTTCCTGGGACCGGAGTTGACCTGGGGCCTCCTTGAAGAAAAGAGAAATGGCTCTCTGTGCTTCCTATAGTCCACTCTCCCAATGAAAACGTTCTCTTTTGATTTTTGTCCGAAACAGTTCTTTGTTGTCTAAGACTAGGAGGGGACAGAGAGGAGAGGGCGGTGGCAGTGGGAGGGGGACAGGGGTCCTTGCAGGAAACAGAGGAATGATGTCAATATGCTGCCAAGGGTAGAGGCTGTCATCAAGGGCCTTTACAAGGCACTGTGGCAGTGAGGGTGCAGTGTTACACAGGGTGTAATTCATAAGGGCCCAAACCCAGCAGTGCCTGCAGAGCTCAGCCCAGGGACTGGGGTGGCCCATGCCCTCCTCCAAGGGGGAGCAGCCCCTGCCACCCTTGGCGCACACTGTACCTTGACCTGGAGTGCCCTCTCTCTCCCGTGCAGTTATGACTTTACTCATTTCTCAAGGCCCGGCCCAGATGCCACCTCCTCTCCGGAGCCTACTCTGAGCCTTCCAGCCTAGGTCTCCCACCTTCCCCGCGCTGCCCGAAGCCAGCTCAGAAACGACATCCATGGAAGAAACCCACCATGCCCTGTGGCTGATCTGGCCTCTTTCTCCAAACACACTGGGAGCTCCTTAAGGGCAGTGCGGCCCTCGTCCTGGCTCCTGTGAAGAGCCCTTGGCAACTCCCTCTTCCTGTTTCATAGGAGGAGCCTCACAACTCCAGCACTTCCGCACCCAGCCTCCTGGCCCTAAGCACGGAGAGCCGGAGAGCCGCTGCCTCATTCCCCTTCACGGCCCTTAGCCCCCCTGGCTCTACATATTTTAGCTGTTTTTTGGTTTATTGTCTATTTCTCCTGACTAGAATGTAAACTCTGTCAGGGTGACTGTTTTTGTCTGTTTTCTTCTCTACTGTATGCCCAGCATCTGGAACAGTGCCCAGCACAGAGTAGGTGCTTAGTAAATGTTGGTTACACACAGCTCTTTACAGAGTGAATTATGCAGTAGAGTTTTTTCTTGCCTTGATCCACACACATGCAGCAACCGAAGGGAGGTGATTTGTTCTGCACTGGAAAGGGCAGGGGAGAAGGGAGGTCTTTCATACCACTTTGAGGTCTCATCCCCTTTCCTAGAAAATCTGGAAACTGATAGCATCTCTCCATAGAATTCTCTTTATCCAGAGCATAGGCCCTCAGAGAGCTCCAAGAACAAATATTTTTTTGCTCACATCTTTTTTGGAAAACATTCAGAGAACACCCTGCCTTTTTGAGAGGAGAGAAGTACAGTGACTCCCCCAGTGTCACCACTCAGCAAGTCAGTGGCCCAGCCAGAGCCACCTCCGGCGCCAGGCCAGGGCACTGGCCATGCCCACACTGGCTGTCTCTGCCACCCACTGAGGCTGAGAGAGGCAAAAGACCAGGAAAGGGGCTGACTTTGGAGTTTTGATCCAAAACTGGGGCTGGGGCTCTGGGGAAGGCCCCAGGCCTAGGAGCTTCTGCACAAATAGAGCTGGTTCTCAGGCTGGAAACCAGACCACCTGGGCCAGCGCTGTCACCTGGAGCCTTGTGAGAGCACCACCTCCTGGGATCCAAGCATGGGGTTCAGTAGGAATCTGCATTCCTAACACAAGCTGATGCTGCCAGGAGGAGGACCAGCTTTGAGAACCACTGGCTTAGAGAAAACATTCCCAGCTCTTCCTAGGCTCACGCTGGGGAATTCGACTGGGAATTAAGCTGTGTGAGGGACCTTTGCTTTGTATTTATCCACTTAGGCATTGTTATGAACATTTAAATACCTGTAGAGATTATTTTTGTAATAATTTTCAAAGTTTAAAAAAAAAAACGAACAATTCATGCATGGTATGAATGGCAATTATCTATTCAACCTAACAAGCATTTATTATGTGCCTACTGTGTGCAGGCCAAAATTTTAAATGAGTAAGAGGCAGTCCCCATTGTCTAGACACAAAGCCGTGATGGGGAGTGAGACAAATAAAATAGCATTAATAGAAAGGAGGAGGAACGATGCTAGAGGTGTTTACAGATACAATGGGGACACAGGTGGCAATTAATTCCACCTGAAGAATCAGGAAAAGCAGCCAGAGGAAAGGTAGCATTTTCACTCAGCCTTGAAGGACCCCAGCCAAGGAGAACAGCATGAACACAGCCTGGAGAAAGGCAGGATCTGCATTTTTAAGGAACTGGACCAAAAGCCTGGGGTTGGTCAGATATGGGGGTTGGAAGACGCTGGAGGTGGGCCAGAAAAAGCTGGTGGCGGGCAGGTGCTGAAAGTCCCTAAGTGGCTGTGACTTCACAGAAAGAGGAGCCATCAGGCATTCAGAAGCAAGGCTGAGGGTGGATGGGCTGGCAGGAGGAGGAGAAGAGAGTCTGGAGACCAGGGAGAAAGCAGGTGCAGACATCCCGGAGAGGGGTGATGGGGTCCTGGGTTGGGGACAGTGGAGCAGCAGCACTGGGAACAGACATTGTTGACTCCTGGCCTGAGGGAGGAGGAGGGAGAGAGAGGGGTCCATATGCCCTGAAGTTCCCAGCTTGGCCACAGGGATGTGCCAGCGCCGGGACCTGTATCACATGGTCCCGCCCTATTTCCTCAGCCACAGTTGGTTGGTCCATGTCCAGGCACCTGATCCAATTAGGTGACGAATCCGGGGGTGAGAGGGGCAGCACTGAGATTCTGCCAGAGGCCTGCTCTAGAAGATTCTTTGCAAAATATGTATAACTAAGGCCTCAGCCTTGATACCTGCACCCTCTTGGTCCCAGCACGGGACTGGGGACTCAGCCCTGTAGTCACAGGAAAGGAGGGCAGAAAGGGCTAGTGCAATCCAGGAGGACCTCCTAGAGGAGCCAGCTGGATTTGGATGGGCAGAAGGAAAAGCAGAAGCCATGCAGGAGCACAGGACCGGACAGGACCTCAAAGTCCATCTCTTCCTTTCCAGCCCTCTTCGGGGAGGAGCCCCAGTGCAGCCCAGCACCTCCGGGAAGGGGCTCCAATTCCCTCCTCCTCACCCCTCTAGCCTGGGGTCCCAAGAGTGGCTCTGGTAGGGAGTGTATGGCCTCTCAGCAGATGGGGAAATGAGCCCAGAGAGAGCAGTATCTTAGTTCATTGTGTGTTGCTATAACAGAATACCACAGACAGGGTAATTGATAAACAATAGAAGTTTATATGGTTCACTGTTCTAGAGGCCAATAAGTCCAATATCAAGGTGCCAGCATCTGGTGAGGGCCTCCATGCTGTGTCATCCCATGGCCAAAGGTGGAAGGGCAAGAGGGCACAAGACAGCAAGGGTAAGAGGGGGCTGATCTTGCCTTTATAACAAGCCCACTCGCGAAATAACTAACCCACTCCTTCAATAATGATATTAATCCATTCACGAGGGCAGAGCCTTCATGGCCTAAGCACTTCTTAAAGGTCCCACCTTTCAACACTGTTGCATTGGGGATGAAGTTTCCAACACATGAACTGTGGGGGACACATTCAAACCTTAGCAGGCAGCAACTCACCTCAGGTCACATAGCCAGTTAGTGGTCCTACAGGACCCCAAATTCAGGCCTCTTTCTCCTGGGGAGGTGGGCAGGCTGGGCAGACCTCCATGTGGCAAAATCTCCCAACCTATATAGGACATAGAGGATTGGCCCAGAAATGCTGACTGGGAGCCCCGTGTAGACTTCCTTGGGCACCGAGTCTGAGAAGCCCTGCAAGCCCAGTGCACCCCCTCCTAGAAACTCCTTCAGCTCCAGCCTGGGGTGGGGGTCAGGAGGTTAGCAGCACTGTAGTCTCACAGCATCAGACAAATGCCTTCCTGCTCCCACTTCCAGCTACCTCCCATCTGGCCTGGGGGTGGGTGGCAGGGTTCTCTAAACCCTCCTTCCAGAGTGCCAGCCACAAGCTGCCCGCCACATGGGGAAGAGAGGGAAAGCGGAGAGAAAAGAGGCTCTGCTTGTGCCAGCCCAGGTGCCTGTAGACCGCTTCTTGGTGGCAGGGAGCCACTGCTGTGTCACAGTGGAAGTGACAGCAGTGACAGGGACCTAGTCTGATCCACTGGGATGCAGATGGATGGTAGCATGCTGCATTAGAAGAGGACACAGATGCCCCTGCAACTGGAGTCTCCCCAGGTCAGGACCAAGCCCACTCAGGGCCTGGGTGACAGCAGGAAACCCCAGTTCCTCTGTTTCCTGCCTCGCTGTGTACCAATTCTCCCTCCCACCACACACTCTATCCTTCTTTCTTTTTTCTTCCTCCCATCTCTCTCCCACCTCCCTCAGTTCCCCTGCTTCCCTGCCCCCTCCCTCCTCCTCCATGGTTGTTATTCCTTTCGGTTAAGCAATGCCCTCCCCTTGTGTCCTCTTTGTAAATCCTCCTGGAGAAGTCCTCAGGTTGTTTCAGTGACTTCCCTGGAAGGACACAAATGAGAACACAAAATGGGGGGTGAAGAGCATCTCCCTCCATTCTCCCATTTGGCCTCTTGAGCCCTGCCTTGGGACTGCAACGACAGGAGAAGAAGCCAGAAAAAACAAAGGGGAGGCTGGGAAGCGGAGAAAGCACCAGCACCTGCCCACAGGGAGGAGTGGGGACGGGCAGGGGGAAAACTGGGTCGACCCCAAATTTCAACCCCGGAAGTGCCCAGAGCTCCACTCTGGCAGGGGCAGGGACCTGGGAGAGCCACCTTCCTCCACATCCCTAGCTCTCTCTTGAGCCTGAAGAATATGTGTCACCTGCCTAATGAGGCACAGCAGGTGGAATGGGGTTACGAGGTGTCAATGAAGCCATTCCCCACCATGCACAGCAACCATATGTGGCAGGTCTGTGGCAGGAACTGGCCCGTGATCCCTGTCACCCCACAGTCCACCTCCTGGGGAGCCTGAGGCCACTGCTGTTCATTCCCCAGTGGCTGCTGTCAGCCGGCACGCCCAGCCCCATCTGGCTCGAGAACTGTCAAAGATCTCCTACATCGCACGCCAGCTGAACACGGCCTGCAGACTGAACGTACTGTCCCACACACTTGCACTGCCATTTTTCAGATGTCTAAAGATGCTCTTGTGATTAATAAAATGCAAATGCATCCAAAACGTTGCTGAACCCATAGTGGATTTTTGTCATTGGGAATTTCATACACAGTGACTTGTACTGAAAGCTCAGTTGAAAGTTTTTATTTTCAAAGTGATGCTGGGTTTTATTCTTTTTTGGTTTTCTTTTTAACTTTTTTATTCTGGAGAATTTAAACACACACACACACACACACACACAAGCAGAGATAATTGGGGAGCCCCAGATACCCCTTCCCTAGCATCAGCAGCCCTCAGCTCTTGGCCGGTCTCATTGCATCTACGCCGCAGCCATGTCCCCTGCCTAGTTATTTTGAAGTAAACCCCGGACACCATATCATTTCCTATTTCAATCTTTTACTATAGATCACTAAAAGATAAGGACTTTGTTTTTAAACAGAGTCAAAACACCAATATCACACTTAAAGAAAAAAGCTTAATGGTAATTCTTTCACATCCAGTCGTGTTCAAAGCGGTTGAGACTTTTTTGTCAACCATGGATCTTCATGCTTGAAAAGGCGGGATCCACCGGCCTGTGTGTCCCTCTCGTTTGGTCGTAACTGTGCCTGCTTTTTATTCCTCCCAACCTCCTCCCCATCGTGGTGGGTAAGAACAATCCTGGGCCAGAAACCGAGTCAGAATCCTCTTCCCTTCCAAACCCCCAGAGGAGAAGCGAGTCAGGGCCGCTGCTATGGGCTCCACAGTGGCTGTTCCATAAACACGTGTTCAGTCGAATTGAGCTGCATTTTGATGCTGCAACACAGGTGTAGATCGAAGGCCTCAGCTCAGAGCATAGTGAAAAGCAGTGGGCACCCCACCCCCAGCAGGAGCAGACACTCAGGGAGAAGGTCCAGGTCCAGCACGGGGGTGGGGGCAGTCAGCTTCCCCCTCTAGGTGTCCGGAACAGAGCCCACAGCCTCAACTATTCTGCTGAAGGGTCTTGCCTGCCTGACCTCTGTGCCACTCCATCAGGTCCTGTGAAAAGTTGTGCCTAAGCACCCTCCTCTCTGCTCTACATCGAAATGCCACCTCCTCCTGGGAGCCCTCCTGGAGCCCATCTACCATGAAAGGCCCACTGACCTTTATCCTCTGTGTCCTCTGGACTTTGCCTGGCCCGCCCTTTACTGAGGTTGTGAATCATTTGCTTCCCCTTCGATGTAGCTGTGAGCCCCTGAAGGGCAGGGACAGTGCCTTGTCCATCTCCATATCCCCCATGGAAAGCTCTCAGCAACTGCTAACAGCTGAACAAACAGCAGACCATATTTCTACCTGGAGATGTGCCTTCCTTGCTGAGATATTTCCATCCTTATTGATTTTCTCTACCCCTTTGATCATTTTCTCCCTTTTTAAGCCAGAGCTTCTCACACACAAATCCATTTATTTTGCAAGCTCTTAGTAAGCACCATTGTGTCTCAGGTGCAGGGCTAGGCAGTCACTCTACTAACAGCGAGGCCAGCAGGGGTGCAATGACACGAACAGCGTCACGCATGTGTAGGTATGTATGGATGCAGGTGGCTTCTCCAAACCCTCCACACATGGGTTAGATCCTGCAACCCCTGGGTTCACACAACCCCAGGCCTGGCTCTCCTTCACCTTCAGGTGTTGGCAACTCAAACCTAAATCAGACAGCTGGTCCCGTCCTTGGTGGAGATGACATTTAAGTTGAAGAAAGATTTTCACATCCATGTCTCATTCAATTCTCAGGTCAACCAGGAAGTGAAGGATTGGAAGAGACAAATATGCCCAGTCATCAGTAGATGAAAGTGAAACACAGAGAGGTTGTGCTTTGCCCAAGAAGCACACAGCACAGCAGGGAGGGAGAGTGCCTGGACCTGAATCCAGCTTCAACACATTTCAGGGTCCACGAAGCCAGCCTCCAGGAGACCCCACGTGCACAGTGCTTGGTCTGGTCCCACCCCCAAGCCCTTTGTCATCACCCAGAAAACTCCCTCCTCCCTGTATCTGGTACTAAGAGAGTTGGGAGGGGCCTCCAAAGTCCCCAGCATGGCCTACCCCCTTCCTTACATTAATATTACAGTTGAGGTAACCGAGTCAAGATGGGGAAACGCCTCAGCATGGATTGAGCACCTACCAGACACACCAGCCTCTTGGCATCCATTGTCTATTTAATGCTCACCCCACCCCAGCAAGGCAGACCTTGACCCCATGATCTACATGAAAAGGGGCTCCAGCCAAGCCAAGCCCCAATATTTTTGCAACCTCATTGGCCAGAAATGGGAACAAACTTCTATATCAAAGCTGTCAGCACTTCTCTGATTCGTGTTGTGGAAAGACAGCTCTTCTGTTCTGAGAAAAATAATTTAGCAGATTTTTTTGTGTAAAAGTGCAGCTAAACTCCTCTTCTGGACTGGAGAGAGTGGATTTGATGAGAAGCACATGATTTTGGAGGCAATGTGGCCTCTCTCTCTCTGTCTCTCAGCTCAGCAGAGGTTGGGGATCTGGACCATGGGTCACAGGGTTAGGGCCAAAGGCGCTTTCACTAAAGGTGTAAGTGGCCGCTTGGTATCGGTCCAACCTAAAGTGAGAGCCACCCAGTGGGAGAAGGGTTGGAGAGGTGCCCGTGGAGGCAGGATCAGGGCACCTGCCAGCCAACTTTTCTTTACACTGGCTAAGCCCTAAGTAAAGCTTGTTTAAACCCCAGAGCCTGGTCTTTGCCAGACTTTGCAAATTAAGGGAATTAGGCCGTGTCCCAGCTTGGAAGGAAGGGGTTGAGGAGGAAGGAATTGACCTGAAAGTGCCCACAGTGAAGACATGGCAGGCAGAGACCAGGAACAGCTGTCAGTGGGAGCGAGATGCTGGCAGAGCTGCCACCACGGATTTTGGGAGATGTGCAAGAATTCCTTAGGGATCCCTAGAACTACTTGGGAGGGAAACCTGAAAAAGACTGGACTTGCCACATGGCGGGAATGGGAGGGGCTCAGAGTATCGTCGCCCTGAAAATCACAGACCCCATAGACCGGAGAAGTCGGACACATCTGGGTCACTACCGATGAGAAAACTGAGACCCCTGAGGCCAGATGCATTGCCTAACACTCTCCCAAAGCCCCTGCTCTTCTGGCTGGAATACGAATGCAGCTCTTCTGCTTCAGCCCTGCCAGTTCCTCAGGAGAACCAGTTTCCCCCAGGCTGAGCGGCTGGTTGGCCCAGTTCCTTTGCTCACCATCTCCTTGCCTCTCAGTCAGAGGCTCCTCCACCTCAAGAAGGCATGCGGTTCTTAGCAGGGGCAGCCCGCCCTGACATGCGTGTTTGCCCTCCACCTTGGCTCTGATTGACTTTTTACTTCCTGCCTGTCCAAGCAATAATTAGGATTCCTTTTTCCATATTAAGCAGCTGCTGTCATCACCACTTCACAGCTCTCCTAATCACATTTCCCCTTCTTCTCTTTATTCTGGAGGCAGGTTTCTGACAAGTCCCGTTTCCATTCCCTGCAAATAAAAAAAAAAAAAAGAAAAAGAAAGAAAGGAGAAGGATGTTGAAGATAGAGACTGGAAAGGTGGGGATGGAGGTGGCAGATCTGGGGGTGGCTTTCTTAGAATATGAACAAGTCCAGCTCTGACTTCCAAGGCAGACTCAGCCTGGATGGAACAAAGATCACATCCTGCAGAGGAACTAGGAGGGACCCTCATGAATCCATGGCCCCCAGACTCACCTGTCCCTGATACCCGAATCTCCTCATTATAGATTTATCCTTTTGAATAGGGCTTGTTAGAAATACAGATACTCCTGGGCCAGGCACGGTGGCTCATGCCTGTAATCCCAGCACTTTGGGAGGCTGAGGCAGGCGGATCACCTGAGGTCAGGAGTTCAAAACCAGCCTGGCCAACATGGTGAAACCCCATCTCCACTAAAAATACAAAAACTAGCCGGGCGTGGTAGCACACACCTGTAATCCCAGCTACTCGGGAGGCTGAGGCAGGAGAATCACTTGAACCCAGGGGCCGGAGGTTGCAGTGAGCCGAGATTGTGCCAGTGCACTCCAGCCTGGTTGACAGAGCTAAACTCTGTCTCAAAAATGAAAATAAAAAATAAAAATAAAAATAATACAGATACTCCTGGAGGAAGACTTGTCAAACTCAGAGTGATTTTTGGTGGCATCTGTGAGGATCCTGTGCGCCTGCCCCCTTCCCCTGCTCTGCAATGGATCACAGTGTGCTGCCCCCACAAACTACATTTCCCAGGCTCCCTGCCTGCTGGCTTCCTGTCAGGTTAGACCAATAGCAGTCACTGGCTGGAGGCTGGTAGGAGGGAGAAGAGGAGAAGCCTGGGTATTTCTTCCCACTCCTCTGATCTGTGGTGTCTCTGCCAGTGGCTGTTTATTGGCTTCCAGAGTTTGTCCCTCCACAATTCCAGTTCCAGTTCCAGCCTGGGAGGCCCCTGGGTAGCCCCTTCTCTGCATCCCAGCTCCCACTGGGCAGCCCAGCTCCCAGGCTGTCCCTATTCCTCCAACCTAGGGTGGAGCAGATTCCTGCCATTAGCAATCTTCGGATCTTTCTTTCCCCATCTCCTGCTCAGCTCCCCCAGCACCTCTGGAATTTTTTTGCATATTATATTCCCTGATTGAACTGCCTGGCGAAAGCTCCGTTTTCCTGCTTGGACCGTCACTGATAGAGCTTCTCACCATTAAAATATTCAACACGGAACTGTGGATGCCACCTCGCCTAACACATATCTCTTCCTTCCTCAGTTTTCTCCAGCTGATTAAATACCACCGCCGTCCACACCACACTCAAGTCAGAAATCTAAACATCACCCTTGATTCTTTAATCACCAAATCTGCTTCCAAGTATATATTCTGAATCTTGGGTTTCCATCATCACCATCCTCCCTCCCCTGGCCTGTGGCCTCCCGACTGAGGTCCCTAATTCTCATTTCCTCCCACAATCTTCTTTCCACATGGTACCCCGACCCACACCATGTCTTCTCCCCACCGTCTAATGTCCCTCAGTGGCACCCCCTTCAAACTATCCAGGGTCAACCAGGATGTGTGCCCCCTGTGGAACACCCCCTGCTTCTGGCTATCTTAAGAAAAGAAATGGGGGGCTCAGAAGTGATGACAGGAGGCTCTAGATTTGGAAAACAGGTAAGAGGCATCTGTTAGTGGGAACAGCCTATGCAGAACACCCCCAAAGCTCCCCCATTACCACTGAGAGGGAGCCTGACTTTTTTCCATCTTTGGCCACTTGAGACTCAAAGTCCAGGGCAGAAGTGAGCAGTCAGCCAAGCCAGGTTATGTGGCAAATCCTAGCTGAAAGGGAGAGAGAGAAAGGATGAGTCCAGTCCCTCTAGCTCTCTCCCTCTGCCCCCAGATGGGAGGAAGGGTGGCTGCTGACGGTGGTCAGGGAATGATAAGTGTCCTCATGTGGCTCTTGGGGCCTTGTGGGATGGCGTCTCTCTCCTCCTCTCCACAGCTCATCCACCCACCCGACTGCCCCCCCGGGCCCACTCCACACCATGTGGAATGTCAGTTTCTAGAACACAGCCAAACTCCTTCCTGCCTGTAGAGTTTCCCGGTAGGGCTGCTCCTGGCAGAGGAGTGGCACCCATGGCCCTGGCTGCCCACAGTCCTCTTGCTCGCTCCACTGCCCCTGCTGGAGGGAGCGGTAGGGAGGGTGGGAGGGCCAGGTCTTGCTGCGGTTGGCTGTGTGGGGTGACCCTCATCCAGCCTTTGGGCCAGTGCGTGTGTGAACCCTCAGTGTTGTCAGGGCAGCGCTCCGGCTGCTCCCCCAAGGGAGCGTCCTCTGGTGCCCTCCACCTTCCCCCAAGGCCTGGGATCTGCAGTTGGGGGGGCTTCTCCCAGAGGCAGGGCTCACCTCACTGGGTGTGGAAACCCTGCCTCTCTGTGTCCCATCTCCCAAACACATTCTCTCCCGCCTCCCCCAACCTCCTTTACCACCAACAGCTGCAGAATTTCAGCCCAGAGCATAAAAGACAGGTGATTGTCTTTGCCTTTGTTCTTTTAAGAAGAAAAACAATGAGGAGACAAACCCTAGGAAATCAAGTGAGGGAAAAATCCAATCCTGCTTTCTGAGGAAATGTTAAATCAGCGAACTGAAATGCCGACATGAAAGCAGGAAGGCCGGTGGAACCTGTCACACCCGGGCCAGCAGGTGGGTGGTGGTGGGATGGGGCACAGCTGGGGAAGGGGCCTGCAGCAGCACCAGGCTGAGGCCCCAGAGTTCATACCCCGTGGCTCCCCTTTGGCACTCTCTGGCCCCTGGGCTCTCATAGTCTCTCCCCACCCAGCAATACAGCGTGATTCAGGGAGAACTCTCTTGCTTCAGCCCCTCCCATCACCAAATTATGCTTAAGTCCCCTGCCCCACCCATCGTGGAGGAGAGCACTCCCTCCTGGTGGCCTCAGTGAGTTTGGCCTCCTTGGCCCCCCAGGATTGGCCCCTTAGGCTGCACCTCCTGAGAGAAAGTGGCCCTGTTGCTCTCCGTACCCCCCGAGAGAGTTAGCCCTTGAAGAGAGGACTGCATTCCTGTTTCCTGGGCACCCACCAATGCTCAGTGCCCTGGTCAGCACCTTACAACTTTGGACCTGCTGGACACAGGAGGGATCCGAGTGAAGCACACAGGGGCAGTGAGGAAGGAAAACGTGGCTGCGGTCTGTGAAGAGGGCACATCGGGGGTAGCCACTCAGTGCTAGGCTGTCGGATGGGGTGTGAAGGAGACCAAACGATACTTGGAGAAGAGAACAGCAACCAGGGAGGCAGCACCAAGACGGAGCAGGGTCAATGGGAGGAAGAGGAGGCTGGGGCCCCCTCCCTGGTACTTGAGCTGGGCCCAGGCCTGAAGAGGGCATGCGGGACCTCAGGGATGGCAGCTTGGGGGTGGGAGGGCGAAGGGAAGCCCCTCCGTGTGGTTATCGCCATGCCCAGGCTGTTTTGTCCTCTAACGAGCCATCTCCTCCCCATGCAGCATTGGTCCGTGTGGTTCTGTGTAGAGCTGGCCTCTGTGGGAGCCTCCACACACTAAGCCGGCTGGGGGTCTTTTAGGAGTCCTGGCCCTGTCATCATGAGCTTTTTGGAAAAACACTGGGGGGACAAACTGGACCCCTGTAACAACCTGACAAAGCCAGTGGCTGAGGGGAGGGCTGGACTCGCCATTTCAGCAGCCCCTTCCCTTGGGAGCTAACAGCAAGCCCCCGCCCCCCGCCCCCCGCCCCCCCAGAGGGAGGCTGAGCCCGCCCACGCTCCTCTCTCCAGCTTCCTGAATCTCTTGTTTTCCTGAGTACCCTTGAATGAGGGTAATCATTCCAGAGACTCAGCAGGCGACGTTTGGCTGCCCTTAGGGAAAAGGGAAATATGTCCAAGTCTATTTGTTTAAATTATTCAGCCCTCCAAGTTTCAAAGCTGCGTGAAGGGTGGCCGGAGCCATCAGCACCACGGACAGCGCACTCGGGCCCAAGAGGCCACCAGGTGCCCTGCAGGCTGGAAGCTGGGGAGGGGGTGGCTTCTAGGCCTAAGAAAACCTCACTGCCGAGGCCCTGAGAGCACATCCCTTTGACTGCAGCTTGAAGGGACATCGGATAAGGAATGTCACCGGCGGGCCCAGTTGCCTGGTAATCAACCATCCTCAGTGCCCTGCATGGAAAGGCAATTTAGGCAAGAATTAAAAAGCCATCGCATCATTTAAAATCCAATAACACAGCTGGCCTGAAATGTGTCCCCAGTCTCTGGGGAGGGTGGAGGTGGGGTGTGGGAGATGCTGAGGGCAGAGGGATGTGACAGCGAGGGAAGAGAGAGGCAGATGGGGAGAAGAGGATGGCATGGGCATGGAGGTTCTTGAGGCTGCACACCTTCTCACCACCCAGCTGAAGTCTGCTCACCAGCCCCCTCTTAAGAGCCCTTTCTGATGACTCCAGCCTTAACGATATTCTCTTTTCTGGAGTCCTTCAGAGCTGGCTGCCCATGCTAAGTGCCGTCTCCTTGTATTCAGCATTGATTCCTGGCTGTTCATCTTTCCTTCTCGAGCAGAACAAGTTCTCCTGCAGGGCTAGGCTGTGCTTACAACATCCGTGTGCACACCCTCACCCAGTGCCAAGCACAGAGCTCAACACTAGGTAGTAATTATTCACCACTCACCAGTGGGTCCATTGCTGCACCTTTTACATACTGCTCTGAACTGAACATAGTCCTGACCCACTCTGCATTACCTCTCTGCAACCCAGCAAGGCCATCCCCAAATGAAAATAATAAAACTTGTGTTAATCACAAGTCTGTGTGTTAAATGCAAAACAAGTAAGGGAATTTCCCCGTTTCATTGCCAGTGTCTAAAAAGGGTTCATGCACATTCCTTCAGGTAAAAGCTCTGAATTCACTTAACCCTCCTAAGAGAGCCAGAGAATTCCTAATCTACTAAGATGATGTTAACCCTTTTCACATCAAATAAAGCCCTCCTGCAGGTAATCTTCCTGTCACAAGCTGACTGCCTTGATGTGACTTGGAATTGAGTGGGGATACTCCATTCCCTTTCATATTCCATCCTCCTTGGTAAAACCTGAAAGCAGGAGGATTCAGGTTTGATTGGATCTGTTCTTGCAATTTATGCCTTCAGTCCCTCGAGGGCTTACACGTGTCTATTTTAAATAAACTCCCCCTTTTTTATCTCCTTTTTACAAAGAACAACTCAAATCTTCTCTGAGGAGAGCTTTACTTTGGGATGGATTTCAGTTCTGACAGTCCAACATTCATGAGACAGGCCCTGGGTGAATAATGATTGAATGAATCATCTCTGTGATGGAGTCTTGCTTGAGAGCTGGGGATATTCTCTCAAGGTCCTGCAGCGCTTTTGGCTGTAATTTCCTAATAACTTGGTTGCTCTTTCAAGGAAAATCTTATTCTAAGAAGTGGAGAAGGGAGAAAAGGGATGGATGGTGTCAAGGGAGGGAAGGGTGAGCTCTAATGCCCCTGTCTTCAGAAGTGCTTTGGGCAGCTCTTTCTTGTTTTAGATCTAGGTAAGAGGAGCTGAGGCTTGCCACTATCTAAACTGCTGTCTCCAAATTCATCCTGCCTGCGTCCTGGATGCTGCAGTGTGAACACAAGATCATGCCTCTGGCTCACCCTACTATCCTGCTTGAGATTTCCGGACCTGCCCATTTGCTGCATAGTTAGATGTGGCACACACGAGGCCACAAGGATTAGGAATGGAGGATTGTGGTCATTTATGGTGGCAGATCTGGCCTCTACTTAGCCAGACATCTGTGAAGGGGTTTGGGGCCTGAAGTCCCCAGGGAATGGAAGGTGAGACTGGCCCCTTATACCAGACCTGACCAGCAAACAATTTCACACTCAATTCCTTGGTGAACTCACCCTCCTCCACCAGCCTCTCACACTTCCCCAGATGTGGGGAAAAGCAAGAGAGATCAGATTGTTACTGTGTCTGTGTAGAAAGAAGTAGACATAGGAGACTCCATTTTGTTATGTACTAAGAAAAATTCTTCTGCCTTGAGATTCTGTGACCTTACCCCCAACCCCGTGCTCTCTGAAACATGTGCTGTGTCAACTCAGAGTTGAATGGATTAAGGGCGGTGCAAGATGTGCTTTGTTAAACAGATGCTTGAAGGCAGCATGCTCCTTAAGAGTCATCACCACTCCCTAATCTCAAGTACCCAGGGACACAAAAACTGCGGAAGGCCGCAGGGACCTCTGCCTAGGAAAGCCAGGTATTGTCCAAGGTTTCTCCCCTTGTGATAGTCTGAAATATGGCTTCGTGGGAAGGGAAAGACCTGACCGTCCCCCAGCCCGACACCCGTAAAGGGTCTGTGCTGAGGAGGATTAGTATAAGAGGAAGGCATGCCTCTTTCAGTTGAGACAAGAGGAAGGCATCTGTCTCCTGCCTGTCCCTGGGCAATGGAATGTCTCGGTATAAAACCCGATTGTACGTTCCCTCTACTGAGATAGGGAAAAACCGCCTTAGGGCTGGAGGTGGGACCTGCGGGCAGCAATACTGCTTTGTAAAGCATTGAGATGTTTATGTGTATGCATATCTAAAAGCACAGCACTTAATCCTTTACATTGTCTATGATGCAAAGACCTTTGTTCACGTGTTTGTCTGCTGACCCTCTCCCCACAATTGTCTTGTGACCCTGACACATCCCCCTCTTCGAGAAACACCCACAAATGATCAATAAATACTAAGGGAACTCAGAGGCTGGCGGGATCCTCCATATGCTGAACGCTGGTTTCCCGGGTCCCCTTATTTCTTTCTCTATACTTTGTCTCTGTGTCTTTTTCTTTCCTAAGTCTCTCGTTCCACCTTACGAGAAACACCCACAGGTGTGGAGGGGCAACCCACCCCTACACCCAGATCTCACCCAGCCACCCAGCCCAATCCCTGGACCCCAGAGGAAACAGAATCCTCCCCTTTCTCCTGCCACTCCAGAGTGGGCTGGTTGAAGGAGACCCATGTGACTGCCACCCACAGCTGTCAACGGCAGAGGCTGCATGTGGCCCGCTGTTTCCATTTGCAGCTGCTGGCAGCCCCCCAAATCCAAAAGTCATCAGCCCAGCAGATGTGGGGAAGTCAACAACTGAGGTTTGCTGATGCAATGGAAGAGAAAAAATTTGGACAGCTTGAGTGTTCTACCTGAATCCACCCTGGATAAGACTGACATTTGAAACAACTTTGGCTCCCATCCTCATGGCCTAAAACCTCTACCAAGACTTCTTTCCTTCTTAAACATGAAAGTGCAAACTTTTCTCAACCACAGACTTCAGACTTCCTTAATCATTTATGAAAATGTGTCAGCTGTCCCTGCCTCCTGTTCTAGCGCCTGGTGCCCTCAGGTCAGGGAGCCAGGAGCGCTGCCTGCCCTGAAGGGGTTGAAGAGAAAGAAGAGGCTTTGGCTTACAAGAGGCCAACCTTTCCTTAGAATTAATTCATCACTTCCAAAGCAATCTGCTTTCTCTTCACACGCATCCATCATTGCCATAAAAATATTAAAACTCGATTAAAAGGAGATCTGGTACCACAAGCTCAATTCCCAGAAGAAACAGAAAAAAAAAAAATCCCATAGAAGTCCAGTGCATAGACCCTGCTCTTAGCACCCACACCCCGTCCTTGGAAAAAAAGTTATGTGATCTCTTCTTGAAGTTTTATAGCAGCAGCTTTGGCGATAAGCCCCCATAAATAGAAAGGAAACCCAGAAGCAAGTTGGTGACGGGACATTTCTAGGAGTATTTTAAACCCCCAGGGAAATATTGACTGGGAAATCCGCAGGGATGCTATTGTAAAACTCAGCCGAGTCCCCAGGTTGTGTGCACACTGTCAATAGTCCTTGAGGCTGAACGAAAAAGAAAAGCATTTTATTGGATTGTTTCGGGTCCAGGTTGTCAGTGCACATTGAATGGACTCAACAGGAAATTGGAGATGCAGGAATGTTAATTCAAGTAGCAGATGTAACACACAAACAAGAAGCTCGGAAAATTGGAAATTAATCCTGGCCAGACCCTCTCTGTGTCAGTGTTTTCCTCTCCACTTGCACTGAGTCTGTATCATGGGGCTCTTGGCGTATGGTTTCTGCTGTGTGTCATTTCTCAACAATCATTTGTGAGTTCTGAAAAAAGATCCTGAGCCATAGAAGGAAAAGAATAAAAATACTCCACAGGTCACCAAAGCCTGTGTCCCCTGGGCCAGGACAAAGTCGTTGCCAAAATACATCTCTCAGAGCTTTGCTTGACCCAGTTTTAAACGTCGTCACCATCAACTCGTAATTTTGCTTATGAGTCCAGTTGCACACCTCTGGCTCTGTAAGGGACATCAAGGACTTTAGATGCGAGGGCTCAGCAACAACTCTCTCTCCTCCTGCCCTCCCTCCTACACCTGGGTTCTTTGCCTTGCTTTAGCCTTTGCTTAACATGAGGGATGCACATTTAATTGTTACCAGCGTTCTGGACAAGCCAACCTTTTGAAACCTTTCATTTTTCATTGTTATTCCTTCAGCTTTGGCACTCCTGCAATCCTTAGGCTGTTTTGGCTCCCCTGAACTCTGCCTTTGTCTGGCCGCTGCCCTCTGGCTCATTGAGGAACCCACCTGGAGAACAGGGTGGTGTTCAAGCTGCCCCGCCCGCAGGAGCCCCCAGTTGCACCTTTTCTTCTTGGCTGGTCCCTCCCTGTCACCCATATCCTCCATCCTGTGTCCTCGGGGCCTTGGTGTCATATGTCCAGCAGCCCACCTGGCCATTTCCAGCACGCAGTTCTAACTCCCGACATCTTCTTGTATTAGATCTCTGTCCTCCCTGATGTTTGCTATATCTCCCAATTTAGTATCATCTGCAAATTTAATTAACATGTCGTTGCCTCCCTGTTCCAGACCGTTAATGAAGATGTTATGGCGGTACCTGGCAAACAATATTTTCAAGGTCATGAGGAGAGGAGAGCTAAACTGCTAATACCTCTGCCTGCTGTGGGAGAAAGAAGCAATCAAGTGCTCACATGTGGTTTGAGCCATTTCCTCTGAGTTTTGTCAACTTCCTTTCCCAGATTGGGGTTAGGTTTCTACGCCTCCCCTCTGCCTCGGCTGCTGCATATCCGTGGCAATTCCCACTTGGAAAATGAAGAACATCAGATTATGCCTTCCTTTTATTTTTGTCTGGTTTCTAGCAGGAGAGAAACAGCCACTAATTGAGCATTTGTAGGGAGAGCCAAGGTACATGGTAAAGACAAAGTAGTGGTTATTAAGCTTGTTATCTACCCAGCTCCATTTCTAAAGCACTAATCGTGGCAGTGGAAAATGCCCAACGAGGACCAAGGCACAAACAGGGGAGAGAAGACGTATTCCTGGTGAGATGGTTCCCAAAGGGCTGGCTCACACAGCCTGCAGCCCAGAGGAGTGTGAGGGGAGGCCACTGCATCCCAGCAGCTTGTGACCCCAAAGCAGACCTGGAGCCCCCTGTGAGTCTACATTCCCCTTCTGCATTAGCAGGCATAGCTCATTGTGAACCCTGGTTTGCCTTCCTTCCACACCAAACTGCAGATGTCTCACTGTAATACTGCAAATTACTTGGGTCAGAAACACTGAATCATGGGAGCGATCCAGGTTAGTGCTATTCACGCCCAGAAAATTGATCCCGGGTTATTTACTGTTTCCCGCACTTCCCTTCTCCCCATCCCTCACTACAGGCCTGTCTTGGGCTTGGAGGCTCCTAATCATTTCTCAGACAGAGTGTCTTGGAGGCATCTCTGGACCAGAGCCCAGACTGGCCCAGCAGAGGCAGGGCACGGATCTCAGACCTCCAGTGTGGAGGGGCCCTGGGAAAGTGGCCTCAGATGTCTCCTTGTGCTCAGTGGATAGGCCTGGTCCGCCATCTGCAGTCCTCCTCCCAGCCCAAGCCTGGCATCTCCAAGCCTAAGGACACACAGCACAAGCGGCACTTGTTCCGGTTGGTCAGCTCAGGTTGCCTCATGCTCAGAGACCTCGCAGGGGATGGCTTAAGGAGAGAGTGACAGGTTTGTAGAATTGGTACCAGGCCACTGTTTTGTGTCTTCCCCAGCTATAAACATCCCTATGCACATTCACCAAACAATGAGGGGCAGGAGAACACAGTTATTTAATAAAAAAATAAAAACTTGATTCTGAAGCCAGACTCCCTGAGTTTGAATCCTGGCCTGGCCATTTGAATAGCTGTGTGACCTTGGGTCCGTTGTTCCACCTCAGTTTCCCCACATGTAAGTTGGGATAATAACCACATGAACCTCAGGGCTGTTGTAAGGTTTTAAAAAGCAGATACGTGTAACATCTGGCTGTTATTTATCACATGCTCCAGACACTGTTGAGGTCAGGACCAGCAAACGTTTTCCATAAAGGTCCACACAACAAATATGTTCAGCTTTGTAAGCCATAGGTCTCTGCTACAGCTACTTAAACTCTGCTGTTACAGCCCCAAAGCAGCCATAGGTAACCCAGAAATGAATGAGTGGACCTGTTCCAATAAAACTGTATTTATGAACATGGAAATTAAATTTGCATGTCACTAAATATTCTTTTGATATTTTAATTATTAAAAATATAAAAACAGTTTTTAGCTCACAGACTATAAAAAGAAGTGGCAGGCCGGTTTGGCCCATTTTGCCTGTCCTGGTCTAGGTGCTAGAGATGCAGGTGTGATGTGTCCCATCACAGCAGCCCGTGCTTATGGATGGAGCTCCCCAGAGCATCCCAGAGCTTGAGAAGCTGATAGACTACTTCCCAACTCTCAAGGGACTACTTTGCCCCCACCAAGGTCTGTGACCTTGTCTTTCGGTTTGGTTTTGTTTTTTTTTTCAGACACAGGGTCTCACTCTGTTTCCCAGGAGTGCAGTGGCATGATCATGGCTCACTCTATCCTCCATCTCCCAGGCTCAAATGATCCTCCCACTTCAGCCTGCCGAGTAGCTGAGACCACAGCGCATGCCATCATATCTAGCTAATTGTTTTTATTTTTTGCAGAGATGAGGTCTTGCTATGTTTCCCAAGTTGGTCTTGAACTCCTGGGCCTTAAGCAATCCTCCTGCCTCAGCCTCCCAAAAGCTGGGATTACAGGTGTGAGCCACCTTGCCCAGCCTAGCGACCTCTTCCCAAAAGCCCCTCTTGAAACAGGGACAGTCAGACTCCAATGAGGCCCAAGGTTAAGGGATGGTAACTCTGCTGCAAACCCCCGGCATTTGGAGCTTTAATTCCTGATGTAAGTCTCAGACTTCAGAGCCACACTGCACATCTCACAACAGCCGCTGGTCCAGTGTGCTGGAGTTCTAATGTGGGTGCTGTACACAGAGACCCTGCTGGCAGGAAGCGAGGACACTGAGCTGCCATCTGTTTTCATTAAGCCTTGCTGAGTAGGGAAGGTAGAAATTATCTGTGTTGGGTTTGAAGCACTGCAAACATTTGTTTCTGAGTGGAAGGGCCAGAGCAGACCCAAGGACTGGCTAGGCAGGGTCTCCTGGGCAAGAAATAGTGCCCCTCTGGATGTGTGAGGCAGCGTCTGGATGTGTGGGGAAGGTGCTACTGGCCAACGTATGTCGCCTGGGAAAATGGCCACTGCCCACCCAGACCCTCGGGATTCCACACCCAGACTGTACCCCACCTCAGCCTCTGCCTGGTCCATGACCGGTACCCAGAAAACTAGACATCTTCCAGAGTGATGTTTTTGCCCTAACATCCCCTTCAAGGTATCATGAAGATGCCCAATATTCCATTTCCTCCATCAAATCTAAATCCTTCTGCTTGGTTGCTAAGGGTCCCCACACTCAGACCCGACTGAGCGGCTCCCAGCCCACACAGGGGACCTCCTGTGACACCATTCTAAGCCTGTGTGTGCCCCAAATCTCCAGAAGCCCTCACTCCTGCCCTCTGCTGCACCTGGCCACGTCTGGCCTTCACCCTAGTATAAAGACACCTTGCAGAGGAGTCACAGATGAGCTATTTAGCAGTGCCTCCGTTTCCTTATCTATTGAATGGGGGAAATAAATGCACCCACCTCACGGGGTTGCTGCGTTTAATCAGAACGTTCGTGCTCAGCATTTCCTGGGTAATGCTGCGCTCTGGAATTGGCCCCGCCCAGCCCCAGCAACAGCGAGCCAGGTCTGACTCCAGATCACATTCACCTCTTCCCTCTTCCCTCTTTGAATCTTTACACATACTGTTTGAATTGCATGATTACCATGAAACATTGTCCAGGTAGGTGTCTTTCTCCCCGTTTAGGCTGCAGCGTGCAGACCTCCTACACTGTCACCCCTCTGCATTTCCTCGGTTCCTTCGCGGCATCTGGCCCCACACAGCCTTGGGTCTGGACTCAGTAGTTTTATTTTCATTAATCCACTGAAATGCTGTCACAAACTCCTGAACACTTTCTTTCATGAGGGGCTTCAGGGGGAAGACTGAAGAGAAGTTATCTTTCTAATACAGCGCTCTGACAGGCCGACAGAAAATCTGATCACTAGAGCATTGGCCTGCAGACGCTCACCAATGTCATATATTTAAGGAACAAAAAAAGAAAAGGCTTTGTTAAAATGACCTCTGAGAGGCAGCTGAGTTTTCAGTGGACGGGAGAATGCCATCTGGGTGGGGGCTAGCTTCCACCGAACCCTGACTGTCGCTGTTCCTTCCAGGAAAGCCCTGGAAGCCCATAGCGTGGCTAGCCCTGCCTGGAGTTTCCACGAGCTTCAAGAATCCAGGCTCCCCCTCTGAGGGCCCCCAAAGCTGTGGTCAAAGGTTAATGGGCTCCAAGGGCAGCTCCCAGGGTTGGGAGGTATATAAGAACCCGTCAGATCAGCCGGACACCAGAAGACAAGCAGAGAGACTCCTCCAGACCCACTCAGACCACGTGCACGCCGTAAGTAGCCCTTGGAGAAAGTGGGTGGGGAGTGGTCAGCATAAGCCCTAAAGCAGAACGCTGGTGCAAGCCAGAGCCAGCCTGGTCCAGGGCCCTCTGCCACCTTCCAGTGCCCAGCCGGGCTTCGCACTGAGTGCCCGCGCTGATTCCCAGGGCATCAGTGAGCAGAGGCAGGGCTGAGGCACAGACGCTGGAGGCAAGCAGGTGGGTACAACTCCTGGCAAAGCAGAGGCTGTTGTGGGTGGGTCTGGCACATCCACGGTGGGCCGGGAACCCAAGCCAGAGCTCATCATGGGCGCAGGGCCCCTCTTGGCATGGTGGCTTTGCTCTGGAAAGGTAAGAAAAATTTGGCCCTGCAGTGGCTCATGCCTGTAATCCCAGCATTTTGGGAGACTGAGGTGGGCGGATCACAAGGTCAGGAGTTTGAGACCAGCCAGGCCAATATGGTGACACCCTGTCTCTACTAAAAATACAAAAATTAGCCATGCGAGGTGGCACATGCCTGTAGTCCCAGCTACTCAGGAAGCTGAGGCAGAAGAATCGCTTGAACCTGGGAGGCAGAGGTTGCAGTGAGCCGAGATCGCGCCACTGCACTCTAGCCTGGGAGACAGAGCGAGACTCCATCTCAGAAAAAAAAAAAAAAAAGAAGAAAAGAAAAGGAAAAGAAAAAGTTGACCCCGAGGGAGAGCACATGGGGAGGCAAGGCTAGCCCGGCCAGGGGTGCTGCAAGGGAGGGCAGACGGTCACCCCCTTCATGCAGAGCTGGACACTTGAAGGTTGAAGCCCCCCATCTCTGATGATGGGAAAGGAAAGTTAGTGCCTCACTGTACAATGAAAAGCTCCTTCTCCCACCTCCAGCTCACCAGAACACACATGAACGTAGGTGACATGCCGACTGCCAGTTGGATCAAGAAAATGAGAAGCAATTGGATTTTGCCTTTTTTTTAATTTAAAGTTTTTATTGATTCCTATGGAGTGAATTAAATACACCAGAATGAAACAGGATCTATAGCCTCTCTGTGAAGGAAATGGGATGCCATAAATGTGACACATCCGTCTCTGCTGGGGGGAAAAGCAGGCCCCAGAGACTCTTCAGGGAACGCGCAGGAATGAGAAGGGAAGAACAGTGATGGGTCCCACCCACCTCAACCCATTCTCCGTTCAGCTCAAGCTCCTCTGGGGCTGCACACAAGGCCTCGGCTTCCTGGGAGGTGGTCTTGGGTGGGCGGGTGGTCCTTTCAGCCTGCTGGGAATTTGCATACAGCTGGGATGGGGAGGCTTTCGCTGTCTGAGCTCTGTTGTTCTTGTTCATGGAGTTTGAACAAAATGGAGAGAAAATAGGAAGTGGGAAGAAGAGAGAGCTGGAATAGCAAGAAGGCAGAGGGAGCGTCTGGCGTGGTAGGGTGGTTTCAGATGACTGAGGAGACAGGTCTTGGCTGAGAGGCAGGATGCAAGCCTGCAGCCTTGGAAGGTTCTGTTCAAAGGGGGAGCCAGGTTGAGACCTGCAGAGAAGCCCCGAGGCCTTTCCAGGGCAGACCCTCTCCTGCCGACAGAATCCAGGCTGCCTGGGGACTGGAGGAGCGCTTTATCTGAAACCTTGTAACTACCTCCACCCCTACCCCTACTGCTGGAGGGGCTGTCCCGGCCTCCCCTCCCTGCTTGGAGGCCTGGCCCCTGCACTCAGCAGTCCACCCAGCGCAGGAACAGTGGTGCCCAAGATGCATTCAACAGGCCTGCCCCCTGTGCCTTCCTCTGCCTACTATGGGCAGAGGCAACGTAGAGTGGGGTATTGGGAAAAGCACTGGGCCTCAAAAGGCCAAGGTTCCAGCCCCTGCTGCCTTTGAATGAGTCAACCTTGGCTGGCACTCAGCTAGGCCATCCCACCCCCACCCCAGGACCACCCTGTCCCTGCCCAAAGTCTGCCCAGTGGACCCTTTCTCAAGGCTCTGCACCCCTGCAGTCACCATGCCTACCTGCTCCCTGCCAGGACCCGAGCTCCAAAAGCCCACTAAAGCCCAATGTCCTACCAGCCATTCCACACATACCTGCTTCCTGGTCAGCAATCACTGGGTTCCAGGGTGTGAGGAAAGAGGAAGCCTGCTCCCTGCTGTTTCAGGATGGTGGCCAAAGGCAGCTAGATGCACTGGAGCACGGGGCGGGGGGCTTGTTCCCAAGCCATCGCTCCCCCAACGGGGAAGGGGGTGCCCTCTTGGCTCAGGGATACAGCTCCATGCTGAATTTTTCCATCTGGCTCATCCTTTGCAATGGCAGAGGCTCTACAGACCCAGGGTCCTGGCCTGGCACTTCCAGGCAGAGCCCTGGTCATCTGGGCTTGGGTCCACCCCTTTTGTCATTCTAATAGGCACTGGGGCAGGGAGGTCTCTCTGGGTCTTGGGGCACAGTTCTGTTGATAATCTAGGCATTCCTTCTCTGAAAGATGAGGTCCCTCCTGCCTTATGAGTCCAGCTGACCCCAGAAGACCTTACCTGTAACAAAAGAGAAGGGTGGACAAGTGAAATGATTCCTCCCTGGTGTGTGGCAGGGAGCTGGATGGCCTTTCCCAGGAGCTTGGCCAGCTGCCACAGCTCTGGGGCAGAAAGGTGCTCAGAGCTCATCTGCTCAAGCTCTGATACCAGGCCCAAATCCAGACAGGCTGAGCTTTGGCTGAAGATCACACAGCTAGAGGTAGGGCATGGGCCAGAACTGAGGGCCCCTGCCTCGGACACAGCAGTCTGCCACTGTACCCCAAACTTAGTGACAAGAGCTCCTTGTCATTGTCCAGCTCCAAGATGGTATCCCGTAAGGCTGTGGCTGCTCTGCTGGTGGTGCATGTAGCTGCCATGCTGGCCTCCCAGACGGAAGCCTTCGTCCCCATCTTCACCTATGGCGAACTCCAGAGGATGCAGGTAAGAACCCCCTGCTGCCTGCCCTGCTAGCAAGGCTGAGGTCACTATGACCTATGCCGGTGATACCAAGGAAAGTGTAAAGGACCAGGACCCAAGATAACCCCCAGTTCCAGCCACCTCTCTGGCCACCTTCACGCCTTCACTGGCATCACTCAGATATGTCAGTGGCTCGTATGAGCAACATCTTTCCCACCCCTGCCTATCCTTTGGAGGAAATTTTAAATTAACAAGCCAATAAATATTTACCGAGCTGCTCTGCAGTACAAGAGGCCACCCTGGGCGATGAGCCCGAGCATGCAGAAGAATCTCAGCACCTCCCCATCTCCAGGGAGAAGGCTGGGGTGCCAAGATACGAACATATGAAAAATTAACTAACAGTCGAAGACAAAAGAGAGATGTCACAGGCAGGACATGATGAATTGCCCCATCAGTGGTGCTGATGCTAAGTGCTCAGGTTCAAGGAAGGAGAATCACCAAGGGCTGGAGCGTGCTTGGAAGCCTGCAGGGAAAAGGTGGAACTCAGCTGGGGGCCTTGAGAGATCAAGAGCGAGGGACCAATGGGAGCCAGCGCCCAGAGGCGGGAAACAAGGCTGCGGTCCATGTAGCAGTGGCCAAAGCCTCCTCTTTAGGGCCCAGAAGAAAAAAAGGCAGGCCTCATGGAACTCAGGCAGTGGAGCCTAAGGAAAATGGAACTGCTGGCTCTGCCTCCCTGCTGCCTTTTACTTTAGACTTCAGGGGACGCTGAGTATCTATGCAGATGTTTGGTTCCCTTTAACCTAAGGAGATGAAGAAAGGGACTTTCATGCTCCACCCTGTCTGAAACTGAGACTCCAATAGGGATGAATACATGAGTTAGTGCCCAGGGAGGTCTCGAGGCTCTGGGGCACAGCCTGTCTGCAACTGCCCACTTTATGTGGGGAGGTGTGTGGGGATCCACATTCCCAGTGAACAGGGCTCTTTTTAGAGGCAAGGCTGAATCCAGCTCCCCTTCTGCAAGCAGACATGGGAACTGGGTAGGTACTGCAGCAGGCCCCAACACACTTTCCTCCACGCCAGCACACTCCCCACAGGATGACTGTTTGTTCTAGAATCACCACGTCTCAGGGCAGGCCAACAGCAGAGTCCCAAGAGTGTCATTAGAGAAAGCAAAGGAATGAGGATCTCAGTGCTCAGGGACCTGGCCAGCAGCATGCCGGGCAAGACTGGGGGCTGGACAGGAACAGTCAAACCCAATGGAACATAAACTAGCAAAATAGCAAGCAAAGGACACTGCATTAATCTGCTCCATGGCTTTTCTCCTCATAATTGCCAGGCACCAGGATTTTTATGAAGAAGCTACAAACTCCCTCCTCCATAATTTATCTCTTGTCTTGCCTCTTATAAATCACCTCCCAGGGACTCTGAGTTCCCGGGCCACCCCATGGCACCCTCCCAGGCTAGGCTGTCTCACTACCTTTTTTATAGGCTCTCTGCTAAGAAAGACACATTTTCACACTTAATATGCATGAAGGGCAGGCATTATTTTCAGCTTTTTAAGTTAATTAACAGTAACAATCTGGGTGCAATGTTTTAACTACAAAGGAATGGATTCCTCTTCAAGTTGACCTTGAAGAGCAAGGCCCTTGGTGGGCAACCTCAAGGGACATCCATGAGCCACTAGTTAGTATCTGAGATTCCTCGTGCAGGAGGCTCCTGGAGGAAAGGGTTCTTTCAGTCTGTAGGGAGCTCAGGGCAGACAGCACCCTGGGCAGATGGAGACAGGCAAGGGGCCATCAGCGTGGGTTGAGGGAGGGCGGTTTTGTGCAATTTTCTGTTCTGCCCCTAGGAAAAGGAACGGAATAAAGGGCAAAAGAAATCCCTGAGTGTATGGCAGAGGTCTGGGGAGGAAGGTCCTGTAGACCCTGCGGAGCCCATCAGGGAAGAAGAAAACGAAATGATCAAGGTGAGCAGACAACTGGGACAAAGGAGAGAAACTCAGAGCAGGGCATGCATTCCCCTGCCTGGCCTGGAGGCAGAGCCCACAAGCCACAGTGAGCCTCAGAGTGTCCTAGGATATCGCAGTGAGCAAGACATCCAGGCAATGAGCTCCATCCTCGTAGGGAGAGACGGACTCCAGCAACGAGATAAATCAACCATTTCAGGCACCAGATAAGGAAGTAGGAGAGTGACTGAGTGGGGTTTGGGAGACTGCTTTGTCCCTGAGACGGGTCAGGGAAGGCCTCTTGGAGGAGGTGACATTTGATTTGAAACCTGAATGAAGGGAAGGAGCCACCTGTGCAAACAGCTGGAGCAAGGGCCTCCCGGGAGAAGGAACAGTGAGTGCAAAGACTGAGGAACACCGGTGGGCGACAGGCCCTTGTGGCAGGGGTTAGTCGAGTGGGCGAGAGGTCAGCATGGCCAGCCCAGGCAGGGCCTGCATGCAGCGCCACTGGGGATTCAAAGCAGGGAAGCCACCGGAGCCCTCTTAGAGCTGGGGCAGCATGAGTGGAGGCAAGAAGCCAGGCAGGAGGCGCTACAGTCTTCGGCAAAGAGGTGGCGAGGGTGCCAATTCCTCCCCTCCCAGACAGAAACCCAGGAGCCAGCCACAGGCCTCAACACCCAGGGCCGATTGTTGGGGCTGGGGAGAACCTTGAGCTTGTCCCATGAGCTCTTTTATTTCACAGACTCGTTTATTTGGGTGATCAATAAATGAACCCCTACTAGGTCTGAGGCACTGTTCCAGGCACTGGGGACAGGGTAGTGAACAGACAAAATCTCTGCCCTTGTGGAACTCACACTCCATAGGAAAGAAGAAACAAGATCCTAGGACGACTGAAACAGACCACAAACAAGGTAAAGACAGGAAGCAAACTCAGCAGTGTGGCAGGCAATGACATGTGCTATGGAGGGAAACAGAGCCGCAAGGAGACGCGGTGGGTTATGGATCTCAGTGGGCGACAGCAGGTGTCCTAGGAGACGGTAGCAGCACAAAGACCAGAAGAGAGCAAGGCATGAACCACAAGGATTTCTGGGGGAAGAGCCTTCCAGGTGGAAGCAACAGCCAGTGCCAAGGTCCTGAAGCAGGAGAGGGCCTGGTGCATTCAGGAAGAGTGAGGAGGCCAGAGAGACTGGTAGAGGGGTAGGGGCAGACTGTGGACTTCACAGGCCACTGGACTCTCCATTCATTCTGCTGAAGTGGAGCCTTGGGGGTTTTGAGCAGAGGAGGGATGGGATCTGATTTACATTTTAAAGGGGTCTCTCCAGCTGCTGAGAACAGACTGAAGGGACCGGACAAAGGCAGATTTAGGGAGGCCACTGAGGAGGCTGCTATAGTCTAAGAGAGACAGAGAAAAAGAGAGAGAGAGAGTTCGGCCTCGGGCGGTCTTGGAGGAGGCAGGGCAAGGAGGTTGGATTTTTAAAATATTTTGGAGGTAGAAGCCCACAGGATTTGCTAAAGAATGGATATAGGATGTAAAGAAAAAGTGAAAATTGACTTCAAGGGTTTGGGCCAGAACAACTGAAAGACGGATTTGCCACTCATGGAGACAGAGTAGCCTGTGGTTGGCTGCAGGATGGCAGGAGGAAGATCAGGGAGTCAGATCGGGCCTGAAAACCGAGATGCTCTTGGGCATCCAGGCAGAGACATTGCCCAGGCAGGTGGACACACAAGTTTGGAGTTCAGAAGAGAGGTGAGGGCTGGAGGCTCACATGTAGGAGTCATCCGTGGTTAGAGGGAATTTCAAGCTAGGCCTGGGTGAGCCATTTGAGGGGACAGGTGTGGATGGAAAAGAAGAGGCCCAGACCTGAGTGTGGGTCGCTACCACATAAAGGGGCCTGAGGGGCGAGAAGACTGACATCCAGAGAGAGCAGGGGCCTTGTCACGGTCACACAGGAGTCAGGGCAGAACCCAGCTGGACTCCCACCTCCCACTGGACACAGGCCAGTGATCTTTCCCGGTGCTGTTGGGCCCAGAAAACAACCTGGGTGCTGTTGCCGCACTCTGCACTCAGCGAGGTGGGGCCCCTTTCCCCCCATATCCACTCCGAACTCCCTGGGCTCCTGAGGAGGGAGCTGGGAGGGAATCCAGCAGCTGGTGAGCAGGGAGCACACTCAGAATCACCTCCTAAATGCAGCTGAGTCGGAGTTTGAGGCACTAACTCCAAGGTTGCCCGGGGACATTGTATGTCCATGAAGCCTTCTTGGGGAGGCTTGGGTGGGGCACCTCTCACCTCTTTCCATCTCCTACAACCACAACATACAGAGCTGAGAGGGCCCTTTGGGATTGTCCAGTCCAGCCTCCTTGTGTTAAGTAAGGACCCTGCTGGAGGGTCTAGAGGGAGAGGCATAACCACAGCTGGGAACGGCACAGGCAGAACTGGACTGGGGCCCTTCAGATGCCCTTCAGGCACCCTGAGCCCCCAAGCGTCTAGGAGGCCCATTCCTGGAACCCAGGGAGCCCGGTGGGAGGCAGGGGAGCAGGTGCTGGGACTCCTCCAGGGCAACTCTCCCGAGAGGCCAGGAGTCTCCCAGTCTGCTGGCTAGTTTGTGCAGCAAGAGCATTGATCCAGGAAGCTCTGCGGAGCGGGGACGGGGAGATCAATCAGCGCCCTAGGCTCTGCCTCAAGGCTGCAACTACCTCTTTGGTGGAGAGTCTCCAGACAACAAGAGGAAAGGTAGCCTGGTGGTTGTGGGCACAGACCCTGGAGCCAGGCCCCTTGGGTGTACCGTCTTCTTCCTCTGCTCCTTACCATCTGTGCGGCCTTGAGCAAGTTACTCAATCTCATTGTCCTCAGTTTCCTCATCTGCAAAATGGGAACACTAACCATCCCTACCCCACAGAGCTATTGAGAGGTTAACATACATAAAGCACTTAGAATAAGTGTAAAGCTTAGAATACTGGCTAACACGGTGAAACCCCGTCTCTACTAAAAATACAAAAAATTAGCCGGGCGTGGTAGCGGGCGCCTGTAGTCCCAGCTACTTGGGAGGCTGAGGCAGGAGAATGGCGTGAACCCGGGAGGCGGAGCTTGCAGTGAGCCGAGATCGCGCCACTGCACTCCAGCCTGGGCGACAGAGCAAGACTCCGTCTCAAAAAAAAAAAAAAAAAAGCTTAGAATAAGGGTAAGACTCCACAATGTTGGCTATAATTGTTGAGGTGGGAGTGAATTCCCTCCCCATGAGAAAAGCCTGCTGGGGTTCCTGCTGACCCCACCCCTCCTGTCCCAGCTTCCCCGTTATGGAAGGTGTATTGATCCCCTCAGCAGGACTCAGTGACCTTCAGGATCCAGCCCTCTGGTTAGAATTAGGGGAAGGTGGCAGAATTCCCAGCCATCCCTAGAGGCTCTAGTGGGGTCTGCAGGGTGGTGTGGCTCCCAAGGGTCCCTCCTGCCACCTGTAGTGCACCCAGGGGTTAAGGGCCCTCTCCACCTCTCCCTCGTTGTTAACGCTGCCTTATTTCACAGCTGACTGCTCCTCTGGAAATTGGAATGAGGATGAACTCCAGACAGCTGGAAAAGTACCCGGCCACCCTGGAAGGGCTGCTGAGTGAGATGCTTCCCCAGCATGGTACGGGGAGGGCGGGCATCTCTGTGGCTTGGCCGGCCTCCGCCCACCCTGGCGTTAATACTCCAGAGGCAGGGTTTCAGGGTGGCAATTTGTTTGGCTG
This sequence comes from Homo sapiens, assembly GCF_000001405.40. Classification (NCBI taxonomy): domain Eukaryota; kingdom Metazoa; phylum Chordata; class Mammalia; order Primates; family Hominidae; genus Homo; species Homo sapiens. The sequence continues at coordinate 33,795,402 of NC_000006.12, read as the reverse complement.
CTTTGCACTTGAGAATGTGGAGCCGTCTTCTCCCTGGGCTATGCTGTGATACCTGCTGGTGGCTGCAGCAGTTCTCCAGGGAGGCGGGTCTCAGGCTGGGTTCCCAGCTACCCACCCCACTCCCCTGCTCCAGATATTTTCATTCCCTTCCACAACATCACCACAGGGTGGCTGCTCCGAAGGGAACCTTGGTGAGGCTTTCCCTTCCCCCATTCATTCTGCAGATTAAAGTCCTGAGCCCCATTTGGCCTTGCCCAGTTCAAGGTCTGCCCGAGTTACCTGAGCAAAGCTACATCTCCTCTGACAAACAGCCACTAATTACTTCTCATAGTCCCCAGGAGGAGAGGAGAGACTCGAGGAAGTGCTGTTAGTGATGGAGAAACTGGGAGGTTAAATGACTTGCCCCAGGCTACAGACAGCTTGCAGGCTCCTTGCAAAACTTCCCACCTTCCCGCCCAGCCTGCCCTTGTGCCCCCTCCTCCCTCCGACCTGCAGGCAAGTTTTAGAGGGCAGTTTCATAAGCAGACCTGATGATGGTACTGAGCGCAAACCTCTGCTTTTCTCCAGCAGCCAAGTGATGGCCACGCTGGGGAGAAGGTGGACAGATTTGGGAGGCCCCTCCTGCCCAAGTGAGGCCCTGGGAATTTACAGAGCCTGCCAGCTGGGCTTGGAAGGAAAACACCCTTTCCAAAGCAAATTCCCCTCCAGCAAATAAAGCATGAAATATACAGAAATGACTCTTATTTAATATTTTAATTCCCAAAGGGCAAACTCAGGTCGCAAGAAAAAGGGGGGGAAAGTAAAGCTCAGAGAAAGTTGGCCATAAATGATGCTTACATTAGCATTGTGTGCCTTTTGTGAGGTCTAAGTTCAAATATTAACTCAGATCCAAATAAGTGGAAGAGTACCACTGGCCCTTCCATTATAGGTGAGGAAACTGATCATTTTTTGCCCACACACTGAGTCAGTGACAGAGTGAGGACTGGAATTCAGGTCTCCCGGGTCTCGGTCCATTTCTAGTTTACTGACTAGCTCAAGGTCTAACGGGCCAGAGAATTTTAGGGCCTCCGCACTCAACCCCTTGCCAAGTAACTTCCAACCAGCCCTTTAACCTCAATGAGCCTGTGCAAAACCAAGGTGGTAATATCTGCCTCGAGATCTGGGATGGAGGCACAAGCAAAGAGCAAATTACTATTAGCACCTTGTGACTACCAACTCCAGCATCCGCAGCAAAATTACACAGCCAACCCACTTATTTCTGCCTTCTAAACAAAACTGGATGGGAAATTTCATTCCAATTTAATTTTACATTAATGAATGTTCATGTATTTATAAACTGGGGCCACACTGGAACTGCAGCTCCCTCCATCCATAGGTTACCAGCAATTAGATACAGTGTCCATTCTGCATTTCCACCCAGGCTTAGCCACAGAAAGTAGTTACCAGAACAAGAACTCCACTGCTGAACAAGGCACCCTCATTTGAGGTACTCTGAATTCTCCTGAGAAACACTCAAACCATCCATGGGCTCCCACCCCCGCCACGCTGAACATTCACACGCATTTCCAGCACATATACCGATGAGCCCCAGAGCAGGTGCAGGTTCCCGGGAAATGCTGCCAAGATGCCCGGTAATAGAGAGAGAGGGCTGCAGCAGAAGGGCATGCGGGGGGCAGCGGGGGAGACACAGAAATCTATAAAGCCTGCTGCTGGGAAGATCTGGATCCAAGGCTCCTCCTTGCCCTTCCGAGCTCCACCACGCCAGTTCACCCCATTTTCTGTAACACACTCCAAGAAGCAGAGAAACGAGATGCTCACGGTGGTCCCTTTCCCCGTGGAAAACGCATTTTGTGTCCTTCCCTCACCCTCTGCTGGAATCTGCCTCTGTAGGGAGACCGCCTTCCCCTATCACCAGAGGGGGTGCCCATTTCTGGGTTGGGGGGGAGCCCAGCACTGGCTGGGGAATTTTCCCTGAGATTCTGGGTGTTGAAGAGCCTCTCACTGAAATAGACACCCACCATGGAGGGACATGGGGCCCACAGGAGACTCTGCCCAGGAGGTCTGCACTGTTTAGGTGGGAATGGGTTCAGCAACTACAGCACTGGGGAAGGGAGAGGGTGCTGTCCATTCTGCAGAAAAGCCCCGTTCAAAGCTCAGCATTGCCGCCCGGCAGCCCCAACCCTCACCCCGCGGCCTCTGATGTGCTTCTCAGTAATGAGCCGCAACAGGGACCCAGCTACCACCTACATCTGTATGCACAGTGCCCTGGCTGCTTGTTTAGATGTGTCGGCTCCTTTCTTCTCTCGTTTTCCTCCTCCTGCCACTGTTCGATTTCTCACAATTGGCTCAAATAATTCTTTTTTCACCAACAAGCTCCTCCAGTTTCCAGGACAGCCGACTTGATTGCTTATGGGATATCCACAGCTTTGGAAGAAATTAAAATTGGGAGGAGGTTGGGGAGGATTCTGTGAGCTGAGTGAAGAGAAAATGACTATGTTTTCACAAAACAGAAGAAAAGGAGACATGCTCCTGGTTAAAGCAATAGAATGAGTAGGACCAGAGACCAACCAGGATCAGAGACAGGGAGGGTAGCCAGAGTAACCAGGAGAGCAAAGATGCCATTCCTCTTCACATCTCACCCAGGCTTATCCAGCAACATCTGCAAGAATCTCTCCAGATATCTGGCAATTACAGAGAGGTACGGATTACCCCATGTTCATCTGGAATGTACTTTACACTTAACAGGACTACAGGTCATTACAGTGCAACTTGAACCTAGCTTCACAAAATGGAGATGATGAGGTATTTTCTTGGTAACCACATCGGTGTGATTTTAGCATTACTGCGCTATGTGGATTTGCCATGAAATTGAATAGTTAAAAGCAAAGAGTAATTGCCTGATATCTGTATGCTGTAATTTAGTGTAATCTAATCATGGACAAAGCCCAAAAGAAAATATTCTCAAAGCATTACATTTTTCTTCATACACAATTTGTTATTGACATTCGGTAATATATTCCATGCCTTTGAAGGAACTCTTACTCATGGATATCAAAGTGTGAGAGCAGTCAAAAGAGTGAGAGATTTGTTTAATTTTCAACAGATTATGAAATACCATTCTGGCATTTCTCTGTGACTCCATTTTCCCCCTTAGCTGATGCACCCTCAGACCTAGAGAGAGGAAAAGAGTGTCCTCCTCTTCCATAAGGCACTGAGATGGAGCAGTGAGAAGCTGGGTGTTCCTGGGTCATTCCAGTCAAAATATGAGCCCCACATGGCCCCCACTTTTCAACCACAATCTCCCGGTGCCCTGCCCCCACTGTAATGCCACCTATAATGTAGTTTGAAGGAAGCCCTGAATAGCTGAGGCAATACGTGAGGCCCTCCATGAGGTGGATCAAGGACGATTCCGTGGTCCCTGAGTATCTTTGAGGACCTGATAAATGTGTGCAGGGCTTTTTGCAGGAGGACGAAGAGAATGGAACCCACTAAAAGATTTATGGCTGTGATTATTATAAGGCTCTGCCAAGACAGAGAGAGGTCAACGGGACGGAAGGGAGTATGGCAGCCCCCCGGGAATCCAGAGCGTGCTCAGAGCAGCCCTTCACCTCTGATAAATGTGTGGATGTGGTTACTAAGTAGATTTAGATATTGGAGCTTGTTTTTCCTCTTCTGCCTTTAATACATCAGGAAGACTGACCACAGCCTAAGCTGCTGCTCACCTTAAAAAAAAAACCCACAGCAAAGTGATGAGAAAGGAGGGCATGCAGAGCAGCCTCTGACTTTGCAATATTGCCCTTTTCTTTACAATAAGCCTTCCTGCCATGGACAGGCCCAGCAGGAGAGCCAGGCTGAAGGCACAGAAAGGCTGGCTGCCAGAAGCCCTGGCAGGTTTCGTGGGTAGCTCCCGAAGGGGCAGCAGTGGCAAAGAAGAGCTGAGGTCGAGCCCTTCCAAGTGGAGGGCAGCATGTGGATGGTTGTGTGGAGGAAAGCAAAAAGCAACACGCCAACTTCACTAAACCAAAGAGGGGCTATAAATCTGGGCAGGAACGTGACTGGAGCTGGGAATTCAGGATGAAATGGAAAGGCCCAAAAACTGGGAGGAACGCCTGACTAACTTGTGAGGTTCCTTCTCAGAGGGGGTGGGGAAGGGGAGCATTGATCAGCAAATTTGCAGTTAAGTGGTCACTGGGTGCCCCTTGGTGCACATCCAAAGGCCTGCCTGTAAGATCCTGCAAGACAAGGCCATCCACAGCCAGAAGCCACAATGGAGGTAAAAGGGCTGACCATGGGTGGCCAAAGGCCACAACTCCAAGCACAGTGGGTTCTACACCACAGGGAAGACAACAGGGTTCTGGGGGAGGGGCTGTGGGCCACTTGACCCTACGTGTGTGGAGCGGCAGCAGTGTCCCCAAACACAAGGAAGCTGACAAAGCCCACATTGCGTGCCACCACTGGGGGTGGCTCCAGTTCAGTCCATATTTTTAAATCGCCCTGAGATCCATTGTTATAAAATAGACCATAACTCTGTGAAATGCTGTAACGATAACTTTGTTTAAGCATTAGTTTCAAGCCCTCTTAGAATACATGGGGCCAGTACTGATGCCGAAAGGCTCATTCTTTATATATTGAACCGCACAGCTGCAAGGAGTTGCACAAATGTTACCAACTCATTTGTCATGCAAACAGTGCTTCAGAAAGAAATAAAATACTATTATGTGGTATATGTGTTAGGCAATCACTATATCAAATTCATGGCATTCTGTGCAAACACATGCAGGGAAAAGGAAAACAACACTTGGTGAGAGAAATCACACCACATGGGAGCAGCTAAGTCAGGGGAGATGGGGAGGCTAACAGTGGAAGCTGACCAAGCCGAGGCTGTCATTTTCCCAGCAATTGTGGCCAGTGTTGAATACCCCTGAGGTGGAGCAAGTGGCAGGAATGCAAAACCCAGACAGAGGAGCATAGCATTGCCCAGGGTGTCAGGGAGGGGAGGGAATAAAGTGGGGAATGGGCAAGGGGGCTGTTGGGACAGATACGGGGCAGTTCCAGGGAGGAGGGGCCTGGGGGAAGGGGAGAATGGAATGGCAGGGGTAGAAATGGATGGAACCCATTGGGCCGGCAATAAATGTTTGGGAATGGGAGTTGAGGGATGTGGAAGGAAGATTATAAACTGGTTCTATTTCCAGTTGCCACATTCCCTTGCTTCCCTTAGGGGTTTCCTGCTAAGAGCCTTCATGTAACCAAATCACCTGCCCTGTGGGAGGCTCTACACAGCACTGACACTGCAAAGATGTGGGTTAAGTATAAACACGCATGAACGTGTGCCAGGCACTGTCCCAAGCACCTTAGCCAAACTACCTCTTCTAATCCTCACAGCAACTCTATTGAGGTTTACTGGCAAATAGGCTAACAATGTTAATTGAATATGATCACACATCTAATAGTTGTGAGTAGGGATTTGAAATCGAACTGTCTGGCTCCAAAGCCCACAACCTAAACCACCAGTGAGGCTGCAAGACCGTGTATCTCTGGAGTCTTCTCTCTCCCATGTCTCCTTGTAAAAATCCCATTACGCAGACACAGGCCCTCCGCAGAGAAGCCTCAACTGCCCATTCGAACCCAAGGGCATTTTGCTCCTCTGCCTCCACCATGGATGCTGCGTCTCCTCCAGGCTGGCGCTCCTTGGGGGCCAGTGTCTGTCCTAAGGCAGGGATCGCACCTACTTGGTGCTCAGTGTCGCCCAGTTAACAAGCCCGAAGTCGGGACAGGGTCTTGGAGCATGCCTGGAGTGTACTCTAAGACCCAAATAAAACCGGATCACACATCAGTCCCCAAGCCCAGAGAGGCAAATCATCCTGTCTCTCCATTCGTGGCAGTGGCTTCGTTCACCATTAAGCAATTCATCTATTAAATCAACGCTGACTTTACTGAACGCTTACCACCTGCCAGAGGCAGAGCTAGGGTTGGAGGACTCAGAGATTAATACCGCTTGATCTAACAAACAAAGGGAAGTGGGAGAGCGGAGAGAGAGAGAAAAACAAAACAAAACAAAACAAAACAAAAAATTTAATCCCCCTTGGACCTTCCCACCATGGCGGCTCTAAGAGCCACGTCAGACCGCCTCATCATGGCCGACCAAAGGCCAAGTGCAGACCTTCCCAACATGGCGACCGACCTTCCCATCATGGCGCGTGGCCCCGCCCGCTCCGCCGCGCCTGCGGGAGGGAGCAGTTCCGGGTGCGGTGCGCGCCAGGGGCGGGCGGGGGGCGGCGTCCTGGCCATGGCCGGCCTGTCGGACCTGGAACTGCGGCGGGAGCTGCAGGCCCTGGGCTTCCAGCCAGGACCCATCACCGACACCACCCGGGATGTCTACCGCAACAAGCTGCGCCGCCTGCGGGGCGAGGCCCGGCTGCGCGACGAGGAGCGGCTGCGGGAGGAGGCCCGGCCGCGGGGCGAGGAGCGGTTACGGGAAGAGGCCCGGTTACGCGAGGATGCGCCGCTGCGCGCCCGGCCCGCCGCGGCCTCTCCGCGGGCGGAGCCCTGGCTCTCCCAGCCGGCCTCGGGCTCGGCCTACGCGACCCCTGGGGCCTACGGTGATATCCGGCCCTCCGCGGCTTCCTGGGTAGGGAGCCGCGGCCTCGCCTATCCTGCCCGCCCGGCGCAACTCAGGCGCCGCGCCTCGGTCCGGGGCAGCTCCGAGGAGGACGAGGACGCCCGGACGCCCGACAGGGCCACGCAGGGCCCGGGTCTCGCGGCCCGCCGCTGGTGGGCAGCGTCTCCCGCCCCGGCGCGGCTGCCTTCCTCCCTCCTCGGTCCCGACCCGCGCCCGGGCCTGCGGGCGACTCGAGCGGGCCCTGCTGGCGCGGCGAGGGCCCGGCCTGAGGTGGGGCGCCGGCTGGAGCGCTGGCTCTCTCGGCTTCTGCTCTGGGCCAGCCTAGGGCTACTGCTCGTCTTCCTGGGCATCCTTTGGGTGAAGATGGGCAAGCCCTCAGCGCCGCAGGAGGCGGAGGACAACAGTACGTCCTGGGCCGGCGCAGGGGAGGGCCCTGGGCGCGCGTGTGTCCGCCGGAGGACCCCCCGTTCCTGTCGGCGCCAGGCCGCGCACTTCCGGCCTTGTCAGCTGCCTCTGACTGTCTTCTCATTTCCAGGCCTGCCTTCTTCCAGCTGTGGGAAGAGAGGGCCAAGGCTCCTGCATCTGCAATAATTTCTGCCTTCACTTTCTCCTGTTCTCCTTTTCTGCCCCAGCCCTCCCTTCTAACGTCTCCCTTTCAATCACAAGCTGTAGTCACTGCTCCTCCAACCTCTGGTTTTCTCCCTGGAGAGGAAGCCACACCCCCCTCTAACAGATTCACCCCATCCGTTTGGGTTCTTCCCTTTTGACCTCTGGCTTACACATTTAGTGCCTGTTTGAAGGCACTCCAGATTTCAGTGGCCCACAGATAGGATCTGGTTGGGGGTCCCACCTTTGTAGCACCAAAAAGTCCACTCTCCACTTCTTTGAATCACAGGGCCGCCGCTTTGTCAACAGGAGAATCTACCAGCCTTGCTTGCCAGACAGGTTAAACTGATCGCAACTGGAGGCCCTTATCATTGCTTGTAGCACCCTCATGGAGTGTGTTAAGAGAGAGACTACGACTCAAGGATGCTCACAGCCATCCTTCTGGCCACATTTAAGTTACATGGTTAGATATGCCAATGAGAGGTCTGCAGGATACAGTATGTATCCGGAATAGCTGAGGATTGTGTGTTTTCTGAAAGGAAACATAGAGATCATTTCATTATACATTTAGGTATAAAGGGCCACTGTAGTTCACCAACTTTTAATACTCTTTACAAAGCACGAATGTGACTAATACTGTTCCCAGCTTCCAGCCAAGGCCACATCCTTTCATGCCTAGCAGGAACTGCCAAAATACAGGAAAAAGCTAAAGTATGTCTTAGCTGGTGTGGCAGATGGATGTTTGGGAGTGTACAAGTCTGTGGGCAAGGGTATTAACAGACTCGTGTGCAAACACCCAAATGATTTCCCCACTATGAGAGCATTTATCAACTATGTGAATAGTTTGTCGACCTGCTAGAGAAATTAAGGAGACCTGGGAGTGTCATGGTACTATAACTACACTGGTGATGTCAAACAGTATCACACTGGTACTCACTGCTGAGATGCTTTAAGACAACAGCGCTAGAATGTATGCTGGTATTTACCTGGACTTCCCCTCCCATTACGGTGTTAATCTCTGTTTAACATATCATTGTTTACAAAACTCCTATATTTTGTTTTGTTTGGGCCTAACTCCCTGAGTTAAGCAGGGAAGGCCCATTTGATCCCGTTTTACAGACGAGGAGACAGAGGTTCAGAGTGGTTGAGTTGCCCAAGAAACTTGAGCTAATCATTTTCAGCTGGGACAAGGACCCAGCTATCGTAATTCCTAATCCAGGATTTGGATACCCTTACATTTTGCTGTCTGCATTTTAAAAGTGCCTTCCTTAGATGACATCTTTCTAATCCCCACCCTTGGCTTGGTAATGCTTTACTCCCTCCAAATGTTGTGAGTAGTCTCTTTTTGTATTCCTTTCTCAACCCACACTTAATTTCCTCTGTGTTTCTTTTCTTGGTCTCAGTGAAGTTATTGCCAGTGGACTGTGAGAGAAAAACAGATGAGGTGAGTTTGAGTTTCTCTGGTTTTTATTATTCTTCCTGAGGATATTAGCCTCCATCAGGAGGTAAACTTCCCCAGAAAAAGAATAGGATCATTTTCAGGGAGTGCTTCCTGTAATGTACCAGAGTCACATTGTGTTCTGTGATGTTCTTGTCAGGCTCAATTGTGGCAGTGAAGGAATACTTGAAATAGAATTGACCTCCCAAAATCCAACCCTGGGCTTGTTATGGACACTTTCCCATCAAATGTAGCATCGGGGACTTTGATCTGCCTGAGTCAATCTAGGGGGATGCAGTAGGTTGTTGTTGAAGGACCCTCAAGCTCCCTGGCACTGGGAGGAAGGGCCGGCGTTTCTAAGCATCAGGAGGCCAAGTTCTCAATTCCACATTCTCTGTCTCCAGTGGTGCAGCTGTGGCTCTGAAAATGCTGTTCTGATTTGAAACATAGGGAGTTTGTTTGGAACACATCTTAAGTGGAATTAGCCCTCTTAGTCTACATTTAGATTTGTTTTATGAAGCTCTAATATGGCGAGCAGCCCCATCCATTTATGAATCATGAAAGCAGCATTATCAAGGAGCTGGGATGCTGCTTCTGGTGACAGTCTGGAGAAGATATGGGGCAGTAAATTTTCAGGTCTTAAATTGTACCAGGAGGAGTCTTGTGCTGCCAGAGGGCATGACTTAGTAGTCTAATTAAGTGTGCAATGCCTGGCCTCCCAAGTCCTTAGTTAACATCTCTAGTAGCCCAGGGGCTGGGAAAGAAAATGACGCATGGTCCTCTGGCCAGCCCTGCATTGACTGTCTTACTCATGTAAATGAGGGGGCATCCTGGTGCAGATAACGGCTTTTATTTCTCTTTGGCTTCGGGTGTGTCATAGTTGGGGGTGTTTTATTACATCCATTTATTGGATTCATCCACCAAATATCTTTGCTTCCCAATTGTTTTGTAAAAACAGATTCATAGTAAGTTTAATCTGCCTTCTATCATAAAAACTGTAGTTGATGATGAGAGGAAGTGGCCCAGAAACACAGGCAGCCAGAGGGGAAACTGGAATTTGAAGACTTAAAACAAAAACAGGAAAAAATAACTTTCTGTAAGACTTCTCAGTGCTGTTAGTTTTGTCTTTTAATTAGAAAAAAGTTCCATGGTTTCTATTTCTTGGTCCTTCACATCTCTAAATGAATCAGACCCACAAGTGAATGGCACATTTGTTCCCTGGCCTTCTCTGATCTGGACACACTCAGGCTCCACTTGAGTGAGCCCAGACAGGTACCCTCCAGGTCCTAGCTACAGATGCGCTCCGTGGGCAGACGGCATTCAGCACCTGCCAGCGAGGGCTTCAGACGCAGATATCCCTATTTGTAACCATTCAGACCTTCATCAGAGCATCAGAAAGCAGGGGCTGGGCCATCTCAATGCAGGCTTTGTGGAGCTAAGATTTCATGGGGCACCCTTGGCCTTTCTGGAGGGTGGACACAGGAACAAGCAGGTGGGGACGTGTTTCTTGGCTTTGGTGAGGCTCTTGCTGAAAGTCTTATTCTTTGCATGGCTCCAGGCTTACCGAGATCACAGACGGGCATTTGAATTTCAGATTCATGTTCTTTCCCTTTTCGGTCGTTGAAGACGGTGACACTTTGTGTTTTTCTTTCTGCCTTTGTGCTGCTGAAAACGTGGGGACAGGCTGGGAGTGGGTGTGTTGTCTTAATCAGGCCGTCTCGTTGTCTGGTACCGTCTGTCCTCCTGTTTCCTTTAGGTGGTAGCAGCCTCTGCTGAGTGGTTTGTGTGAGTTCGCACTGAATCCTACCACAATCCTTACTCAGATGAGGGCTCTGAGATTCCACCTAACGGGAGACGAGATGGCAGCTGCTGACATTCTGCCCTGTCTGCAAGCTCTCCTAGCTCTTCCAGCTCTCCCATCTCTGCAAACTCCGACAGCAGTTGCTCTTCCTCTGAGGAAGCTGAGCGACTGCATCATCCCCCGACCACGTCGCCTCTGCTCAGCCCTCTTAATGGCCGTCATTCCAAGGGAAAGGCAGGAGCCAGGAGCCTCTGGGATGCAGCCCCTTGGTTACAGTGTCTGCTTTCAGCTTTGCCTCTGCTTCTCCAGGGTCTTTCTCAGGCAGTTAACCCAATATTTATCAACTCTCTCCCTAGGCCCAGCACTTGGCAGAATTTTTTTCTATTTTGTAAAAGTATGAGATATTCCTTGCTGTTTAGTATTTGACAGTGTGGCTGGAGAAGTAAAGATGGACAGACGGACCCCTCCCACCCACCCCTCCTTGCTGACCACTTGTCCCGTGCCTTTCCAGTTCTGTCAGGCCAAGCAGAAGGCAGCCTTGCTGGAGCTGCTGCATGAACTCTACAATTTCCTGGCCATCCAAGCTGGTGAGTAAGTCACGTAAGTCCTGAGATTCCTCTTGTGAGAGCTATGGGCGGCTGACCCGGTTCATCAGGCTTAGTTACACTGCTGCTGGCCAGCGAGACACTCCCTGGTTGTCTCTCAGAAGGCATATTCAGAAGCCGAGTCTCACCTTCTCGCCTCCTCACTCAGGCACATCTTTTATAAGCCTTGTGTTTGAACAAAACATATTTGATTCTTGCTCCTCTTTAAGGGAGGTCCTGGCATGTGAACAGGCCTTCCTGCAGCTGTTCTTCCTTCTTGGGGATGCCCACTACCTAATGCTTTGGGGGTCTCTGTTGGCATGGGAAGGGGCCAAGCCCCAGGTGTTGTCAGGATCTGTGTCCTTCACCCTAGAGGGACCCTCTGAACCAGGTGGTTGGCTGGGCCCGGGAGAGGCCTCTTGCCTGTGCAAGTAGCAGATAGTCTGTGTAGTGGGCCCTGGTGTCACATCTGGTCCTGATCACCATGTGGCTGTGGGACCTCGGACAAAGTCCCTGATCCTCTCAGGGTCTTCATCTCCCTGTCTGACCAAGGGCTCTTGGGTCTGTCTGTTCTCTACAAATGAGAGTCAAGTGCTGTCCTCTAAAGGAGGGCATTCTCAGCACCTCTGTGAAATGCCCCTGAAAATGCATCCAGAAGATGCATCCCCTACTGTTTTATTTGGTGAAGTTATTCCTTGAGGCCAGAGATACCACCTGCATTATTATGTCCTGCCCGACGCCTGGCATCCAGGAGGCTCTCAAAATCACTTGCAGTTGACATAGGTGAATATCAGCATGTGCGCCTTGTGTTAAATGCGCTGGACACAAGAACCAGACAGAGCAGTTCTATCTTAAGGGATATTCAAGAGGCGCCTCTTACCTGTGGGGTCAGAGGACAGGTCTTAGGATTGTGAGGTCAACCCTTGTCTAAGGTTTCACTGGGAAATTAGGGTCGGGTGGACTTCTCCTGGGCCCTCAGTCCTCAGGGTCAATCTCATGAGCATCAGCTCTTCTGCCTCCTCCCTCTTGAAAGTGAGAGATGAGATGGTAGGGGAGGCATCCATGAGCACTTGGAGGAGAAACAGGTACTGGGGCTCCTGCTCACAGCATCATAGGAATTCCTCTGTACGGCCCAGGTGCTTGGGATGTCAATTCTGACCTAAGAGAGTGTTCCAAACCTTTGTGTCTCAAATGTGGTCCAAGGACCCATAGCATCTGCATCACGTGGGAGCTCACTAGAAATTCAGAATCTCAGGTCTCATGCCAAACCCAGTGAATCAGAGTCTGTATCTTAAGATCCCCAGGGGATTTGAGTGCACCCTAAAGTTGAGAAGCACTGCTCGAAATTGGGTCCTAGTAGATATTTCTCCTCCATCCTACCCTCCATATGTGGTCTTGCCTTATGCCCTCAAGGGCCCTGGCACCTGTTGCCCTCCGACAAGCCTGGGGGGCCGCCTTGAAGGTACATATCTCATTGAGACAGGAGTGTGCCTCACAGAGGCTCCCTAGTAGTCCTCAACCCCTTCCATGCCTCTCCTGTTAGGGATCCGCTGTGGGCTGGGCACTGTGCAGGCCCTTGCAGTGAGATGACTCAGCTCCAGGTCCTGCCTGCAGGGCCCAACCCCGGCTTGGGGTCTACTGGAAGAGACAGGCCACCTACCTCCCTGACCACTGGGTGATATAAAATGTGATTAGACAAGAACCAAGAGGCCAGAAGTTCTGGGAGGCACAATGCCTTTTAGCTGGAGCAGTCAGGAGAGCGTCACAGGAGGTAGCATCTGTGCCAGGCCCTGAAGCCCAGGTAAGACTGGTTACATGTATGTGGGGAAGGACAAGGCAAAGCGGCAGGAAATTACATCTCGAGTGGGAAGCAGCACCTTCATGGAGGAAGGGGAAGATGAGAGAATGAAGTTTGGAAGTGTTGGTTGGGCCCTACCATAGATGGCCTTGGATGCCAGGCCACCAGAGCTTGATCTGGCAGGCAGTGAGGGCCAGAGAGGCTTTGAGCAAGGGAGTATCATGCTGAGAGCCAGGTGCCAGGAAGGTGAATGCGGCAGCAGCTTGAGTAGCACAGTTAAGCAGAATCATTTTCAAGTGTTATTGACAAAACAACTGGATTGGGAAAGGGAGAGGAGGAACCGAATCGAGAGGCCATCTACGTGGTCCAGGCAGGCCTGGCAAGGGCAGGAAGAGTCCTAGTGGGAAAAGGAGGATGCTAGAAGCCACCTGTGTCTCAGGGGACCCCTGGGGTCAAGATCAACTTTGAAGTAGGAGGATCTGGCTGTGTTAGGGGAAGGCGACAGGCTTCAGTTCAGTTTCAAAGTTTTAAAATATGACCTTCAGCTGCTCCCTTCCCCAGCATGCAGAAACACACTCACTGGCCACCCGAAGTCCCCCAGGCTGTGCTGGGTCAGGGCAGTCAGGCCACGCACACGTGTTAAATAGTGTATGCGTGCGTGGCCCTGCACCCTCCCTGCTCTCGGGGAGTCAGGCAAACCACAGCACAGGAGCGAGGACCAAGGGCTATGGCAGGTCACCAAATCTGGGGCCATTTCATCAAACAAAAGGCCCCCAGGGGCTGAGGGCTTCCCAGGGGAGATGGCCCCTGGGCTGGACCGGGGAGGTTGGGCAGGACTAAGTGGGAGGCTGCCAGCTCCATCCTATGGGAGCAGGCCTCCAAAGCCACTCGGGGGAGCTGCCCCTTGGCGTGCTGTGCTGAGGCCCCACTGCCCAGCACACAGACATCCTCTTCCTCCAAGGGGCCCCTCAAGACAATAGACCTGGCATTCCAGGTCGCCTGCCTGTGTCATGAGTCAGAATCCCCGTGGTGCCCATGGCCTCCCTGCCTTTCTTTTTTCTCAGGCTGTGTTTATTTATAGTGCCATTCCGGTACCTTCCGAAGCTATCTGTCTGATTCTTTTAGGGATCAATTGCAAAGAGACCTTGCTATTGGGCAGCTTTTTAGTCATTTAATGCAAAATGCCACACTGCTTTGCAGGTCAGGTTTTAATGATCTGGAATCGATCCAAGCTAAGTGGCTTTTGATCTTGCTGCAGAGTGAAGATGCCCCACAGAAGCCAGGAGCCGCTGGGCAACATGCTCCTTATTAGAGCTGATGGCTTGATTCTTGCTGCATTTTTTAGTCTGTTTCAGAGTGATTTTTCCTTTGTGTTTGAGCATGTGTGGTTTTTTTTCTCCTAGGTAATTTTGAGTGTGGAAATCCAGAGAATCTAAAAAGCAAATGCATTCCTGTTATGGAAGCCCAAGAATATATAGCCGTAAGTAGGCTTCAGTGCTTATACATTCCTGGGAGGGCCTGGTGCTTTCCTATTGGTCTTTCAAGCCCTGTTGGGGTTTTTGTTTTTTGTTTGCTTTGTGGCTTTTGTACTAGGCTACCTTAAGTTAAGGTTTGGTTTATGGCTTTTTGTGCTAGACTACCTTCAGTTAAGGCAGCCATGGTAGTGACTGCCCCAGAGCCAGGCCGCCATGTGCAGTGGGGCGGCTCACTCCTGACTGCTGCACTGTAGGTGTGCCTGTTACCTGCTTCTCCCTTGGTTCACTTTGCTCGTCTTGCCTTCGGCTTTCAGGAGAAACATGCTGTCCCTTCTCCCCCGTATGATTACCATTCAGACTGCCCAGGGGCCGTCTGATTTCCTGTGTGGCCTCAGGATGGTAGATTATAGAACTATGGAGCTGGTATTCCAGGTCGCCTGCCTGTCCAGTAACTTAGGGGTCATCTGGTTCCATTTGCATTTCACAGATGAAGAAACTGAGGCCTGGAGAGGGTCAGGGACTTGCCTGAGGCCAGACCACTTGCACCGGCCACTGGGCTCACCCACCCCCAGCCACAACGCTGTTATTCGCTTTACCCTAAGATGAGCTGCCAGCTCTCTGGCCTGATGCTTCCATCCTCGAGAGAATCATATTCTTTTGGCCGCCTCAGACCCGCACTGTTTTCCTGCTTGTGCTTCCGCATCACCTCCTCTGGTTATAGCCTCTTCCTTGGCTTTCATCAACCCCCGATTTCCTTCCTGCCACTTTGCTGTGCTTTTAGCAGAACAGGGTTTTGGGGCTGTGGAGGACACGGGAGAGGGCTTCCTTAATCCAGCAGCAGAATAATGTTCCAGCTGCTCCGCCCAGACGCCGAACTAACCTTCTCCCGCGCCCTCCCACAGAATGTGACCAGCAGCTCCTCCGCCAAGTTTGAAGCCGCACTGACCTGGATACTGAGCAGTAACAAGGACGTGGGCATCTGGTGAGTGTGGGCAGGGTGGCGACGCAGCATGGGTGCCTGCAACCACTGTCCTCGCTCGTCAGCTAACACCCGTGCTCCAACAGAGCTGTCTCAGGTCTGAAGCTGGAGGCTGGGTCTCCCAGCAGAATCATGTGGGTTAGGATGGAAGTGGGGCAACAAAAGCAAGAAGCATTTGGAATGCAGTGTAAGGAGCAGCTTCAAGATGAGACACAAAATCCAGGTGTTAGGATGTTAGCCTGGTGTTCCAGCTAAATCCTGTCTCAGGTAACTCAGTCTGTGCCTTTCTCATTCATCAACAACACCACATGGTTTGTTGGGGAAGGCATTTTTCTGCACTTCCCCTCCTCGGGAGCTAGTTTTTATTTGTAGATGAAATTATTCTTTCTGTATGTTGGTTTTACTTACTATGGAAATCGCATAAGGAAATACTGGATTTTATTCTGACCAGGCAGTTTCTGCCTCATTTTTATCACTGGTGAGCACTGTTAGAAAAGGTAGCAAACCCTTTCATGAGGCTGAAAGGCTGTATCTGGCGGCTCAGCCCAGGGGGAGGGGCGTGTCAGCCAACAGCCAGGCAGCCTTGAGAGACCTGTCCCCTGCTGGCAGAGCAGCATCACTTCCCCACTTCCCACTCTCGGTGTTTGTGGGGGTCTCTGTTCAGGTTATAGCTCTTGATATTAAAACGTCTCTAGAGTTTTGTTCTTTTCCTCTCTAATCCACCCAAATTACTAATTCCATCAGCACTGCATCCAGCAGAAGCCCCTCGGGCAGCTCCACCTCAAGCTGGATAACTGGATGCATGGCACGATTAAAATTTGTTGGCTTAAAAAAAAAAAAAAGCTGCCCTGAGTAGCTGAGCAATTTTCCTGTGTTAGAAAAGGCGGAGGAGAATACGGATTTTATCCTCAGCAGCAGCGCTCACTGAAGCTGCTAACACAGAAGAATGATGACACTCACCTTTTCATGTTGGGGAAGGCAGCCTGGAGGGTGGCAGAGCCGCTCAGGATGACCATATTGAAAGTGGGTCCTGAGAAATCAGGACACTTGGGATGCCAGCCATTCCAGCATGCAGCCTCAAGAGCATGATATTCTCGCCCTGGGTCACCTAGCTGGAAGAAGGCTCTGGTGTCCCCACCTCTGCAGGTCCTGACACCTCCTGGCCAGAGACCATGGTGGAGGCGCCGTGGCTGGGGTCTGGCCTCGGAGAGCCTGGTGGTTTTCATTCCCCATGAGCCTCACGGATTCCCCATGAGCCTCATGGATGCCCCATGATCTTTACACTTAAACAGCTTATGTGCCTCCTTGTCACCGAGGAAAAGTGCAACCTCCCAGATTCTGTCTTTCAGTTCTTGCCATGCAATTGCAAAGCTAGTGATTCAGTAAACATTTCCATTTCTCTATGCTGGGAGGTGGGAATCCAATTTACAGTTTAATCTCCTGCATGCTGAGAGAGGCTGTCAAAGACCTGACAGGGGGACGTTGCTTTAGCGGTAGGGGTTCAAGCCTGCTGCCGTCTTTAAAGCTTTATTCATTCTAAGTAGCCAATGTGGGAAATTTCTGGAAAGAATGCAGCCAGGATACCAAGCCTATTCTATAAGCAAGTAGAGGCCTTGCGTCCCCACTTTCCTTCGCTTCCTCCTGTTTGAAGTGGGGCTTGCACTGCCTCTCCTTGGAGCTTTCCAACATGTTCAGAGCCCTGTGTCCTGTTTCAGGTTGAAAGGAGAAGACCAGTCTGAATTGGTGACGACTGTGGACAAGGTGGTCTGCCTGGAATCTGCCCACCCCCGCATGGGTGTTGGCTGCCGCCTGAGCCGGGCCTTGCTCACTGCTGTCACCAACGTGCTCATCTTCTTCTGGTGTAAGTCCTCGGCCGCCTTCCCTCCCCTTCTGTGCAGTCAAGCATACTCCTAGGCATGAATGATGAGCTATAGAAATTCCAGGCCCGGAGGGTTCATTTCTGTCTAGTGAACCTGAGGTCTGTCTCATAAAACAGAGGAGATGAACAAGTCAGCCTCTGCCCTGGGTTGTATTTACCTTTGGAGATTGGTGGCAGGAATCCGTGAGGATAACTAGAAAATGTCCTTGATTCAGGGCAGGGGACTGTCAGATTTCCTGAGCGGGAGCCTGGCCTGAGCAGGAGCTGGGCCCCACCCCTTCTGGGCTCTGCAGGGATCCCAGTGTGGACCAGCTTCGAGCAGGAGGCACAGCAGGGGCTTGGCCTACTTTTACTCCCTGAAAAATATAAACATCTCCTGGAGAGCTACAGATACCTGATGAAAGCAAGAAGGACTCAGGGTGCTGCACTGAAAGGAGGGCACCAGTCTTATCCCCTGACATCGGGGGCCGCCTTTGAGCAGAGACCTCAGGGCGTCTCTGAAGGCGAAAGGCCAAGTCACAGAAACCACGGCTTTCCAGAGATAGTTGGAGCTACAAATCACAGACCGCCTCAGTGTGCACACAGCTCCCTCCCCTGTGCCATCAGGCACAGAAATCATTATCGGCAGCAGCATCTCGGAATACAAAGGGCCCCGGCATGTATATATGTATGAAACACTGTGTTCTGGTTCACAAGGGAGGAGATGAAAGCCCCAGAATGAGGTTGGGAGGAGCCGAGATCTGGACGGCTGGGGATGCCGCTGTGGTGACAGCCGGTGGGAGGAAGATGATCACTTAATAATCTGTCGTCCCTCTGCATTTCTGTATCTTTTGTTTCTCGCATGCTGGCCCTGAGCCTGACACATAGTAGGTACCCAAACCCATGTGGTGGATCCCCCACAGCATCCATCACAGCATCTTGTCCATGGTGAGACCCACTGCCAAATGAAGTGTGAGGGATTAACAGTGTTTTGTTCCCTCACAGGCTTGGCTTTTTTGTGGGGGCTCCTAATTCTCCTAAAATATCGGTGGCGAAAGTTAGAAGAGGAGGAACAAGCCATGTATGAGATGGTGAAGAAGATTATAGGTGCGTGGCCCCCTGGTGAATAAAGGGTTGCCGACGCCAGCCAGAGGGTCCTTGCCCTAAATGGTGTGCTCTCTCCTGCAGACGTGGTCCAGGACCATTACGTGGACTGGGAGCAGGACATGGAGCGCTATCCATATGTAGGCATCCTGCACGTGCGCGACAGCTTGATCCCTCCACAGAGCCGGTGAGTCCCTGGCTGGGGCGCTGGGTGTGAGGTAAGATGGGGTCCGACCCCACTGAGCTCCCCAGAAGGAAACCCAGAGCCTTGCATCAGATGTCAGCTGAGGGCAGTGCAGACCCCAGGGCCAAGAGTGGCTCTGCTCCCACTCCTGCTGCTCCCCAGCATGCTCGGCTCTTTATGGCAGGATGAGCTAGAAAAGACATATGAAAGCACAATCCCACACCTCTGTAGAGAGAACACTGGCAGTGGTGATACCAGTTAGGAGGCCTTGGGCTCCAAGTAATAGCAGCTCCCTCCCCCAGGGCACAAGTAGTGAAGGATCTCCTCAGTCTCTGTAAGTGGAAGTTCAGAGCTGCATGGGCTCCAGGCACAGAACAGTCAGGTCTCCGGTTCCATTGCTCTTGTGATTCTCGTGGTCCCACACTCCTCCATGGATGTTATCAACAGACTGGGGTCCCTCATGGTTGCAGATGGTGGCCAACAGCAGCTGGGGCACTGTCTGCCTTGTCACAGCCAGCAGGGGAAAAGTAGGCCTATTGTTGTCTTATAAGCAAGAGAACATGTTCCCAGTAGCCTCCAGTGACACACTCCTTGAGGCTTTATTGACCAGAATCTCTTACATGTCTGTTTATGAATCAGTCACTGGCAAGGAGGAGGAAATTGTTTTTCAAACTTTTTAAACCATGACCTGCAGTCAAAAACACCTGTTACCTGCAACATCATGGTCCAGTTCCCACACACGCATGCGTACACTCATGCATATACATGTAATTGAAAGCAAAGTTTCACAACATGAATGGGGTCAGCTTCCAGGGCACATAGCTTCATGGGAAGGGGTGGCAGGGCCACTGTCATGTGCAGCTGCAGGGCACCTTCCACATGGGCTGTGACTGCTGGAGTTGTACACTGGGGTCCTGACAGAACCAGGGTGGGGGAGGGCAGAGTCCCAGGAGACAGCCAGCAGGGCCCCCCCCAGTGTTGGCTCTGGTTGTGGTCCCTCCCTAGCAGACACTTGCTGTGGTTTCTGGCCAGATGCTGTCATCTGCTGGGTGATGCTGAGAGCTCACCCTTGCTGAGTGCTCCCTGGGAGCCGGGCACTACTTGGAGCTCTCCACAGATGCAAACTCACTCACTTGGTCCTCACCATGGTTCACGCACACAACAGAAGTGGCCCCATTTTACCTATAAGGGAACTGAGGCACAGGGAAGTAGAGGAATGTGCTCAAGAGTCCCATGGCTAGTGGCATTTCCGTGCTCCCGCCACCAGGCTCTACTGTCAACATCATCCCTATCTGCAACCCAAGAGGAATCAGAAAAATAGAGCCGTTAGCAGTCCACTTTAAGTCAGGCACAGTGGCTCACACCTGTAATCCCAGCATTTTGGGAGGCCAAAGTGGGAGGATTGCTTGAGCCCATGAGTTCAAGACCAGCCTGGACAACATAGCAAAACCCCATCTCTACAAAAAATAGATATTAGTGGGCATGGTGACACATGCCTGTAGTCCCAGCTACTCAGGAGGCTGAGGCAGGAGGATCACTCGAGCCCAGGAGGTCGAGGCAACAGTGAGCTATAACTATGCCACTGCACATCAGCCTGGACAACAGAGCAAGACCCTATCTCTTAAAAAAATAAAAAAAAGGTCCATCTTAAACATGAAGGTGCTTGTTGCCTGTCATGCTCACCTCACCCCTGGAAAGGTGGCAGGCAGGAAGTTTAGAGTGAGCAGACTCACAGCAGCATGGGCTGTGCTTGCTCTGAGGAGCGCTTGCTGTTGGTTTCAGCGTGAGGCCCTCTACCTCCCAGGGAGGGTGACTTGGGGTACTCAAACTCCCACCCAATTCCTGGCCCTGGCAGGAGTATCGTGACAATGAGCATCTCAGTCAACCTGTGCCACAGTTTCCTTATCCTAAAATGCAGGTGATCCCGCTGCCTTGCACAGGGCTGTGACGAAGAGACTATCATTCATTCATTCATTCATTCATTCAGTTCCTCCACAAATGTTTATTGAGCACCTACTACATGCCAGACACCCTACTGGGTCACAGGGAGACAGCAGGAAGTGGAAGAAACAAAAATCCCTGTCCAGCTGGAGCATTTGTTCTCAGGAAGGAGACAGATGACAAGATGCATAAGGAAAAGATGTGATATTAGGTAGTGACAAGCCCTAAGGGAAGGGGGGTTGGTATCAGGGTGGTGGCCTCAAAGTTCATTAAGTCACTGCCTAGTAGCCAGGCACGGTGGCTCATGCCTGTAATCTCAGTACTTTGGGAGGCCAAGGTGGGTGGGCCACCTCAGGTCAGGAGTTCGAGACCAGCCTGGGCAACATAGTGAAACCCCATCTTTACTAAAAATACAAAAATTAGCCGGGCATGGTGGCATGCACCTGTAATCCCAGCTACTCAGGAGGCTGAGGCATGAGAATCACTTGAACCCAAGAGGTGGAGGTTGCAGTAAGCCGAGATCATGCCATTGCACACCAGCCCGGGTGACAGAGCGAGACCCTGTCTCAAAAAAAAAAAAAAAAATGGGAGACCAAGGCGGGCAGATCACAAGGTCAGGAGTTTGAGACCAGCCTGGCCAATGTGGTGAAACCCCGTCTCTACTAAAAATACAAAAATTAGCCGGGCATGGTGGCAGTCACCTGTAGTCCCAGCTACTCGGGAGGCTGAGTCAGGAGAATCACTTGAACCCGGGAGGCGGAAGTTGCAGTGAGCTGAGATCACACCACTGCACTCCAGCCTGGGTGACACAGTGAGACTCCATCTCAAAAAAAAAAAAAAAAAAAAAGTCAGTGCCTAGCACGTGGGCATCATCCAAGGGTAGCCATTATGCCTTGGGCTTAAATGATATTCCACACACATATTTGCTTAAATAAGAGCATGAGACGGCACTGCAGCTTGCCTGCAGCCGGAGCTACCACCCAAGCCTTCGTGCATTAGCATAGATACCCAGAGCTGCTGCCACTCAGGTAGCCGGCCCTCAGGGTCAGAGCCATGTGAACCCCAGACGCCCATGCTCTGTTTGCTCTCTTGACTTACCTCCCAAGCCACCCAGTCAGTCCAGGCCAAGCTCCCCACGTCAGGAGACATTGGCTAGCCAGTCAGGTCTGCCCTGTAGATGAGGGCCTGCTTGGGAAAGACTGAGGGAGATGAGAAGAACTGGCCTGGGAAGGAGGGGCTGGAGTGAGACACTGCCCACTCAACACTGGCCGCTTCCTGCTCAGGGACCCAGCACCTTGGAGCTCAGTCCCCAGGGAATGTGTGGCCTCGGCCAGACCAGCCAAGTTGGGGCTGCTGAATAGGCCCATGGGGTTTGGTTGGTGACAGGTCCTGACCCCTGGGGAAGCCCTAGCCCCCCCCCCGCCTCCTGACTCACTGGCCACCTCCGTTTGTCCTCCCCTTCTGCTCCCATGCGTACACACTCACAGTCACTGTCTTTCCACGTGTGGTGTCATGGGGAGGTGGGCTGCAGTGATGAGAAAAGGCTGGGGGCTGTGCAATACCATGCTTCACAAAGGGAGAAGATCAAAGTGACCCTCCCCCATGGCTTTGGAACCTTCTTGTCCAGTCTGGAAGGGGGGAAGAAGAGATGAGGGGAAGGCTGTCCAGGGGGGTGCAAGGCCCTAGAGACCCAGCAGAGAAGGGACTCTGGCCACTGAAGGGGCCCTCCGTTGTGGCTCTGGTTCCCTAGAGCAGCTCCAGCTTCTTGGCCTCCCCCGTCTGATGCTTAGCTCATCCCATCCCCTGGAGTGCTGTGGAGCTTAGATGAAACAGCCCAGTGCTCACTCTTCAATGAGCCCACCCAGAGCAGCATCAAGATGCAGTTGGCGGGGTACTGGAACTGGCTTGGCAAGGGCTGCGCAGGCAACAGGTCCCAGCAAGAGTCAGCTAGCCTAGCACAGCCCTGCACACCTGGAGACCTGGGGGTGCTCCAGACACCTCGGCCCTTTAGCTCCCTTTAATTGAATGTGTTTGGATCAGTGAAGGTTGAGGAATCATTTCTCTATGGCCCAAGACGTTTTTCTCCTCTGCAGTTGTCATGTTAGTACCTGCCAGCTTTTCCTCTCTTACATAAATTCCATGCCAGAGCCTGGAAATGTGTGCCCTTTGTAGGAGGGGCATCCACAGGCTGGCTCACCTCGGCAGTGCCAGGCAGAGCCCCGTCCCTCTCATTGCAGGAGGCGCATGAAGCGTGTCTGGGACCGAGCTGTGGAGTTCCTGGCCTCCAACGAATCCCGGATCCAGACGGAGTCCCACCGCGTTGCAGGAGAGGACATGCTGGTGTGGAGATGGACTAAGCCCTCTTCCTTCTCTGACTCAGAGCGATAAGCCCCGGGCGGGGACTTGTTCCCGGTCAGCCTGTCCCAGGACAGCCCACTCCAGAGGCACAGGAGGGTCACCAGGCCTGCGGTGCTGAATTCACACTTGCCTTGACTTTCAGTCTCGTCCTGACACGATTCCAAAGGTCTGCCATACTCTTCAGAGGAGTTCGGCTCGCAGGAAAATGTGGGCTTCCTTTAAAGGGAGGGGGAGAAGCCAGGGTGATAGCCCAGACTCTGCCCTGTTGTGCTGGCAGAAACGGGGAGAAGGGTTGAGTTTTCATGAATAGAAAACA
The DNA here is from genome assembly GCF_000001405.40 of Homo sapiens. Lineage (NCBI taxonomy): Eukaryota > Metazoa > Chordata > Mammalia > Primates > Hominidae > Homo > Homo sapiens. The sequence goes on along the minus strand of NC_000006.12, from coordinate 33,772,341 downwards.
AGAGCAGCAGCTGTCAGGCCCAGCTGACAAGCGTGGGGCTGGTGGGCTGGGGCATGGCCACGCCAGGGAGTCTGTCACCTGGGAGGTGGGGCAGGGATGGTGTTTCGGGTGGCGGGATGGGGAGCAGCTTGGTCCATGTGCCTTCAGGGGGTTGTTACTTGAGAGCTCCAGGGTGAAGGGAGAAAGCCTGTGCTCTGGCTGGCTGGGCCTCTATCCTGAAGAGGGAAGGTGCTAGAAATTAGAACAAGTGACTGTAGGGGGGACCGTCTAGAAACACCAGGCCCAGACACACGGTCCCTCAGGTCAGGAGGAGTGAGCAGCCGGCACAGCCTCCTGGGAGGATCCCGAAGTAGGGACTGGGGCTGAGAGCAGAGAGGAGGGTCGGGCAGCCCCAGGGCGGGCGGGCCCGCCTCAGTGTTGCTTCTCACAGAAGCTGCGACTCTAGACCAGGCCTGCAGCCAGAACGCCGATTCCGGGAGCTTGGGAGCCCTGCGTCAGGGCCCAGAGCCTCGCACTTGCTGTGTGCGAAGATCGCCTTGCTTTACTGTGACCACAGCCCCGACGCGGGGCTGTTTAACAAGAACTTCAGCGCAGCCGGCGTTTCTGTTACCCCGGCCGCGGCTCTTGGCGGCGGGAGAGGCGCAGTGGCTGCAGGCTGCCCCCTGCCGGCCACAAGGGAGCAGCGTCCGCGCCGCCGCCCACCGGCCCTCCCGCCAGCTCCTCAGCCTGCTCCCTGGGAGGCAGGCTCCAGAAGCACCCCGACGGGGGGCCTTATTAAGTGCGAGAAGCCTCTCCAGCGAGTCTTCCCCGTGTGTCCTCATCTGCGGCAGGCAGGAGAGGGGGAGCAAACAGGAAATTCCACAGCTGCCTCCAGAAACATTAACCACCCCTCTCTAGTCTTACTGGTATTTTTTGTTTCCTTAATAAAGCTCCAGTCTCCCTCATTTGAGCAATACTCTCATTTCCTCTGATGTCTGGATGATCGGCAGGGCAGGAATCTGAGCGCTGGCCCCGTGGTGAGGCCATGTTCTCATAATCAGGCTCCAGCCAGAAAAATAAGAAACACCGCAACAGGCTTCAGTATCAGGGCTGAAACTGCTGGATGAATAAACTATTTATTAAAAACGGATGTTTCTTGCCCATGGTTCTTTCCCTTCCCCCAAAGCTATGTCTAAGGAATGGCAATGTGTGGACTCCTTAAGCACCAGCTCTGGGAGGTGGCTGGAAGGGAAGGTGGGAGAGACAGCAGGACGTGGGCTCTGCAGTTCCTCCCAGACCTCTGGCCTCTGCCACCCAGTGACCAGTTCTCGAGTAAGCTGCATAACTCTCACAGCCTCAGTTTCCACATTTGTAACGTGTGATGACCCTGTCTTACAGAGTGGCTATGAGGATTGCAGCATGCAGGGTGCCTCCTTGGTCCCAGTGGGTGGCCAGAAGTGGGGGCTAGTGGGGCCTTTTTCCTTTGGCTCCATTTCTGCCTCCCCTCAAGACCCAGAGGTTCCCCTCAGGTGCTCAGCACCAGCCCTGGGAGGAGGAGGAAGAAAGAACAGGGTGAGGTTGGATGGGGCTTCCCAGCAGCTGGTAGCGTCCCTTCATGAGGCCGACTTCTTTGTCTCCTCTGAGGCCCAACCATAGGGAAGCCCACTCATTGCCCACCCATGCGGTCTGGCAGGCACATGAGGGTTCCCTTGCCAGGGCTGCTGAGTGTGCTTCTGGATCTCACTGCTGTCCTTCCTTTTGCAGAGGCCCCAAGGTCAGTCACCCCAAGAAGGCAGCCAGTCCTGCCATGCCCCATGGGGCTTGTGGGCTGTTGTGGTCACCTTTCCCGTTCACAGTGAGCACCAGCCTGTTATCCTCGTCACTAGAGTCACACAGTTGGGTCCATAGTCAAAGGACCTGGAAACGCAACTCGGGAAAAAATGAGCCTGTCTTTCCCTTTTCTGTTCCTCATGAAAGACTTTCCCTCTGCCACGTTTTGTTTTAAGCCGAGAAGGGAGCTAATGCAAGGCTCTATTTCTGTGAAGCTGTTTGGAGAGCAGGAGCGAGATCAAAATAAACTAAATAACAAAAGGCCCCTGCCAGCCCAGCTTCTTCCTTTCTGGAACACAGAGCGCCTTGGCGCAGAGGCCCCGAGGTGTGTCCTCGGCCTCACTCAGGCTGCAGACATTTCAGAGCAGGCTTTCCACCTTCCTCAGCTTCTCAGGGCCAAGTCCCCTTTCAAGCAGCTCTTATTTCACAAGGGACAGTATGGGGCGGTGGGTTTGTCCAAGGGCATCTGTGGGCTGGAGTGATTGCTGAGATCCCAGTTTCTCTGCCCAAATCCCTTCAGAGAGCTCCCTGGGCTGCAGACCTGTCTTTTCTCGGTGACAGACGGCCCTCTCGGGCCACAGTGGACACCGATAAAGAAGCTTCAGGGGCAGGGAAGGGGAGGCTGTACCCCACAAATCTCAGCCATGGACATCCACCAAGGAGCTCCAGGCCACCTTCCGGAGTCTCGACTCAAGAAGATGGTAAACATGGCCATTTGTCACTGACTTATCATAAGAGCTGCGGTAGCAGCTGTTCCCCCTTAATTAATACACCATTGACTTTGAGCCTCAAAAAAAAAAAAAATCCCTTTGCTGAGGCAGGTGTGTGGACTCAAATCCATTATCCTGTCGGTCTCCCCCAAAAGGAAGGCGCGGGAGAGCGGTTATACAGTTAAGTCACCCAACTGTTCCAAAACAGTCCTCCCCGGGCAGCCAGGCCAGCCTCTCCACCCATCCCCAGAGAAAGTTCTAGACACAAGCAGAGAGTCTGAACAGAGGGTCCCATGATGTGCAGGGACACAGAGGCAAGGGATGAGGGCAGGTGGGAGGACCCCGTGGGCACCATGCCACCTGGCGCCCCCATGTTTTCCCAGGAGTGACGCTGCACACGGGTGGGGGTGGAGGCCTAGGGCTCAGCATCCTCAGGACCAGCTCTGGCCTTCAGTGGCTGGGATCTTGGGCAAATCACTTTATCCCTGTATCTAGGTGAGTTACTACACAAGCCTCTGTCTGGCTCATTCACTGCTGTGTCCCCAGCAATCAGAACACTGCCAGGCCCACAGGAGGCACTCAATAAATATTCAAGAAATAGATTAATGGAAACCTCGATCCCAGAAGGAGAAGAACCTGGCAATGAGGTTTTTTTGTTTTGTTTTTGAGACAGACTCGCTCTGTTGCCCAGGCTGGAGTGCAATGGTGCAATCACAGCTCACTGCAGCCTCCGTCACTCAAGCAATCCTCCTACCTCAGCCTCCCGGGTAGCTGGGACCACAGGCACATGCCACCATGCTTGATTAATTTTGTCTTTTTGTAGAGACAGGGTTTTACTACGTTGCCCAGGCTGGTCTCAAACTCCAGGGCTCAAGCAATCCTCCTGCCTTGGCCTCTCCAAGTGCTGGAATTGCAGGCATGAGCCACCGTGCCCAACCTGGCACTGAGTTTCTAACGTCTGGATTCCTCCAGTTTCCTTTCAGGCTGGTTTTGTTTACTCGTGTTTCTTTTTCCAATCTGAGTGACTCTGATCTGCCACAGCCCCAGCCCTCCCACTGCCTTGCAGCACACACCCCGCCCCCTGCAGGCTATCTCTGGGAAGGCAGCCTTGTTCTGACCACAGAGGGGACCAGGCTGGACTGTATGAGATGGGACAAGTCTCCCAGACTAGCCAGACAAATTGGCCAGGAGCAGCTGTGTTTACTTGCATTTCCTTGAGTGGAACAGCCAGGGGAGCCCCGAGGACCTGCCTAGCCCCCAGCACCACATGACAGAAGAAGCCGTGGTGAAGATGGTCTAGAGGCCGGGCACAGAACCACACAAACTCCAGGATTTGTATAAGACGCTGGCCAGGAAGGCCCTCTAAAACATGACTTCTCACCAGCCCTGTGAGTGAGAGCTTGAAGCAGGTTTAACTTGGTTTCTAAAGAAAGTGATGGGATGTTTCTTCCTGCCAAGAGTGTGGCCCAGTTCATCACTGAGGCTCCTCCATGAAGTCAGGGTGATTGTCTCAGCATCGTGAAGGTGTGGTGAGATTCCAGGGACGGATGGCTATATTGCAAACCGTGAAAGCGTTACCCACTAAGGGACCAGGACTGGGCTGCCCTGGCCGGGCAGATAAGTAGGAACAGTCCCGAGTACAGTCTTGGAACAGGGAAAGAGCTGAACAACAACCTCTGAGAAGAAAGGGTAAAGGAGGTATCACTGATGATTACAGCCCAATTTCTAAGCTGCTTCTGTTTAGTAAGGAGACAGAGGAAAGTACAGTAATTTTCTTCAATGAAAACAGGCAACAGAATTCCCTTTGCCTCGTTCCCCTTGCAATTAAGCCCTTCTCTGCAAATGAAATGATTTGGTTTTCATGGGGACTAATTTAAGCACACTGGAAGGACCGCTGAACTTTCTGATTGCAAACACCAACATGTGCAAAACAGAATCCAGCAGCTATGCCAGGCTGGTGAGGCTGTCCCACCCGTGGAGCTGAGGGCTTGGATGGGGTGAGGGTGGATGAGCCCTGGCTGGAAGTCCAGCTCTGTCCCTAAGTCCATGACACTTCCCATGTGGCTGACCCTCTTCCTGTCTCCAGCTGCCATCTCCTCATCCCAAGTGAGAAAGTTGGACTAGATCTCAGCTGACAAACTCAGAAGTCTCTGACATACTTGGCAATGGCGGTGGGTTGAAGATGCCACACGTTCCTTGCCACTCCTTTCATCAAGAAGTGGAGTCTATTTTGTCTCCCCTGAATCTGTGCTGGCCCCATGACTGCACTGACCAGTGGAATGTGGTGAGAAGGACACTGGCCAGCTCCGGTCTGAGGCCTCAGGAGGCCTCGTTGCCTCCCCTTTTGCCCTCTTAGGCCTTGAGTCTCCATAGAAAGAGGTCCAGCTGCCCAGCTGGAGATGCCTTGTGGGGAGAGATGCCTGGCCAGCCCCACCGTTCCAGCATCCCAGCTGACACAACAGATGCGTGAGTGCAGCTACTCTGTACCAGCCCAGATGCACCATGTGAAAAGATAAGCTGTTCCCACCACACACTGCCCAAAGGGTGGAAGCATAAGTAAATAATGGTTGTCTTATGCCACCAAATTCCTATTATTACTTTTTAACTTGAAATAGTTTAAGACTCACAAGATGATGCAAAAATAGTACAGAGAGTTCGTGTGTACCCTTCACCCAGCTTCCCCCAATGATAATATCCCACATAACCACAACATACTATCAAAACAAGGAAACTGACCTTGATACAATCCTATTAACTTAGGTGCAGGCCGTATCTGGGTTTCAACAATTTTGTGTGTGTGTGCGTGCGTGTGTGTGTGTGTGTGTGTGTGTGTGTGAAGTTTTTATGAAATGTTATACCATGAAGCTACTAAGTTTGGGGGTAGACTGTTACTCCCAATAGATAATTAACACAAGAATGGACAAGATCCCCCAGAAACACAACTCAGACAAACTTCAGCACAAGGTGAATGTGCTGGCTCACGTAAACCAATCCACTAGAGGCAGGGTGGCAGGCCTCAGAGAAGCTCCACCCAGGGGCAGGGGAAGTATCAGGTCCTGGGCATGAGCCACATTTTCTAGAGGTCCCTTCTAGAGGACACATATGAGACGAAGGAGGGACCCACTTCCCAACCAATCCCTGGGATGGAGCACCATGGTGGGGCACAGGCGGGGGAGGACCGAGCCCCGTGCCTCCGTTGGGTCAGGGCACAGAACCATGCTTGGCGGCTGGTCAGAATCATAAGGGCACAGGGAAGAGGAGCAACCCTCAAAGGAAGGGATGGGCACTGGGAGCAGAAGAGGAGAGGGGAGATATGCATTGCAGAGCAAAGGAGAGCACCCAGGGCAAACCCTGGGTACGCAGACCCCAGGTGGGAGGGGAAGGACATTCTACACTGGACCCAGAATGAGCATCCAAGAGGTATTGTGGGAACTGGGGGCAACCCTGAGGGATAGGAACAGCTCATATACAGAGTAGTCACTGAAGCCATTTGCCAAAATTCTGGCACCAGAAAAGATTAGATTTCCCCACCCCTTTGAAAGTAGGCATGGCCATATGACTTGCTTTAGCCAAAGAAATGTGAACGGAAGCGACAAATGGCACTTCAAGACACAACCATTAAGAGCCCCTTCTTTGCCTCTGTCAGGGCATGGTGCTGCAGCTGGGGGCTGCCCCTCAGCCTGGGTCCCAGAGCAACAGCGACTGGGAGCAGGAGCTCTAGCTGCCCCATAAGGTACCGTGTGATCAAGAAACCAACCGATGTTGTCATAAGCCACCAAGAATCCAGGGTTTGTTACTGCAGCACCCGATGGCCCGTGATAGCCGGCACAGGTAACTGGCCATCGCCATCTTCCGTGAGGGGAGGACACACACTCGCATTGCAGTAGGGGAGGCGGGGGAACACCTGAGTCCTCTACCCACCAACATTCAGTGCCTGGAAGGTGGGGAATGGATGTGAAGACTCCGGAAGGCGTATCCAGGCCGTAGGATGTTTTGGCTCTGCTAAGCCTTGGTGCAGAGACCAGGGCAGTGTCTGGCAGATTCTGTAGTGAGGCACTGCAGCCAATCCCTCCAAGCTGGCTACCCTCGCTGTGCAATTACCACCTACACAAGGTCTGGAGTCCCCTGAAGAGAAGAATGAAAGAAGCGGCGCCCAGTAGGTGCATAGGCAAGGAGTCCTCATGCCACGCAGCCATGCCAGCTCCACCAGCAGCAGCCAGAGCCGCAGCAGAGAGGATGAGGCTGCACGTTTGGGTGCTGCACAGGCAGGTTAGCAGTGAAGGGAGGGCCACACAGCAGTCCCAGGAGAGCCGGGGCCCATGCCAGCCAGTCAGCTTTGACCAAAGCTTGGTGGAAGAAGCCAGCAGGGCCCAACCAGGTCAGTCAGTGGAAGTGGAAGTGAGGTAGGGTGGACATCTCAGAGCGTCCCATCCCACGCAGGGACTCATGTGCACAGCATGCTGCTGCTCAATGCAGGCCCTGTGTGGAGCAGGTGCCCACGATCCCCACCAGGATCTTTTTTTTTTTTTTTTTTTTTTCTTTTTTCTGAGACAGTCTCGCTCTGTCACCCAGGCTGGAGTGCAGTGGCGCGATCTCAGCTCACTGCAAGCTCTGCCTCCCGGGTTCACACCATTCTCCTGCCTCAGTCTCCCGAGTAGCTGGGACTACAGGCGCCCATCACCACACTCGGCTAATTTTTTGTATTTTTAGTAGAGATGGGGTTTCACCATGTTAGCCAGGATGGTCTTGATCTCCTGACCTTGTGATCCGCCCACCTCAGCCTGCCAAAGTACTGCGATTACAGGCCCCACCAGGATCTTGAAGGTGACTGGACAGGAGTGAGGAGCCCGGGCCAGAGAGAGGGAAGTGTGTGCGTGTGCGTGTGTGTGTATGCTCGCATGTAGGCACACTGACACGCACGCGCACGCCTATGCTCCAGCCACCCAGTGGGGGGAGGGGCTTCCTCTGAGACAAACCTGCTCCATGTACTTTATCAAATTTGCAGATGCCACACAGCTGGAGGGAACGATGGCAAATATGCCAGATGACAGAGCTGGGATCTAAAGAGAAGCTGACAGGCGGGAGTGATGAGGTAGATCTAATGAGATGAAACTTAACAGGGACAAACATGTTTATTTCACCTTATTTATTTACTTGTGTCCTGCCTCCATGTGCTGAGGAATTGGGAGGAATGAGGCTCACAGGAGGAAAAAAGTGAAACACCCGCCACCGTCGGGGCCACAGACCTGACTGCACAGGCCTGAGGTGGGGAGTGGGTGGGGGGCTGAGGTTGGTGTGGGCTTGGGGGTTTAATGATGATGGTCAGTTCTATGGGCAACAGTGGCTGGCAGGGGCTGGCAGGGGCAGGGTTGGTCTGCGGCTGCATTAATAAAGGTGTAGCACCCAGGCTGGGGAGGGCAGTGGGGGCTCAGGAGTCAGGGCACCTGGGTTTGAAGCCCAGGATCTGTTGGGCAGGGACACAGCTTCCTCCACACCCTGTCTCTCCTTCCCTGTGGCCCAGGCACCACCAGCCCTCTCTCTCTTTACACATCTCCCTTGCAAGTCTGGCCTGGGCCTCTGAGATCCCCCAAAGTGCAGGGAAAACAGGTCAGTTTTACAAGAACTTTCTCTCCACTCTCCCACCAAAGCTGACAAGGCCGGGCTTGAAGTTTCAGCAGCAGCTGAGGGTTGGGAGTTAGTTACGTTAGATACCTCTCTCCCTTCTGGAGGGCACCTCCCAGTTCTCCAAGGGGGTTCTTACTGGCCCTCTCTCTTGGCTCTGGTTGGGTAGAAGGTTCAGCAGGAAGATGGTCACTTGTTCTAAACATTATAGGAGGGAGGGTTAGGCTGGTTCTGAGGACGCCTAAGGGGGCAGGGCTGGGCTTTGTGAGTGAACACCTCTGAAAACAAACCCCAGCTCTACAGGAGGAGGAAGGCTTTGGGCTGCCCTAAGAGGTAGTGAGGCTTAGGTCACTGGAGGTATGTAAGCAGAGTTACATGGTCACTCGGCAGGGACGCTAGCCCTGAATGGATGGATAGAGCTGGATGCATGCACTGAGGTCTTGCCCTACACTGAGATAGTGTGATTCCAGGCAAGCTTTTGATGAAAGCTGGGCCGAGTTTCTCACCCGCAGGAATCCAAATCCTCCTGAATGTGGTACTTCTCCCTGGGGAGCTGTGTGCCTGGTCTCCGTGTTAAATTGAGAAATGGAAGGGGTTTGAGGTAGCAGCCAGGCTGAAGTTCCTGAGCATGACTGCAGAACTGTGGCCCTGGAGTGTGGCCAAGGGTCACAAAAGGAAGGGGGACTCCAGACCTCTGGGAACCAGAACTGCCCGGAGTCGTCCCACCCCTCATGCTCCCACACAGCTCCTCACTCCGCATGTGACCTTGTGCTCCAGGGAGGCTGGAACCTAGAAAGCCCCTCCATGCCCTTCCCTGTTCCTTGTCCTCTGAGGGGCAATGAAGTCTGTACCCCAGCCCTGCCCTCTCAGCACTACTGAGACCCCAAAAGAACCTGGTGTCTGCTGGGCAGGGCCGGGGCACGAACCTGTAGGAAGATGTCACCCCCATTGCCGCAGCCATGGTCATCTTGCCAAGGGTCAGTGTGAGAGCAAGCCCAGACCAGCCCACCAAATGCAGACTCCCGGGGCCCTGCCAGGCTCTGAGTGAGGACCTCAGGTCTGGAGGAGAGGGGAGCAGTAGGATCAGACCCCTCTTCACTGAAGACCCACTAACACCACATGCAGATATGACCCCATTATCCCCTTCCCTCCTTTTCCCTCCCTGTCAGAAGATAAGGAGGGAGGGGGCAGGTGGCTCACTCCTCACTCTTTGCTGTCCCTGGAGGGCTTCCAGGAGGCAGAGTCAATCCAGCTGCAAGGTCTGGAGGAGGAGGAGGAGTGAGTTCATGTTGGGGCCACAGGGCCTGGTGGGGAAATAAGAACCAGCCAGAGAGGGACAAGCAGATGGTGGGTGTGGGATGGCAGTGCCGTCCACAGCACAGCTGGCAAGGCCTGGGCCCTGGATTCCAATTCCAAGTTCAGTGGCTTCCTGACTTCATGGCTGGGTGGCCTTAGACGACACGCTTTCTCTGGGCCTCACGTTCCCATCTGTATAATGGGAATGACACAGGCACCAATCTCACAGCTGTTGAATGGATTAAATGACATAGTGGACAGCGCCTGGCACACAGACAGTATCTGTTGTTGTTATTGTTATTATGAAAACATGTGACTACAGACAGTATAACTAAGAATAACAGATAGAAGTAACTAATATTCAGACTTCAGCTAATGATAAAGAACTTTTCAGAGAGGCAGAAGTGTCTCTCACTGGAGCAGGCTGTGCAAGGTGCTGAGCCCCCTGTGCTGGGAGCATTCAAGCAGCAGATCCTTGTGGAGAAATGCCTGTGTGGGGAGGGTGTGCGAGGGTAGCCAGCAGGGGTCAGCAGTGCAGCAGGAGGGGAGGAAGGCCAACCTCCCTACCAGTTCTGGGGACAGGAGTGACACCGGGGTCAGGCTGCCTTGCTTCAGGGCAGAGTCCCCAGTCACTGGCCCTAAGCCCAGGCTGACAGCTTCTCACAAGTGTCATGCAGGGGTCAGGCCAGGGCAAGGACAGCAGCCAGGCTGGGCTGGGGCCACGGGAGAGGGGAGCTCTGAGGCCTCCAGTGAGGAGCCCCAGGCTGAACACACAAGGGCTCCGGGCAGGCTGTGGGGCTGAAGCAGGGTTGCTGGCGTCCCAGGAGACAGAGCTCTGGGTTCAGGCCCCCAGAAGGGTCACTCGTGTGGCCAACATGGGGCCTGCTGACCAGGCTCTCTGTGCCTGAGCCTCCCAGCCCTCTGTGCTAGGGCTGAGATCTTCTTCCCCTTCTGAGTGCCACACAGCAGGCTGCCAGGGTCCGTCGAGCCCCATCCCCAGCACTGAGCCCTCTCAGCTCCACTGGGGGTCTCCTGGGGCCAGGAGACTGAGGATGAGGAGACTGGGCCCTGGGAAGGCCAGGGATGCAACCCTGTCCCCAGACCCTCATCCCAGCTGGCTCGGCCAGACAGAGACACCCAGGCTTCTCCCTCTTTGGCCCTGCAGGCCTGCAGAGCATGGGGCCTGAGACAAGGCTGCCCTGGAGAGAAGGTGACAGGCAGAGTATGAAACTGTCCCCCACTCTGGAGAGGAGGGGAGAGCCTGATACATCCCTGCAGCCTGCCCTGGTGCACAAAGCCCCCAGAGCCTACTACTGGGGGCCCCAGCAGAAGATGAGGGGCTTATTGCTGCATCTGACTCTTGGAGGCTCCCATTCAGAGAGAGCAGCTGCATCCCCAGCGACTGAGGTGGGCTAAGTCCAGGTAAGAGCTGGCACTGTCTCACAGCTGTGGAGTCAGATGCAGAGGTGGCTGGGATGCCCTCTGCCCACTGCGGCCTGGCCAGCCCCGGCCCCTCAGGAGTGGGGGTGGATCTTTCCTGGCCTCCCCTGGGGGAGGCTGTATCAGAGCAGGGCAGGCAGGAGAGAAGGGGACGGGCTGAAGGCTCAGCAGAGAGGGCATGGGTCCCTGGCAGGTGGGCTACTTTGGAGCTTAAGGAAGCTGATGTCCCCCACCTCGACTCCCACCCCAGGAAATGCTCTGTCGAAAGGGGAGAGTGACCCAGCTGACAGTTCCAGGAGGGATCTTAGGGCTTCAGGGTGGCTCCAGGGACACAGGGGAGGTTCCCTGCCAAAACCAAGCCAGAGCCAAAACAAATAAAACCTCCCCTAAGAGGAAGAGGCCTGAAATCCCACCGTTAAAGATTCATTCCTTTAGCTTAACACTTTGTCCTTTTTAAAAATGCAAACCTCTCAGAGTCTCACCTACAAGTAGGTTTGTCAAAGGAGAGAAGAGGATGCGTAGTCTCGTGGTGAAGAAGAATGGCAGAGGCCCATCGAGAGAGCAGGCGGGGGCTCCCAGGACTTCCTTTGTGGGCTACACAGCTCTGGCTAACGGCCAGCTCTAAAAACATCTGCAGGGGCCCAGGCGCGATGGCTCACTCCTGTAATCCCAGCACTTTGAGAGGCCGAGGTGGGCAGATCATGAGGTTAAGAGATCGAGACCATCCTGGCCAACATGGCAAAACCCCGTCTCTACTAAAAATACAAAAATTAGCCGGGCATTGTGGTGGGCACCTGTAGTCCCAGCTACTTGGGAGGCTGAGGCAGGAGAATCGCTTGAACCCAGAAGGCAGAGGTTGCAGTGAGCTGAGATCGCACCACTGCTCTCCAGCCTGGCAACAGAGCAAGACTCCATCTCAAACAAAACAAAACAAACAGGAGAAGGAGGCTCTGAGTCTCCCCATTCTGTTCCTGTGTGCAGGGAGTGAACAGACTCACGCCCCTCCACTGAAGACACCATTCACACAGGCACATGCCCTCACATACACGTCAACATGTGCACACCTGTGCACACACGTGCATATGAGAAACTATATATGCAAACCTGCACCCTCACCCTTCAGGTCATGCATTCAACATGGAACCTGGGAAACATAAGACCCTGAGCCTGGATGACCCATGGGGGAAGGGAAGGGGTGCAGTCTCCACTGAGCACTCCTAACACCTCTCCAGGGGTGGCTACCATGAGCTACATCCCACCCAGGGGTTGCTTTCTAATGTAGGGTCAAAGCTTCTAGCTAGTGAGTATATATGGAGCATCAGCAAGCTGCTGAAGAGCCCTTGTGATAGCTGAGAGATGGAGCAATTAACCCCTTAGTGCGGATTAGTTTTTCACATCGGCATCTGTCTCTGACCTCCCGCAGGCTCGCAGGCTCAGTCCCTCTCTGAGTCCTTAGCCATGCCACCTGTGCTGATCCACCTGCACTGCGCATCCTTTGGTGCTTCAGCAGGGCAAGGTGGGGGGTCCACATTGGTGCATGGACCCATATACTAGGGGCTTCTGTTTTTCCTTTCCCCTCCTTTTTTTTTTTTTAGACGGAGTCTCACTCTGTCACCCAGTCTGGAGTTCAGTGGCGCAATCTTGGCTCACTACAACCTCCGCCTCCTGGGTTCACGCCATTCTCCTGCCTCAGCCTCCCAAGTAGCTGGGACTACAGGCACCCGCCACCACGCCCAGCTAGTTTTTTGTTGTTGTTGTTATTTTTAGTAGAGACGGGGTTTCACCGTGTTAACCAGGATGGTCTCGATCTCCTGACCTCATGATCCACCTGCCTTGGCCTTCCAAAGTGCTGGGATTATAGGCATGAGCCACCACGCCCGGCCTTCCCCTCCCTTCTTTTTTTAAAAAGATAAGTTTGTTATAAAAGTGACACATAGCTGGGCACAGTGACTCACGCCTGTAAACCCCACGCTTCGGGAGGCCAAGGCGGGTGGATCGCTTGAGCTCAGGAGTTTGAGACCAGGTCAACATGGCAAAAACCTGTGTATACAAAAAATTAGCCAGGTGTAGTGGTGCGTGCCTGTAGTCTCTCCGCGGGAGGCAGAGGTTGCAGTGAGCCAAGATCGCGCCACTGCACTCCAGCCTGGGTGACAGAGCGAGACTCTGTCTCAAAAAAGAAAAAAGTGACATGGACATAACTTTTAAAAGTCAAATAGGACTTCATGGCTATGAAGAAAGAACATCTGTCCCTTCCCCAGCCCCAGGCTTACTTCCACCTCTGTTGGCCGACTCAGTTCTATGTAATATGCATACACGACAAATTTATGGCTCTTTTATTTTCGATTTTATCTATTGACTTAGCAAAGATTGTATTTTAACTTCCCATTAGGAGGATTTAACGGGCCCACTGCCCACTCCTCCTCCCCCATCCTGCCTCTGTACTTACACTACAGTTTTTATTAACTCAGCATCCCATGTTTACATTAGTGTTACGACACGTAAATATTATTCTAGCTGAGCCATACAGCATATTAGGATTATATTTCCTTTAATGTAAAACTTTTTGGGCAGGGCACAGTGGTTCACGCCTGTAATCCCAGCACTTTGGGAGGCCAAGGCAGGTGGATCCCTTGAGGTCAGGAGTTCAAGACCAGCCTGGCCAACATGGTGAAACATCGTCTCTACTAAAAACACAAAAAGTAGCCAGGTGTGGTGGCACGCACCTGTAATCCCAGCTACTTGAGAAGCTGAGGCAGGAGAATGCTTGAACCTGGGAGGCAGAGGTTGCAGTTAGCCAAGTTCGCGCCACTGCACTCCAGCCTGGAGAACAGAGTGAGACTCTATTTCAAAAACAAAAACAACAACAACAAAAAAAACTTTTTGGTTCCTAAAGTTTAATTTTCCTGTTGGTTGTTGTTTATTCCCTGAGGTTTCTGTTTTTGCTTTTGAGACAGGGTCTCACCCAGGCTGGAGTGCAGTGGTGCCATCATGGCTCACTACAGCCTCAACCTCCCGGGCTCAAGAGATTCTCCCAAGTAGCTGGGACTACAGGACTACAGGCACGTGCCACCACACCTGGCCAGTTTTTTTGTTTTGTTTGTTTGTTTGTTTTTTGAAGAGATGGGTCTCCCTAAATTGCCCAGGCTGGTCTCAAACTCCTGGGCTCAAGTGACCCTCCCACCTTGGCCTCCCAAAGCGCTGGGATTTACAGTCCTGAGCCACCAAGCTCCGGCCCCTGAGCTTTCTATGCATCTTCATCAGTTTATCCCCAAACTCTCTGACCAGACTTTAAACCTCCTCTCCAGGTAGTCACATACCTCCGGTAATCTGATCAGTCTGTTGTTCCTTTGGCGGCACCTTCCCTCCCTGGAGCGCTCTCCAGGCCTGCAGAGCCCTGAGGCCCTGCGACTCGCCTCCACCACTCTCCAGAATTGGACTTCCTGCCTCCCAGACGCCACGCCATTCTCTTTCTTGGCTTCTGTCCTCATTTTGGTGGAGGGCATTATCTGAGAGCTTTCAGCTGATCCCCCCTGCCTCGGATGTATGTGAGGCTTCCAGTTTGAGAGACTTTTACCTTGTTTCTTGTTGGATCCCTTGATGGCCGGCCCGCCTCAGAGTGGAAAAAGCTGGATGGGAGCTAGTTACCACCTGTCTGTCTCTTTTCACCTCTCTGAGCTGCAGTCTCTCATCTGCAGTCTTCTCTGGCTTATTCTCCCTGTCCTTGCAGGCACACACTTTTTCATCCTTTGCTATCACATTTAGTTGGGTTCTTGGATATAGTACTTAGTTCACGGTGGGGATTAACTGGAAGCATATCTCTGATTTCTTATTATAAATCCCACGAGAACTAGCACAGTGCCTGGTACCTAGCAGGTGCTGCATGGATGGATAAATGAACAAATGAAGGAATGACAAAGAGACAATCCTCTACCCTCAAAAAGCTCACGGCCCAATTGGGTGGAGGATGCAGATTGGAGGGAACCAAGGCACCTCTGTACTTACACTACAGTTTTTATTAACTCAGCATCCCATGTTTACATTAGTGTTACGACACATAAATATTATTCTAGCTGTGGCACCAAGGCGCCTCTGGAACTCAGCAGAGGGCAAGAACATCAGCTGCACAAGCAGGGAGGGCTCCCTGGAGGAGATGGCCTGCTGATCAGGATAAAACATGGGAAGGCCAAGAAGAGGAGAGAGGTGGATGGAGGGAGTCGCTGGACAAGGATATCTGGGCAGCCAAGTTCAGGGAGCAGGTGGGGAGGTGAGGGAGGAGGGGCTCTCAGACTGGGGCCAGACTCACCCCATCACCAGGGGAACTGCCACAGCCTGGGTTGGGGCATGAGGAAGGCTGTGCCTCAGAGAGGCCAGGTGTGCAGAGGATAAGGGTGTCCTCCACGTGAGAGGTGAAGGCTGAGGCAGTGGCCGGAGGGGCCTTGCAGCAGGCGAGCAGCAGTGCAGTGAAGACCAGGACAGATAAGTTAGAAGAGGAAGACCTGGAGGTACCTGTGGCCCCCGTACTGGGAAGAGTGCAGCCAGCACGAACCTACAAGTGCCCCGCAGGTGGCGGTGGGGCTGCAGACCAAGACGGTGTTGCAAACACAGCAGGGGACACGCCTTGAACTGGGTTTTCTTCCTGGTTTGGTCACTTACTAGCTGTGTGCTCTTAGGCTAGTGACTTACAGCCCCTAGGACTCAGTTTCTCCATCTATAAAATGGGGATAGTCTAGCCACATCTCTCTACCTCCACTGTCTGCACCCCTGTCACCTCCAGCCTGACAAATGCAAAACATCCTCACTGGCCCCGTTTCATTCCTTGACCCCAAGGCTGGCTTCATGATACACGAAATAAGTTCCATGCTCAGAAGGGCCCCAAGATTTCATTTTGCACTGAGCTTCACAGATTGTTTAGGATTGACCCCTGTCCACTCAAAGGAGAAGCCAAAGAGTCTCTCTCGCTCTCTCTCTGTCTCTCACACACACACACACACAGACCCCTCTGACCCTCTTCTCTACCTCTCTCCCCTGGCTTCCTCTGCTCCAGCCACACTGGCCTCCTGACTCCTGCCCCTGGGCCTTTGCACTTGCAGCGCCTCTTCCTGGCCTCCTCTTCCCACATCTACACACTGGCAATCCTACCTCCTCAAGTCTCTGCTCAAAAGACACCTCCGCCAGGCCTTCCCTGACCCGCTTATTTAACACTGAAACCCCCAATACACCCCATCATTAATTCACTGCATTTTTTTTCTCTACCACACTACCATCTACTTTCTACTTGTTTTACTTTTTAAAAAAATTTTAGGCTGGGCATGGTGGCTCACGCCTGTAATCCAAGCATTTTGGGAGGCCAGGGCAGGTGGATCACCTGAGGTCAGGAGTTCGAGACCAGCCTGACCAACATGGCAAAACCCTGTCTCTACTAAAAATACAAAATTAGCCAGTCATGATGGCACATGCCTGTAATCCCAGCTACTTTGGAGGCTGAGGCAGGAGAACTGCTTGAACCCAGGAGGTGGAGGTTGCAGTGAGCTGAGATTGCACCATTGCACTCCAGCCTGGGTGACAAGAGCAAGACTCCATCTCAAAAAATAAATAAAATAAAATAATAAAAATAAAAAAAATTTAGCTGTCTGCCAGTTAACATCAATGGTTTTTATTGGTTTTGTTCCCTGCTTAACTCCACTACCCAGATCTGTGCCTGGCCTGGAGAGGGAGTGCAGCCATGCGTGCGGAATGAGTAGATGTGGCGATGTCTCCCCAGAGCCTCACAGCGGGGGGGACCCCCAGTGGGTGTGGCAGGCAGCCTGTACATCGGGCTTGGCAGGTGAAGAAACAGGCCTGGAGCTGCAGGGAGGGCCACCACACAAAACACAGGACCCCACTGAAATGTGAGTAGCACGGGATTAAATTCAAATGTGACTGGGTGTCTGGTATTTCTATTTGCTCTCTGGCCACCTTAAGGACTTGCCTGTGGTCACCTCCAATTCAGTCTAGACAATTCAGTCTAGACCCAGCCTCCCAACCCTGCCCCCACACTCTCCATCTGCTCGAGGCTGCCCTTCCCGGCACTGCCTTGGGGACACTGTCACTGCCCCAGTCTGGGAAGGTGAACTGGCTTCTCGCCTTCTAGGCCTAATTTTATCTGCACCTGCAGGGGCTGGAAAGGGCACCAGAGGAGCTCTGGGGGCTGAGCGGGCCCAGGCCTGCAAGTGGCCTCCTCCGGCCTCAGAACTTGGGGTCTGGGTTTCTGCACTGGCCTTGTCCAGGGGTGCAGGCAGTTGGGGCACAGCTAGGCTAAAATAAGAGAGACGTGTGAGGGAGAAAGTCTGCAGGGCCTTAAGGGTCCTCAGGGCTCAAGAGAGCCCCACGACCCTCTGGGACCCCTGTGGCCAGGTCTCACTATGTCTCACCTGATGGCTGCGGCAGCTTCCCAGGGGATTCCCCAGAATCTCAGAACCTCCCAGGGGACTCTCAACCCTGTGTGAGGAGTCAGAAGCCTGTGTCTCAGTTTCCTCATCTGTGCAATCAAGGGATAATAATGGCACTTTCCTCACAAAGTTACTGGAGGATTGACTGAGTTGATACATATTCATGGTTGTAACAGTGCCTGGCACATAATAAGGGCTTTATATGTGTCTGCTGACGTTGTCGTTACAGACGTTGTGATCTGAACCCCTGCTCTCGCCACCAGGCTCCAAGCATCCCCTGCCCTCCTGGGTCTTCCCAGTCCCCTCACTGTCTACAGCAGCCTCCGGGGCCTTCCTGGGGCAGAGATGGGGCCATGGGGAGTGGGATGCCCAGAGAACAAATTCCCTGACCACCAACCTGCCCAGGTGCAGGGCCAGCTGCCAGGGGACAGTGTGTGGGCAGGCCAAGGATGGATAGCAGCTTCAGCCCCGCCAGCCCAGCTCAGCAGAAACCAGGGCCGACAGTAATGGGCTGGCAGCCCCCAGCTGCAACCAACTTCATTTTCTGCCACAATTAAATGATCGCCCGCATTTGCTCACCCTCACTTATTCAATTACTTTAGCGGCCCTGAAGGACTCTCAAATAAACAGCCATAAATAACACGCGTGGCCGCCCCCTAGGCTATCATCCCTGCCCAGCAATCACAGCCCCAGCCCCGCACCTTCCTTCCAGCAGAGAGATGCCGCCTTGCACCTCCCCATTCCCCAAGTTAATCCTCCTCAGCTCCCACCACCCACGTCTGAAAGTCCAACCCCCAGCAGGAGACTCTGCACATCTGGGTCCTCACCTGGCTCTCCCCCGGCCCAGCTGGGTATATCTGGGGGGCCGCTCCCTCTGGGGACTTCTATGTCCTCATCTGTGGAATCCATGTTATTAAAAATAATAGGCCACCGGGCGCGGTGGCTCACGCCTATAATCTCAGCACTTTGGGAGGCCGAGGCAGGCAGATCACGAGGTCAGGAGATCAAGACCATCCTGGCTAACACGGTGAAACCCCGTCTCTACTAAAAAATACAAAAAATTAGCCAGGCATGGTAGCGGGCACCTGTAGTCCCAGCTACTCGGGAGGCTG
Source organism: Homo sapiens (assembly GCF_000001405.40). Classification (NCBI taxonomy): domain Eukaryota; kingdom Metazoa; phylum Chordata; class Mammalia; order Primates; family Hominidae; genus Homo; species Homo sapiens. The sequence goes on along the minus strand of NC_000006.12, from coordinate 33,753,924 downwards.
AGGCAGGAGAATGGCGTGAACCCGGGAGGCAGAGCTTGCAGTGAGCTGAGATCGCGCCACTGCACTCCAGCCTGCACGACACAGCGAGACTCTGTCTCAAAAAATAAAATAAAATAAAATAAAGTAAAGGCCAAGCATGGTGGCTCATGCCTGTAATCCCAGCACTTTGGGAAGCCAGGGCTAGGCAATCCCTTGTGGAAAGAGGAAAAGTCCACGTGAGCTATAAAGTGTTGTCTTGGCAAGGAGCTGCAGTCCTGGCTTCAGTTGAAATGGGCACCCCTGGAGAGGGAGGAGAGATGAGGTATCCTATCTGCCTCCATCCCCACTCCCACCCCAGCCACCTTGAAGCCTTCCAGAAATGCCATGCTCTTCCAGGCCTCTGGGCCTTTGTGGATGCTGTTCCCCTTGCTGTTCCCTTCATTCACTTCTCTGCTTGGAGACTACTACAGGAGTCCTTCAAGGCCCAGCTTGGATGCCCTCTCCCCTAGGAGGCCTGCACTCCACCCCCATGGCAAGTAGATTAATCTCTCCTACCCTCTGCTCCCACAGCAATTTACGTGTCTCTTGGATTTGGGGGACAATGCCAGATTCAAATATTCTGAGCCACGACATAACCATGTCAAGACATAATCCGAAATCACAGTTAGAAAGTATGACAACCTCATTTCCACTTCCAGAGACCAAGCCCCATGTTATTAAAAATAATAGGTCAAGCGTGGTGGCTCATGCCTGTAATTCTAGCACTTTGGGAGGCCAGGGCAGGAAGATCTCTTGAGCCCAGGAGTTCCAGACCAGCCTAGGCAACATAGTGATACCCCCAACTCTACAAAAAAATCCACAGTGGTGCACATCCACAGTCCTGTGTCCTTAGATGGCTGAGGCAGGAAGATCACTTGAGCCCTGCAGTGAGCCATGACTGTGCCACTGCAATCCAGCCTGGGCAACAGAACATGAGCCTGTCTCTAAAATATAAAAAAATTAAAAAATAACAATACTCAAGATTTTGGGGAATGCTGTTTGATACACTGTGCTAAATGCTTTTTACTTGCATTATATCATGGAAACATCACAACAGTCCAAAGAAAATTATCCCCATTTTACAGATAAGGAAACTGAGGCCCAGTGAGGTTAAGACGCCCAGCCATAGTCACATCACCAGGAAATGGCAGAGTGAAGAATGGAGCCCAGGTGAGTCCACATCCACAGTCCAGCCTGGATTCTGTGCAGCAGAAGGAACTGGCCATTCTGAGACTGGGGTTTAGTTCTGGCTCATCCACTAGCCACCCTGCAACCCCAGGCAGGGCCTCTCACCTCTTTGCAGCCTAACTTTGTCTCTCCTCTCCTGGAAAATGAAAGGACTGTTATCAGGTGGCCTCTCAGGGCCCCTCCAGCTGTGGTGTTTCAGGATTTTCTTTCTTTCTCTAAAGGACTGCTCTGAGCAGAGCCAACAAAGCTGTCAAACCAACAAGAGTGGCAGGCTCAGGCATGCCCTGGGGAGATGCTCAGGGCAGGGTCCTCCCAGTCTCCCCCTCGTGCCTGGAAGGCAGGTGGCAGCCTGTTCTCTTGAGGAAAGAGGCCCTCCACCCTAGAGAAGGCAGCAAAGTTCTCCAAGGACCAGTGGGCAGGGCGGGGCCCCAGCTGGCCACCTTCCTCCTGCAGTCCTTGATGTCAGCCACCGTGAAGGCCTTGTAAATGTTACACACAGATTGTTTGTGGGACAAAGGAGACACGGGGTGGAGTATCAACGGCGTGTAATTGGCTTCTCAATGTCACACATTGGCTCTTGCGTGGATTAAAAGTCCACAAGAACCTGACTTCTTGAGCACTGTCCTGGCCTGGGAGGTGGCAGCTTTGGGTCCTCTGCGTCCCAGCTCCCCATGTGACCCTCAGCAGGGATATCTTTTCCCTGGGCCTCAGCCAGATGTGGTGTGGTCTGGGGGGATGTGGATGAATGACCCAGCGCTGCTGGGAGAGCTAGCCCAGTGCCAAGTCCCCAGCCTGTGTCCACATGCAGGGGCAGTCATCTCCTCCCCTCCTCCCAGCCTTCTCCAGGCCCAAACATGGCGCCGGGCTTGGCTGGGGAAGTGGAGGGGTGACCCGTGCCTTCCCCGTTGGGTGGAGACGTGTCTTTGCACCAAGGTGTGACCGAGGGCTGCCGGAAAATGAATCCGTGTTAGGAGTGGGGGCCCCAGATTCAAATCCCGGCTAGGCCACTCTGTTTCCTCTGCTGTGAAATGAGGGGAATGATGGCCCCTCCCTCACAGGGCTATTGTGAGGACCAAACGAGATAAAGTGTGTGAAGAGCTCAGGGCAGGGCCGGCCCTCTGCCCCTAACCTGCTTCTACTGATCATGGCCATAGGGTGGGCATGGTGGCTCCCCTCACACCTCCCATTCCCGGGGCCAAACACACACACACACACACACACACACACACACACACGGCCTGCAGAGGTTGTCTGTCCCTGAGGACCTAAGTGGTAACACCCTTGCTTCCCAGTCAGTGGGGCCATCTGCCTTCCAGAGAGAGTTTATCACCTCCCAGATTTTGCAATCTGTGGCTCAACAGCTCATCCTCCCACATTCCCGGCTGTAGTGGTCTGGGCCGGCCCTTCTACCCCAGTATCTTCAGCTGTTGGGGAGCCCGACAGGGCAGGCTCTGATGCAACGACCTGAACTGGATCCAACACCCAGGCTGGAAGCTCCCAGGTGGGGCTGGGAGCTAGGGGCCAGGTCAGGCCAGCAGGGATGTGATGATAGGGAAGCCACAAGCCGCCTAGCCACAAGGCCCCCCCTTGCTGCAAAGGGCTGGACAGTGACCTCTCTCAGGGCATGCTCCATCCTGCACTTTCTAGGGAGTGGGGCGGCGGGGAGGAGAAGGAAGGGGAAGGTGCTATGCCAAGCTGGGGTGCAGCGAGAGGGGAGCCCAGCATGGGAGGAGGGGCTTTACTGGAACCTGGGCAGGTCTGTAGCCGCCACCCATGTTTACACTGTGGGAAGGGGTGATGACATGTCCTAGAATGAGGTGGAGGTTGTTGTCTCTAGGGCAGGAACACTGGGTCATGGGAGCAGGGACAGGGGCAGCTGTTGAGGAGGGATGATGCCACAGAGCCACAGCAACCGAGCCAAAGGCCCCCATTAACTGGGGTCAGGGAGAGGAAAGGAAACCGCTGTTGTGCAAGCCAGAGCATGGCGAGCCCAGGAGGGAAAGCCAGAGACCCAGAATGTGTCCACGTGTTTATCCACTCATTCATTCATTCACCAAACAAGTACTGGAAGGCTGGCGCTGGGTTACATGCTGAGGACATAGCGTTGAGCAAACTGAGCCAAGTCACCATCCCCAAGGAAGAGAGACAGGCAAGGAGCAAGTCACACACATAAATATGCAACTACAGCTGGCATAAGCACTTCTAAAAAAAGGGACGAGGTGGTGGACTGTGTCAGAAAGGGCGGGGAGGGCTTCCTGGAGGTGGTGACACTGGAGCTGGAGCTGGCATCTGAAGGATGAAGAGGAGTTAACCAGGTGTGAGGTGGGGCTGAGGAGGTGGGCAGGGGCTGAACGCTGGGGGTGAAATTTGGACTTTATTCTAAGGATGGAGCCACTGAAGAGTATTAAGCAGCAAAGTGACGTGACTTGAATTGTTTCTAAACATCACTCTGGGGAGAATGGCTTGTAGGAGCAGGCTTGTAAAGAGATGTGGGAGAACATGAGGAGCTACTGAAGTCATCCATGACCACATGGTGGGCCAGGCCAGGGCCATAGAGATGGAGAAAAGGGGACTAATTTGAGAAATGTTTGGGACATGAAATCCACAGGACATAGTGATGGATGAACAGCCAGGGAAGGCAGCAGTGAAGTGGGAAGTCCTCAAAGGTCAGTCCAGGCTGGGGAGGGAGAGGCCAAGGGGGAGCTGGCCAGAGAGAGACCTGCCCACCAAATAGTAAGTGCATGCCTATGAGCCCAAGGGGTTTTCTCCTCCGAATGGTGGCATCTAAGGGCTGGCCTAGGATGCTCCAGTCCACAGAATAGTGAGTGCCACGCTGGTCAGGACTGATTTCCAGAAGTCAGGACCAGGCTAGGCCACTCTTGTTTCCTCCACTGTGAAATGAGGGGAATGATGGCCCCTCCCTCACAAGGCTATTGTGAGGACCAAACAAGATAAAGTGTGTGAAGAGCTCAGGGCAGGGCCGGCCCTCCCCCTAACCTGCTTCTACTGATCATGGTCATAGGGTGGGCATGGTGGCTCCCCTCACACCTCCCATTCCCGGGGCCGCGCGCACACACACACACACGGCCTGCAGAGGTTGTCTGTCCCTGAGGACCTGAGTGGTGGCACCCCTGCTGCTTCCTAGTCAGTGGGGCCATCTGCCCCACTGACTAGGAAGCAGCAGGGAGCAAGGTGGGTCACAGACATGGCTATGGAAAGATGCATAGCAGCAGGCATCTTGGAAGGGAAGCTGAGCTTTGGGGAAACGACCATGGAGAGAAATTGGCTGAAGTTGGAAAACAGAAATAAAGTGCCCTATTTGATTGCATAAGGAAAGTACCAGTTCTGGACGGTGGGGCCCTGTGTGTGTTTACTGCTGTATGTCTCAGATCACATATTAAGGGCTCGAAAATGTTGTTACATAAATAGAAGAATAAGAAGTCAATATGGAACCTTGCTCTTTACAACAGCAGCAAAACAAACGCAGAAAGCAGGTGGTGGAATGTGGACAGGCCCTCCTGGAGACCTGGGGGCCAGGGCACTCACTGGCCATCTTGCTCAAGTGGGAAGTCCTTCCCCCTCTAGAACCTGAAGGGCCTCCTGCTCATCCCTGTGGTGGTTCTGGGATTCCCAGAATAGGGATGTGAGTCCAGCCTGATAGGGAGAGGAGAGGTGGCGCAGGGCTGGGGGGAAAGGAGGTCATACCCTCTTCCAGGGCCAGGTAACCGGAGCCCAGCACACAGCTGGGCAGGGGGAGGGACAGAGCACACAAGAGGCCATGTGCCTTCCCTGGTGAAATGTGATCAGTCAGTCACCCTGCAGGGGGGAGTCAGGGGGCAGGGAGGGGAGGATCGGATCCCCACCCCACTTTAAACCAGGCTTCAGGGCACCCCAGGAATTCCTGTTATTTCTGTGGGGCTCTTCCCTCTCTGGGTGTGGGGAGGCCCACGTCCATCCACACAGTGGAGATGGGAGAGGAGCTCAGCCACCCGAAGGCAGCTGGGCAGGTAGGTAGCCCCACACAGGCTGCAGCCTCCCCATCACGGGAGGCTTTTTTTTTTTTTTTTTTTTTTTTTGGAGACAGGGTCTCTCTGTGTCGCCCAGCTGGAGCGCAGTGGCATGATCAATTATGGCTTACCACAGCCTCAGCCTTCTGAGCTCAAGCATTCCTCCTGCCTCTGCCTCTGCCTCTCAAAATGTTAGGATTACAGGTGTGAGCCACCGTGCCCAGCCACCCCTTGTTCTCTTGCCGCTAACACATCTGCTGAGCGGCTCCTGCTGTGCTGAGCGTTGAAGTGGGCGTAGAGGGCACTGAATGGACAATGGCTGGCGGGTGAGGGCCAGGAGAATGGGTTCAGTCCACCTGCCCCATCTTACCTCTGTGAAATGAGCGGTGAGGGAGAAGGGGCCGTCCTGGAACATGTTCTCCATGGACATGTGGAAATGGAGTAAGTACTACACCAACAGGTCTGGAGGGACCAGAAGATGGGTAAGGGGGTCCTGGGGGATGAGTCCGAGAGAGGCTGAACCAGACCAGTGGGCAACCTGGGCCCGAGTGGAGCAAGCAGCATCTCTGGCCAGAGAGGAGGCTGAGCCCCTCATCCACATATGGAGCAGCCCAGGAAAGGCAGGTGGGGCACCAGTGCCCAGGGGAACTTCAGCCAGATGTCCAGGGTAGCTTGATCTTCCTAATACTGGTCCAGGGTTACTTGGACCTGAAGCCTGTCCCCTGATGAACCCTGTCCTTTGCTCCCACCCCCTCTCTCCCGGTCCACCAGCCTGATTCCTGAACATCTCAGGAACTCGCCGTCTCCTTCCCCACACTGCCCCCTCTCCCAACCAGGCTAGGACTCTCCCAGAGGACAGCATCTGTCTGCCCACCTTTGAGAGTTTTAAACACAAGCCTGAGCCGACTCTTCCTGGCATAAAGCACCTCAGTTCCTCCCAGAGGCTGAGGACAGAGGCTGGTGAGGCCACCTCGTCCCTGCCCCATCTCTCCCCAGTCCCACTCCCTGCAGCTTCCACCTCCCTGACCCTGCTCCCACCTGCCTCTGGGCCTCTGGGCCTCTGGGCCTCTGCACAGCCTCTCCTGTAGCTAGAGCCCCCTTCTCACCACCCTCCCCCACTCAACCAAATGACCCTGTTTCTCCTTCAGCTCTCAGCCGGTCAGCTCCTCCAGGATGCCCTCCTCACTCTCTGCAAAGTCCTCTATTCTCTCACCAGACACTTATCCTGGAGTTGCCCTCTGACTTGCTGAGCCCCCCAGCTGTAATCCCCTGACACTGGGGGTGCTTGGTCAGCCCTAGCAGGGGGTCTCAAAAAATGCTTGTTGATGGCCTGATTGTCCTCAGTCTAACTGACTGTTGACTGATGGAACGTCTTGCCGCCTGACTTTCCTTCTCTGGCAGCCACAGTATGGGGTAAGCTGCAGTGAGGTTCTTGCAGAGAGGATGGGGCAAGAAGCCCAGCAGAAGGGAGAGCATGAACCCCCCAACCCGAGACTCACCCCTTTCCTTTTGAATTAGGAATCAAAAAATAACCAGGGCCTTGGGGTGATGGGCCCTTGGTGCCCAGGTCCTGACATCTACGTGGGCAGCTGAGCTGAACTCTCCCCTGCCTCAGACCAGTCCTCCTTTCCTCCTCCCCTCTTCTCTCTCCTCCTCTTTGTCCCCTCCCTTCCAGCCCCTCTGGCCCTGCCCCAGAGCAGCAGAACACCCAGCTGACAGCTGGACATGCCAGTCCCCACCAGCCCTTCCCCAGAGGGTCAGGTGACCCTTCCCTCCCCAGGCCACGGCAGCCCGGCCCTCCCGGGCAGACCTCCCGCACCAGGGCTCTGGTGAACAGCAAATGCTCCACGCTGGGACGGGCCATTGCCTGATGCCTGTACATGGTGGGCACTGAGAGACAAGATTCCTGGGCCCTGCCTTCCATACACTCCCCACGATCTCGGAGGAAGCTCTGGTGAGTGCTGCCTTGTAGGCAGGGATGGGCAGGGCCAGCCTCTTTGACGGGGCCTGACTGAGGGGAGAGAGGGTCTCGTGTTCACAGGGCCTGTCTGTACCCTGGGGTCTTGTCTCCATTCCAGGCTGGCCAGGAGTCTGCCCCACGGAGGTGCCAGCGTCTTCGTGGAGGTCTGTCCATCTGTGTGTGGCGGGGGTGGGGTAGGGCGTTGGGACAGTTCAGTGTATAGGAATTCTGGCATCTGTTCCTCTTTCATCCCTCTCCCTTCTCCCAGGGGAATTCCACCCCTCCCCTTCCAGGGGTGCCTGGAGCCCTCTCACTTCAGGGTGGACTGGGACTACAGAGGAAGCTGGGGGGAGGGGCAAGTACCGGGGGCTGCGTTAACCCTTAACAGAGGCCGGTGTCCAAGAAACGCGGGCAGCATCCCCTGGGCACAGGAACAGCATGTCCTAGCCCAGCAGCCCCAGCTTTCCACGGGAGGGGGCAGGAGGCCGGCACCAGGCTGGATGACATCAGCATCTACAGCAGCTGCCTGGGGCCTGGTGCAGGGTGGTGGTAGACCACGGGATGGCGGTCATGGGGGTGGGAGACATGTCTCCACCAAACGGTGGTCCCTGATGCCCTGGGCAGTGGTGGAGTCTTGGCCCCCACCCATGACTCTTCTAGGTACCCTAGTGAACCTGAGAACTGAGCTTGCCTTGGGGGCCTTAAACCCCCCATGCCAGGCCCCTTCCCCTGAAATTCTGATCCCATAGGGAGGGACTCTGCCTTCTACATTTTTAAAAAGCTACCCATTTATTTTTTAACCTTTTATTATGAAAAACTTCAAGCATACAAATAGAGGGAATGATCTCATGCACACTTGTACATCCTGCGCCTGATTTCAGCAGTGGCCCGAGTTTTGTCGTATTTGTTTCATTGAATACGCTACAGCTAGAGTGTTCTGACATCACAGCACGCCTCTCCCCTGCACAAAGTCCTCAGCAGGTCCTCACATAACCCACTGTCCACTAACAAATGAACAACTACCCATGAGCGTCTGCATCCTGTCTGCAGTCTCCTTTCCCCAGCTGGCCCTACATGTCTGTTAATGTTTTGTTAGAAAAGGATCCAGTCAAAAGGCATTGGGTCAGCAGGTCTCTTAAATCTCTTTCAATTAGAAAGAGCCTCTGCCAGCCCCCCGACCCCCCACCATGGTGATTTTTCCCCACCACTTTGCCTTGCTGAATCAAAGGGGGGGTTGTCCCATAGGAGGGTAAGAACATGGCAGGGTCAGACAGCTCTCAGTACAGATAGGGAAGCTGAGGCCCCGAGAGGCAGGCTCAGGGAGCCTGAGGCAGAACCAGGTCTCCTGTCCCCTCCTGGGCCACTTCCCTGCATCCCTGCCCCTCAATGCTCCTGTGGCCTCTGGGGCCCTCCCTGTCCTCTGCTGCTTCCGGGGGTCACAGGCCAGGCCAAGCCCACCCCCTGGCCAGCGGCATCTCCTTCTTTCTCCTGCCCTCCACAGAGCCTGAATAAATCCTTCCCAGGCAGAAACCCGGATGGTTGCTCTCTTGTTCACTAGCAGCCACAGGGAACAGCAATAAACTTTATGAGCATCAGGTCCTTCAGGGAAGAAAGCACGTGCACTGGCTGGGGAGGCGCAGGGTGGCAGCGCGTGCTGGCCCGCGGGCTGCAGTTGCAGTGTGTTACCTTAATAATAGTTACTGCAACTCATCCGGGGCTGGGAGGCCCAGCTGGCAGCTGAGAGGCCTCACCCACCCACCAGGGTGCCACAGCCTGGGCGGGATGGACAGATGGGGTGGAGATCGCTGGAGACCCCATCCTGCTCTGCCCAGATGGGCTCTCAAGTGCCCCACCACCCCCAGCCCATTCCCACCCCCTCCCCTTCAGCCCCTGACCCTGGTTAAGCAGTGGGAGGGGAGGGCAAGAGATGTTATAGAACGTTATGGGGAGAATCCAACCTCAATGATGGCTTCTGAGCTTTTCAAAAACATCTGCCTGGTGGAGGCAGAACTTCAGCTGCCATCGAGGCTCTCTGGGACAGGTCTGGGCAAAGCCAGGCAAACCTAGGGCAGTTCCAAGAATGTGTCCCCCAGTGGCTGGGTGAGGAGGTGGGTGCTGGCTTTAGTTTCCAGTTAATCCCTCTCAGGCATTTGGGGCCTCAACGTGTGTGCTGCTGCCCTCTGGTGGGGAAAAACCTTGCCTGCATTCTCCCTCAGCCACACACTCCCACACACGCACAAGCATTCACACACACTCACACAAACATACAAACACATGCACGCACACACACTCCATCCCATTATTGTGTTTTGACCTTAAAGAGCTGTTCCATCTTGCAACCATAAAACTGCCATGCTAACCGCTGGCAACACCTTACGTCTGTGGCTCATAGGTCTCTTGCACAAGACAGGTGGTGGCTGATCATATTACTTAGAGGAAGGCAGCAGGTGTGGGGCAGGGTGTTGGAGGCTGGGAAATGTGTAGGCAGGTCTGGGTGTTTAGCAATATCCAAAATCCTGGGTGCAGCTTCAAGAGGCAAAGTCCGGAGGAGAAAAGCATGGCTGGGAGGGGCTGTCAAAGCAGTTGCTAACCATGGCTGAGGAGCTGCGTGTCCAGGGGTCAGGATCTATTAGGGGGCCAAGAGGGAGAAGCCCTCGCAGCCTCTGCCTCCCCCAGAGCAGCCCTTCCAGTGGCACTTGACTTCGTGAGTCATCTTGCCCCCATGTTTCTCCCACCTTGACAGCAAGATCAGAACATTGTTGGTGCTGCTAAGTACATTTGTCAGTGGCTGAAGGGTTTCTAAACTAATAATCTCTGTATTAAAATCGTATTTGGTCCTCAAGCTGGAGAAATGTTGGGAGATTTTAAATGTTAAGAAAAAAAAAAGAAAAAAAAAACCCTCTCAAAGGATAAAATCAGCCCCGAAATAAGTTTCTATGACTGAGGAATATGAAGTATTGCTCTGTGATTCTAGAAACCAAGCCTTCTCCAGGGAAGAGATGCTCTCCTAAGCCACATATTTCAGCCACGGCTGGGAAAGTGATGTGTGAAGTCCCCCAGCACTAGGTATTGATCCCACCGAGCCGGAGAGCCACACGGACAGAGGGCGCACCATCCTACAGCCCTTGAGTCATTTTTAGAATGGATTTTAAAACTCCATTTTTCCCCCTGGAAAATAAGCTTGTGCCTTCCAACCTGGATGGCCCCAGATGATGCACAACCCCTCAGCCATGTGAGAAACTCCAAATTTCTCCTGCCCATTACAACCTAAGTGGTTTTAAATGGTTTTTGGGTCCTCTCATCTCTAATAGATTAAAAAATGCTCCCTCGGGCATCACAAAGACATTGAATGGTACTTGTACCAAACCTCTGGCTCCGAGAGACCTGTGAAATGTAAGTTAGAGCTTCAGAGGTGAGAGGGCAGGCCATAAACCATGCTGCTTTGCCGTCTGCCACATTTTATATTACAGTTTTCTTTTGCTACAAGCTGTTTCTTAATTATCTTCTACCCAGAAAGCCCTCTCCCCACCACCTAAGATTTATCGGGATGTGGTCCCGAAGGCTTCAGCACCTTGGTGATCTCAGGGTGCCACCTCCCTGCACTGAGCTGGGGCCCAGGCCAGCATCTCCTCTGGCTGGCCAGGCTGGGCTCACTCTCCGTCCCCCTCCACTGCCGGCTGCCTCTGCAGACGCCCTGCTGCTGCAGCACTGGCAAGGCCAGCCAAGCACTCCCGCATCCTCCTCCTCCACACAACACTCCCCTCCAGCCATCGCCTCCCACCATCTCCTTGCCCTTCCCTATTGCTCCCTGTACACACACTCCCCAAAGCAGGCCCTCCCCAAGCTCCCCAAGGCTGAGCCAACATCTCCCCTCCTCCTGGACTCCTTCCCAGACCCCTCAAACCACCCTGATCTCAGCCAGGAGCAGTACCTCTCCTAACCTCTTCTCCAGGACCCATTTGTCAACACAGTTTTTTCCCTACCAGTCCCTATGCAATACTCATTATACTTTTAGGATCTGTTGATTGAGAAAAATAGACGATGACAAAAACTACTAGGAATTCAATAATGCCTTTAAATGAATTTGTATTTTGTTAATTACCAACATATTTACATACATTTGAGAATTATCGTGCCTCTAGGGGATTACTTTCCTACTCTGCAGATTGTGGTGGTGAGGATTTGGGTAAGGTCTTGGCAGGCCCCCCGGGTGGGAGCCCTCACCCAGGGCCCTAAGAATCCACGCTGCCAAGCACTTCGTTAGACACTGCCCACCAGCAGCATGCTGCCCCTGGGTGTGCGGTTCTTGCTGCCCAGTCAGGTGCAGCTTCTGAAAGCTCCCTATCCTGACACAGGTTACTGAGGCAAACAGCATAAAGAGGGCCCCAGACAGCACCCTGGCCCTAAGAGCCTGACTTGGGTCTTGGTCCTGGGTCTCCGAGACTCCCAGAGACAGCCAGAGCAACTCAGCAGCCACTCCCCGTCCAAGCAGACTGCACGTGGTCAGAATGGGCGTCGACTTCAGAGTGAGACAGACTCATCACGGCCGAGTCCCAGCATTGGTGCCTGATAGCTCTGGACCCCGGGAAAACTCTGCAACCATTCTGACCCTCAGTGTCTCCATCTGAAAATTCCTAGCTGGAGACACAGAGGTGTGATTGTAAAGCCAGGGGTCCAGAGTTGACCCTTAGGAGTGACTATGATATAGGATATGTTTGTGCAATGAACTATTTGAGTACCTGACTCAAGTGAAGTTGCTTTGTTTTTTTTTTTTTTGCTTGTTTTTGTTTATTTTTTTCTGAGATGGAGTTTTGCTGTTGTTGCCCAGGCTGGAGTGCAATGGCACGATCTTGGCTCACCGCAACCTCCGCCTCCCAGGTTCAAGCGATTCTCCTGCCTCAGCCTCCCGAGTAGCTGGGATTACAGGCACGTGTCACCACGCCCTGCTAATTTTGTATTTTTAGTAGAGACAGGGTTTCTCCATGTTGGTCAGGCTGGTCTCGAACTCCTGACCTCAGGTGATCCGCCCACCTTGGCCTCCCAAAGTGCTGGGATTACAGGCGTGAGCCACTGTGCCCGGCTTTTTTTTTTTTTTTTTTTTTTTTTGAGATGGAGTCTCGCTCTGTTGCCCAAGCTGGAGTGCAATGACATGATCTTGGCTCACTGCAACCTCCACCTCCTAGATTCAAGCAATTCCTCTGCCTCAGCCTCCCGAGTAGCTGGGATTACAGGCATGCGCCACCACACCTGGCTACTTTTTAAAATATTTTTAGTAGAGAGGGGGTTTCACCATGTTGGCTTAGGCTAGTCTCGAACTCCTGGCTTCAAGTGATTCACCCGCCTTGGCCTCCTACAGTGCTGGAATTACAGGCGTGAGCCACCACGCCAGGCAAAGTGAAGTTGCTTTCAACTTAAGAGCTCCATACTGGGTGCCTGGCTGTGAGTTAGTGCATCAGGCAGGATGGACTAGGTCCTGCTGCATAACAAGCCACCCCCAAATCTCAGTGACTTCATAGAGTGAAGATTTATTTCCATAATGCTATATATCCAGTATGTACAGTCACTTAGGGACCCTACTGACAGAGGCCACACCTCAGCATGTGCTTCCAAGATCACCATGGCCAGGGAAAGAGAATGGGGGGAACATCTCTTGAAGTTCCCACCCAGAAGTAACACATGGCACCCACCCACGTGATGCTGGCAAAAGCAAATCACGTGAGCCACGCTTACCTTCACAGCTGCAATCATACCACATTCTCACAGGGAAAAACAGAATGTTGTGAACAGCCCTGACAATGGCCACAGTCAGCCAGTCTGTTTGCGGATATAAGAAGCCAGCAGGCTTTGATAAGATATAGTCCATGACTAATCTATTCCTATTTTGAACCCCTACAAGTTTGATTTGTGGTTTCGTCTGCCACCTTCCCTAAAATGGGAGTGTGAGTCCTAAAAGAGATGCATCTTCCGTAATGTTAATGAACTCAGATTTAGCATGTGGAAAGCGGTTATAAGATACAAAGACTCTCCGGAAATAAAAATGTGCCGACGGGTTGTGACAAGTTATGATGCCCTTATCCGCCTCGGCTTGATGGGTGGCATCTGTCATTGTGTCTGGCATCAGCGAGGTCTTGGGGTCTTAGAATCACTGGTATTGTCCTGTGTCTCCACTCTGGAAGCCAAACCCACTCACGGCCCTGCTGTCAGTGACCCTCTTTTCTGACTGGGGAGTGTCTCACAGGCTAGCACAGGCTGGCTGTCACTCAGGCCCTGTGGGGCTGCGGAGCAGGGTCTGTACTGGCACAGACAGCCCAGGGCCTCATTTAACAACCAGCTCGGTGTCTGCGCCCCATCAGCAGAAATTAGCCCTGGAGTCTCCTGGAGTGAGGCCCAGCGTTACTTCATTCAGGACATGATGCAACGACAGGGCAGGAGGACACAGAGACCTGGGGCCATCTGTCCACTTCCTGGTGGTGGCAGGAGTTAGGCAGCCTTTAAGTTGAGCTCTTCTGGCTAGAGGCATCTCACCCTCTTCCCTGCTTTATTCTTACTCCCCCTATGCCTCCCCAAGGAGCCCTAGGGAAGGATGCTGGGCAAGGGGTCTGAGCTGTAGGGATGTGGGAGGAGATGTGGGCTGAAGACAGGGACAACTGTCTCCCTTCAAAGCACTAAAGAGAGCCAAGGATATTTGGCAGCAGGCACCTCACCTGCCATGCAGCACCCAAGTTGACTCATGGAAGTCGGTCCTGAGAATAATGCAGGCAGTGACAGACCCTGCGTGGTGGCAATGCTTGGAAGGAGGACTCCACAAAGGAGTGTCTTCACTTTGTCTTCCGAGCATCATGACAAGGCTGTGGCAGAGGGTGACAAGCCAAGCCTCAGAGCACTTCCCCAGTTCATCTCAGGCCTCAGCAAGCTCCAGGAGCGCCTGGAGTAGACCCTGGACTTCTGACTCTTGCCCAAGGCTCTTAGGAAACAGAACAGGCCCAGGGCGTTGATCAAAGGCAGGGCCCATGCCAACGGCAGAAGTGCCTGCATGTGGCAAAAGGAAGGTCTGGGCTGAGAAAGGTCCTGCCAACTTGAATGATTTAATTGGGACTTGCCCGTGAGGAATGGGAAAAACAGGGGCCTTCCCCAGCTCAATCCCACAGAGCTGGAGGCCACACACAAAGGCAGAAACAGATAAAGAACCCTACTCTTCCTTGGGAATTTGAGGTCAGCATCAGTGCCAAGGGGAAGCCACAGACTGCCTTCCCGAGCAGCGGCGAAACCCACCCTGCCCAGCCCCAGCTGAAGCTCCAGGGGCAGAAGCCACTGCTCCTCCCTCCTCCTTCTGCCCCTTCCCACCAACCTGTGTCAGAATTGCAGACCACACAGCTCAGGAGCAGGAGGCCCTGCAGATGTCACCTAATCTACATCCTAGGCTGACCCCCAAGAGAAAGGGCCTCAGTTTCCCTAGCAGCCAAGTCCAGGTTTTCTTTTTTTTTTCACAGGCTGGCTACCTGGTAGACAATCGCTGCCAATCCGTCCAAGTCCAGGGGCAAGGGAGTTTCCACTGCTGTGCCACAGGCTGCACTGAAGGCCCAGGGGTCTTCCCTGCTCACACTGCGCTCTCTGAGGAGGTACAGCCAGGGTTCCTGAGAACATCTGAGATCAGAGGGGAAGGTTGCAGCAGGAACCAGTTCCCTGCTGGGAATGACAGTGCCTCTCGGGTCTCACTGATACCCCCAGCCAGGAGGCTGTGGGGAAGGTCGATACCAACCCCTGCTCTAGATGGGCCTTCAGCCTGATCCCTTGTGGTGGTTTCTGCAGAGGTAGGAGACAGATGTGCTCCCCTCTCCAGCCCACCCACTCCTAGCCCATGTACTGAATGTCATCAAGTGGGATAGGGGACAGGCCAGGGGGTAGACCAGGCCTGGGAGACAGGAAAACCTGCCCCAGCACTGCCAGTGACTTACAGGTGACTTTGGCCAAGTCCTGGCCTCCTTGTGGCTCAATTTCCTGAAGTTTAAAGTATATAAACAACAACCCTCAGCCCCCTGCAGTGTGGCCGGGACGCACACTCTGGGGCTACCATGCCTGGGTTCAAATCCCTGCTCTTCCTATACTAGCTAGGTGCAGATAGGGAAGCTACTTAACCTCTCTGTGCCTCCGTTTTCTCATCTGTAAAACGGGGCTGGTAACACGAATTGCCTCATAGGGTTATTATGGATTGTAAGGCTTAAATAGGTTACTCTATACAAAGCACTAGAACATGGCTACAGCAAGCGCTGTATGCATGTAACCATTTATTGCCATTATTTCCTTGCCACACCTTGCCGCGGTGACATCCATGTCCTTAGAGCTCTTTGGGAATGTGAGCTGGGGAAAGACGAGGGGTGTGGACTTCCCAGTGCAGCAGCACGAGGCCCAGGTGTGATTTGGCTGGGACGCGGCTGTGGAGCTGGGCTGGCATCCGCTGAGGCCAGGTCTGGCTAGTGTGGGGCCAGCCCTGGGGATACAAGTGTGCGGGGCAGGAGTCTTGCCCCTTCCAAGAGTGGCTATAAATGAACTTTACAGACTAGATGTCCCTGTGGTCACCAAAAGTTTCTCTGCCTGGGGACAGGTCAGCTGGCAAAGGCCGACATGCCAGCAAGCCCAGCGAGAGGGGAGGCATCAGGCTGCCTTGGCTTCTCTGCTCTACTCCTTCTTGCCTTCTCCAAATTTGCAAGTAGGATTGGGTTTACAGGCAACTGGCATATCCTGTCCCATAACCAAAGGGTTAGCAAACTGAAGTTATCAGCTTTTTTTGTGGGCCAATTTTCCTCTGTGTCCAGATACCTGTCACCAACTTCTTTTCTCAGGTCCTGAAACAGCTTCCAGATGGGGCTCACCTCTGTGCCACACTGGAGCAGAGCTGGATCAATGCCTAGGCTGGAGTCTTAGGCCCAGCCCCCTCACCATTAGGCCTCCATCCTCCCACCCGAGCAGCCCCGGTTCACCCAGTCACTCCAGCTACGCAGCCAGCCACAGAAGGCTCACCCCGCATCCTACGTACCAGCCAAAAGCCACACTCCTTCTCCCTCCTATAGAGGCACTTCTGGCCTGTAGGGCAGTAGCCAATGTGGAAGAGGCCCAGTGTTGGGGAATGAACAGGCTGTGTTGAGGTTTTCAATGCCCGAGTGAGCTGGAGGTCCGGGCGGCTGGCAGGAGCCTCTCTGAGCCAGAGGCCTGAACAAATTGATGGGCACTGCTGTGCATGAATCCAGCTGGCTGTGCTCGTGGCCTGGATTGAAGGTCAATTAGAGCGTTAATCATGCCCAGCACTGCCCAGCCTGGTGGCATCCATGACCAGGAGTCCAGCAGAGGGAGCGAGTATTAATAACTCGGTGGTGACAGGCACCACTGTGGGAATGTGCTCTCAGGGCACCGCTGTGGGAATGTGCTCTCAGGGCACCGCTGTGGGAATGTGCTCTCAGGACAGGACGAACAGGGCAGGAAGAGCCTCCCCTTGCAGTGTCTCCTTCGCACTCTCCTGAGACAAAGTCAGGACGTCTTTAGGGGCTGTGTTTCCAGCCCAGAGCGCCAGCTTTTGCCTGAGACCCACAGGCCCACCCTCAGGGAGAGTAAGAGGAGTGGGAGGGGGAGGAGGGGGCCAGGCCTAGAGAAGAGCAGGCCCCGGCTTTACTTCCCACTCTCCTGGCCAGCCGCAACCCTGCGCATGGTACTGTAGGCCTCACTCTCCTCATTTGCAAAGTGGCCTGCCTGTCCTACAACCCAGAGCTGTGAGGAAAATAGGACCAGCATGGCAATAATGCTAGAAATAATGATCAGATTTACTGAACGCTTTGCTCTGGGTGCTGGGCTGTCCTTTCCACGGGCCTTATCTCAACCATGTCCCTAACTCCATGAGGTGGGTATCATTATTATCCTGTTCTACAGAGGGAGAAGGAGAAATTGAGGCCCAGAAAAGTTCAGTAACTTGTCTGAGGTCCCACAGCAATTATGTCATGGTATCATGATGTAAATCAATGATGCACACCCATGCTGTACAAAAATAAAGCACTCCTGGCCGGGCATGGTGGCTCACGCCTGTAATCCCAGCACTTTGGGAGGCCAAGGAGGGTGGATCACCTGAGGTCAGGAGTTCGAGACCAGCCTGGCCAACATGGCGAAACCCTGTCTCTACTAAAAAATACAAAAATTAGCCGGATGTGGTGGCAGGCGCCTGTAATCCCAGCTGCTCGGGAGCCTGAGGCAGGAGAATCGCTTGAACCCGGGAGGCAAAAGTTGCAGTGAGCCGAGATCACACCACTGCACTCCAGCCTGGGCAACAGAGTGAGACTCTGTCTCTAAATAAATAAATAAATAAAGCAAGCAAGCAAGCACTCCCGTACCCATAATCCCCTGCAGGACAGTGAGAGCCCCAGCAGCAGTGGCTCAGCTTGCTTCTTGTTGGGCCTGGGATGAGTGTTCCAGATGAAGGCAGGCAACATGTCAGGTGAAGTTAAGATACAGTCTCTGCACTCTAGAAGCTTAGTATGTTGCTTGAATTTTTAAAATGTTTTAATATTTAAATTCAAAAAGTACAAAACATTATTTAAAGTCTCTGGCTGGGCACAGTGGCTCACGCCTATAATCCTAGCACTTGGGAGGCCAAGGTGGGTGGATCACTTGAGCTCAGGAGTTTGAGACCAGCCCAGGCAACATGGTGAGACCCCGTTTCTACAAAAAATATAAAATTAGTTGGGCATGCTGGCACACACCTGTAGTCCCAGCTACTTGGAGGCTGAGGTGGGAGGATCATTTGAGCCCAGGAGGTCAAGCCTGCAGTGAGCCAAGATCATGCCACTGCACTCCAGCCTGGGCGACAGAGCAAGACCACATCTTAAATAAATAAATAAGTCTCCTTCTCATCCCTGCTCCATGGAGGCAACCACTGTAACTGGTTTCTCATGACAGATTATTCCAGAAGTAATCAATGGATATTTACAGTCCTGTTTAAGGTACCAGTGAGGAACCTGTTCTGGGGTCGAGGCTGTGTGGGCCCTTCCAAGCGCTGCCCTGCCCCAGCCACCACCTCCCTCATATAACTTCCTCCTTCCTCCCCTGCTTTCCAGAGGACCCCGCTGAGAACCCACAGACAGGAGGACAACTGCGCTATGACAGCAATAAAGGCCAAGAAGGAGAAAGTTGAGGACCGCTGACAGCCCCGTGTGCTGTTGGGAGCTGCCCTTTCTACTTCAAACCTTCCTCTAGCAGACTGTGCAGGGACCCCCCACCACCACCATCTGCCGCCATGGTTGTGCAAAACAGCGCAGACGCCGGGGACATGAGGGCAGGCGTGCAGCTGGAGCCCTTCCTGCACCAGGTCGGGGGGCACATGAGCGTGATGAAGTATGACGAGCATACGGTGTGCAAGCCCCTCGTCTCCCGGGAGCAGAGGTTCTATGAATCCCTGCCGCTGGCCATGAAGCGGTTCACCCCACAGTACAAAGGTGAGTGTCTAGGCAGCCAGGCCACGTCTGGGTGCTGCCACACGGGGGCCGGCTCATCCAATGCACCCACCACGTCCTCCTGTGGTGTGGGTGTGTGTAAGGGTTGCCACAGAGACGCGCCCCTCTCCCAGCGGGGCTGGCCTTCTCTGTCCTAGTTTCTCTGAACTCTTCAAGCCTCCAGGTCTGGAGTGTAATGCCGTTTGGTTTCCTTATAAATTAGCTCAAGTCACCAGGCTTTGAGGGATGGAGAGAATAAAACAACACCCTGGTCCCACCCAGTCTCCAAGGCGGCATTCTGGTCTGTGCCTTCCCGGTGCCATAGCCAGCCATCTCATGCTGGCTGTAAACACAGGGCAAAATGGGGCCTCCTTAACCTCCCTCTGAAAGCCAAGGAGGATGGCGGGACCCTCAGGCCTGGGACAGGGCTTGGGATGCTGCGATGTGGCTTGCTTGGGAAGCCAGAACTCCCGCCCTCACCCAGGAAGAGGCAAAGCCAGGGATACGGGCTGCCGCTTGCGTGTAGCTGGGAAACTTCTGCATGGGGCAGCATGTGTCTTGGATCTGAGCACAAGGTGGGTTCTGGGGAAAGAAAGTGGGTGGGGAGGGTGCTGCCTGCTGGCCTTCAGGCAGGGGTCGGGCTCCCCAGGACAGGCTGATTTGTCCACACCCAGCCTTCTGAAAGTGAGGCTCAAAGGGCTCAGCCACACTCTGCCAGGCAGCCGGCCCAGCAGTGAGGTGAGTGCTCAGAGAAATAACCTCTTTAGAGGACGGTAGACCCCATGACTGCAAGCTGCTGCCCTCATTGTCAAAGTATTGGTGGTGAAGGTGACAATAATATCCAAATAAGTCAGTCAAAAACACATTTGCATTTCAATGATTAAGATAACTGGGAAGGATGGGGCCTGGTGTTTCTCAAGTGCAATCTGGCCTGGGAAACCCACTTTACTAGAATCCGGCGTGTATGTGCACAAAGGCGCACAGGTCCCCACGCCCCATGCCAGACCTGTGAATCAGAATCCCCTGGGGTCTTGGGGTGAGGGTCAGGAATTCTCTTTTTTTTTTTTTTTTTTTTTTGAGACGGAGTTTCGGTCTTGTTGCCCAGGCTGGAGTGCAATGGCGCGATCTTGGCTCATTGCAACTTCCGCCTCCCAGGTTCAAGCGATTCTCCTGCCTCAGCCTCCGGAGTAACTGGGATTACAGGCGCCTGCCACCATGCTCGGCCAATTTTTGTATTTTTAGTAGAGACGGGGTTTCTCCATGGTGGTCAGGCTGGTCTCGAACTCCCAACCTCAGGTGATCCACCCACCTCAGCCTCCCAAAGTGTTGGGATTACAGGCGTGAGCCACTGCGCCCAGCCAGGAATTCTTATTTAACACGGTCCAGACCTAATGCCGGTAGGGGGACCAGGGCCTGGAGCCTTGAGCATTGCTTCCAAGCACTGTTTCACACATGCCTGGATTCCAGGCCAGCCTGCCAGGACCTCCTGAGAGTCTAAGACAAGACCGATCAGCGTCACACACGGAGAGACAGGGGAAGATGGTCCATGGGCTGCCTGTGTGGGCCTCCCTCTCCCTGGGGTCTTCCCGGCCCGCAGGCTGGTGTTGCCTGGCTGGTTGTGGGGTCACTTCCCATCTTGTCAGAGCACCCACTGGAATTAATGTCTGTTCCTTCACAACTAAACTTAGCCCAGCAGAGGGGTGGCAGGATCATGTGTGGGGCGGCCTCCTGCCAGCACCATTTCACGCTTGCTCCACACAGCTCTGGGGCTGAGATGGATGCCGGGCAGCCGCAGGCTAAGTGGGAGAGGCAGAGAGGCTGGCCTGGCCTTCAGGAGGCTGTCCTCATCCCCTCCTCTGCTCCCCATCTGCAACGGCCATGAGCCAGTGTGGGTAGGAGGGCCCCACTCTCAGTGCCCTTGAGCACTGATCTCTGTTCAGGCCTCTGCTCCACCCTGCTTTCCCCTTCAGGTCAGCCCCATCCCAGGGCCAGCCCCCTTGGGGCTCTGCTAACTCAGTACATTAATTTGAGCCAAGGCGTCAGAGCTAATTGTATCCATAGCTACAGGGGATGCCTCAGCATCTGCCTTCAGGCTTCACACAGGAGATGATGTTTCTATATAAGCCAGGAGGGACCTGGGTCAGGGCACCCCCTGACACCCTTCAGAAACCACCTAGCCGGCCACCTACTCTGCCTGCAGGTGGAGGCAGACAGAGCCCGTGGGCTGAAGTTTTGATGAAGCAGAAATGCTGATTCACTCACTGACCAGAACACGACTCACACAGGGCCACTGCCCAAGCACTAACTAATGAAATATGCACATTTAAGAAGACTCTAGGAAAAGGCCCAGAACCAGGACTCAGGTGCTCAGATGCCTGGGGTAGGGGAAGGAGGACAGGTGGCTGAGGTCTGCTCGTAGATGGGAAGAGTCCCTGAAAGGGCTCTCGGGTGGTGTAGGCTGCTGCTAAGCAAAGCCACATCTGCTAAACCTCCGTGTCTGCTGTGCCTGACACAACTATAAGCAGCTTCCGTGCACTAATTCACACAATCCTCGCAGCACACTGAGGCAGGGACCTTTATCCGCCCTGTCATAGATGAGGAAGCTGAGGCACAGAGAGGTTACCTGGCATGCCTGAGGCCAACACGGACACTGAGAGGCAGAGCCAGGATTCCAAGCCCTGAGGTCTGGCTCCTGACTGTGGGCTCTTGGCCACATGGGCCAGCTCCACTCAGCTACACTGTTACTAAAGGGGTGGACTCGGGTGTCAGTGTTCAGGGGTCATCTAGCCCAAGGAGGGAGGGGGCGTGACTTGCCCAGGGTCATTCAGCTAGGACCTCAGGTCAGGGGCACTTGAATCCCCACAAGGCTGCCACAAGGGTCTCCTTTTTCTCCCCTATAGGAACAGCCCCCACTGAGAGGGGCCATTTCTGAAGTGGCCACCACATGCCACAGAGTGCATGTTCTCCCTTCTCGCCACCCTGCGCCACGATGGCATCAGGGAGGATGATGGGCAGGGATGCCACTCCAGAGGGCAGCCTCTTGGGTCAGAGTTCGCCTGGGACCTTTGCTGGGCTCCGCAGGCATGATGGTGCCCTGGGGCTGCATCCCTCTCCTGCCAGGCTGCCGGCCAGCACTGGGGAATGAGGACATACTCGTAAGTCCAGTTGGTTAACAATTGACCCGATTCATATTACAGATGGCAGCAAGTAAATGCTCTCATAAACTTAAAAATAAATACATGATAGAATATTCACGGAGGCTCAGGAAGCTACTCGGCCAAACCAAAAGTGCTGAGATGCTCTGGGCATGCCAGTTGTGGCAGTAAGCTCTCTTGTCTGTCCAGCTGGCATGGTCTCGGGTTGAGATGCATGGGGAGGGCTGGGCAGGCAGGAAGACTCTGGCTGGGTCCCACACTCTCCTGGTCAGGAGAGCTCTGGGAACCCGTGGGCCTCCAAGGCCTTGTCCCCACAGACACACAGGGCAAGCTGGAGACCAGGCTGGAGCTTGCATGGCTCTTGAACAGGTCAAGCACCGAGAAGCCTGGATTCCACTGGCATGCTGCTCTGCCAAGGGCAGGCAACTGGAGACTGTTTTTAAGGGGGCTATCTACTTGGGGTCCCCGACTTCAGAGGGAAGGGCTGCGCTGAGCCACAGAGGGTGTGACAGGGAAAGACAGACAAGAGCTGGAGACAGACACAGCCCGTCAGAGGCACGCAGAAAGACAGAGAGGCAGAGATGCAGAGCCTGGCTGTGTAACTCTGACAATATGAGAAATGGAAATGACTTTTGGATTTTATTGGTTTTGGGTTATTTGCACCTCTGCTCTCCTCCATTTACTCAGACACTCAGAACTGATGAGATCAGACAAGTACTGGAGCCTGGAGGAGTGGGTGAAGGTCACGCTTCCTGTCCCTCCAGGGAGACCTCCTGGGCCTGGGGCTCCCAAGACTGTGGTTTCTGGCAGACCTGTCACCATAGCCTCACGTGTGGCAGGGCCAGGGTCACGTGTGGCAGGGCCAGGGGAGTGCTGGAGGGCAGCTTGAATTTTCCAAGACCCAAAAGGGCCCTGCACAGGACCGGCACACCAGGCTCCCCAGGCAGCTAGGAGGCCTCGGGGTTCCCCAGGAACTGCACGAGGCTGCTGGCTCTCTCCCCTTCTCGCACCTGGAAAGATGGGCTTGGGACAGTCATTGGTTTCTGAAAGGTCAGTTCTCCTCCCTAGAACAAAGCACTCCAATCCTCCTTCCCCAAGACACAGGCCTGGAAATGTAAACACCATCTCCTTGCAGCCTGGGCTCCCAGCCCTCAGCGCTGACGACCCTCCCTGAGGGGAGGGAATCACAGCGTCTCTGTTCTCTCCTATGGAACAGAATGACCAGAACAAACATGACAGGGGACACAGCAGGAATGTCCCTAATGCAAACTTGGGGTAAACAGCGTGACAACACCAGACCTTCTGGAACAGCCTGTCCTTTCCTCCATCCCCACGTCTGGCATGGCCCTCCCAGAGCTCCACCCCACACCGACCATGTGACCTTGGGCAGATTATCCCATCTCTCCGAGCCTAGGCGCCCACCGTCAAAACCCTTACAGGCGTACTGTGACTTAGTGGTAGCAAGGGAAAAGCAGCAACATGCCACCCAGCAGGTGGAAGACAGGGTGGCTATGATGCTCTGTGATTCCTTCCTCAACCTGCCGTCAGCCCCTGTCTCACGAGCAGGACAGCGACAGTGGGCTTGGCCTAGGGGTGGACGCTAGTGGCAGGTGAATGGTAAAATGCCAGGTTCAGGGACAGCGTTATCATTATCATCATGATGACTTCACAGGACACGGGAGCCTGGGATGGTGTGAGGAAAGGCAGCACCTTTTAGGAGATGGAGAGAACTGAATGTCACTCTCAGGCTGCAAAATTAGGGCACTGGGAATCTGAGATGACAGGACTGGCCCAGGGAGACCGCTCAGCTAGGCACAGGCAGCTCTGGAGAGTGACTTGCTAAATTATAGAGCAGCCCTGATAACGAGTGTCCACGCTGACCAGCCCAGGAGGGCCCGGCAGGCATGCAAGCCGAGAGATGAGCCGCCTTCACGGCTGGCTCAGCAGAAATTGCCACTTACTCTGAGAAGGTGACCACGTGGCTGGGGGGAGAAATAAACAGCTTGAAGGACATAAAAACATGCGGCCTACCCTCTTTCGGTCAGGGCCCAGCAGAAAACAAAAGGCACACTCAAAGGAGATTAAATGAAGACAACCTTAAAAAGGAACTGTTTGGCAGGGCACGGTGGCTCACACCTGCAATCCCAGCACTTTGGGAGGCCAGGGTGGGTGGATCACAAGGTCAGGAGTTCGACACCAGCCTAGCCAAGATGATGAAACCCCGTCTCTACTAAAAATACAAAAATTAGCCGGGTGCAGTGGCGGGCACCTGTAATCCAAGCTACTCGGAAGGCTGAGGCAAGAGAACTGCTTGAACCCGGGAGGCGGAGGTTGCAGTGAGCCGAGATTGCGCCACTGCACTCCAGCCTGGGCAACAGAGCGAGACTCCATCTCAAAAAAAAAAAGAAAGAAAGAAAGAAAAAAGGAACTGTTTGCAGAAATATATGCAGGATTCAGGGGTACAACCAGGGACTGGGGGGACCCAGGGACCAGCAACACTGGAAAGCTGTCACCACCCCAGGCCAGGAGGGCCACAGAGGAACACAGCAGGGTATGAACATGGTGAAGAGGGGTGGGAACCAGTGGAATAAACGCCCATCCTTTCTCCTCCCACCCTCCCATCTCCTGCCAGTGCCCCCCACTGGGCAAATCCACTGGGAAACTAGAGGGCAAGGGAGCCACTGGTATACTCCATCAGGTCACTCCTTCAGCATAAAGCAGGACAGAGGGGGTGCAGAGTGGGCTGCTGAGGGCAGGCACAGAGAGGGTGAGCGCATTAGGAGAGAGGACATGTATTCTCACCTCCACTTCTCCCAAAACCACAAGGGTGGCCATCTCCTGTGCTACTACCAAGACTCTGGCGAGGCCAGGCACCACTGGAGGCCAAGCTCCACGGAGGAAGGCCTGGGTTCTGCCACCACCAGAGGAAGGACGCTAAAGGGTGGCTACAGAGCTGCTAATGTGCCTGCCACAGCTAATTACTCAAGCCCGACCAATGTCCAGGAGAACACCCCTTAGTATGTAGGGTAAGGGCGTTTCAGATACTCTTCACTTTCACAACCAGTGTTTTTTTGTGCCTCAATGACCAACACCGATGGTAGGATGTACCACAGTTGGGGAAATCTCACAAGGCTTGTTTCATCAAAGAACCATGTTCCACCAATAATCTTCATGTGTGGATGCATCTAACCAGAGGAAATGGCAGGCCATCAGCTCAAGGGCAGACAGACGGGGGAGGGCAAGTGAAGGGGCAAAGGGGAGCCCTGAGCCCTGGAAGGCTGTGAGAGGAAGCCTTCCTGGAAGAAGCAGGTCCGATAAAGACACGTGGGAGGGAGAAGAAGGGTGCTCAGGAGGCAGAGGGCACGGAGGAGGGATGGGATGGGCCCAACTTCCCTCACTGGCACTCTGAGGTGGGCGGCCCCTTCGCAGAGGACCAGCTCCAATGCCCCCAGGTCAGGCAGAGCTGGGTTGGCTGTGGTGTGACTGGGAGGTGTGACTGCGCACAGAGGAACTGGAACGCAAGGACAAAATGTGCGGAGTTGACTTTGTTGAAAGCGCAAAGAGGCAGGGAAGTGCGATAAAGCAGAGGATGTGCCAAGATCAGCCCAAGGCTATTTTCTCCAAGCTCCAGGGCTCATTCTGGGACAGGATCGGTTCAGGCAAAACCAGGCCAGTCCCATAGCTCTTCCTTGAGAGAGGAGCTGGGGAACGGAGGAGGTGGACCAGGGCCATTAAGCTAAATTCCCAACTCGTCATCACTCCTGCATGTCCGTGTGGAGGCTCTCTCAACTGGCTCCTCCCCTCCCCTTCCCTGTGTGTTTGCAGGTACCGTCACAGTGCACCTCTGGAAAGACAGCACAGGCCATCTCAGCTTGGTTGCCAACCCAGTGAAGGAGAGCCAGGAGCCCTTCAAGGTCTCCACAGAGTCGGCGGCGGTGGCCATATGGCAGACGCTCCAGCAGACCACCGGCAGCAATGGCAGCGACTGCACCCTTGCCCAGTGGCCGCATGCCCAGCTGGCACGCTCACCCAAGGAGAGGTGAGGGCACTGGGCAGGATGACAGAAACCCTGTCCC
This sequence comes from Homo sapiens, assembly GCF_000001405.40. NCBI lineage: Eukaryota > Metazoa > Chordata > Mammalia > Primates > Hominidae > Homo > Homo sapiens. Next base: position 33,728,049 of record NC_000006.12, on the reverse strand, counting down.
TCGGCAGGGACCGGCACTGCTCCCACCTGTGCCCAAGGCCAACCACTCCCTATTAAGGCTGGTGCTGAGAAAAAGAAATTCAGATGAATGCTCTGTCTAGAATAACCAATGTGACCAAAGAAAGGAATGGATTTTCTTTATGTCACTCCTAGAAGGGAGGATTACGATGCATTTTATCCCAGAAGTTGATGCACAGGCAGAGTTGTCTACTGAGTAGGTATTCAGTACATATTTGTTTAATTAAATATCTGTTTCACTGAGACCATGAAGTGTCTCTGGGGAGGAAGTACACAAAACAGAAACCCTAGAATAGTGTATGTAGAGGAAAAGTGTGGCTAATTGCTCTCAGAAATCACCTCTTTCCCTAGCAGTTGGAAGGGGCCAGGAGGGAGGTCAATGTGGTGCTCAGAGGGTCCCTGGAGATGCAGGAGGCTCAGGTGCCTGAGGTCCCTATCAAAAACCTTTGACAATGTCAGCTGACCTTTCTCAGGTGAAAAGGCTCCCCACGGCTTTTTAAAACATTTATGGGAAACAAAAGGGAGCTAATACAATGAAAATATCTCCCTTCCCAAGGAGTGCTGCAGATCTCATTAAGCCTCTGGGCTTGGAGTCAGGAAGCAGGAGCATTATCTCCATTTCACAGATGGTGACGCCAAGATGCCAAGAGGGCAGGAGAAGAGGGCCGGCCGCTGTCCACGCTCACCACAGCTCCCACCCCACTCCTGTGCCCTTCTGAGGTCTCAGGGAGGTGACGGCCTGCCTGCTGGATTGTCAGAGTCCAACCCCAGGCTTGTGATTCCGGATAGGGCCACTGCCCCCTTAGTGTGTCGCCTCAATAATAAGGCCATTAATAATCCAGATCACTTACAAGTGAGTTTAAATCACCTCAGCCCTCTAAGGGGGCAACATGTTCTAATAAGTTCTCCAGGGTTTGGAGAAGCCCCTTGAGGGCTGCAGTGTGGTGAAATCTGGCCCTAGAACCGGAGTTGGGCAGGGAGGGTGCCCCAGCCTGGTGAGGGCTGCCCTGGAGAGCAGCTGGGACCACCCTTTCAGAGCCCATCTCAGAGAGCCCAGTCAGCCACAGGCAGCGGCGCCCTTCCCCAGACCTCTGCTCTGACCGTCCTGTGCTCCACTCCGCCGCAGCCCGGCCAAGGCTCTTCTGAGGTCCGAGCCCCACCTCAACACTCCAGCCTTCTCGCTGGTGGAAGACACCAACGGAAACCAGGTTGAGAGGAAGAGCTTCAACCCGTGGGGCCTGCAATGCCACCAGGCCCACCTGACCCGCCTGTGCTCCGAGTACCCAGAGAACAAGCGGCATCGTATCCTTGCCATCCCCCTCACATGTGGTCCCAAGGGCGGGGCGACAGAGAGACACAGAGGGGCAGAGGTGGGTAGAGGAAACACACACAAACACGGGGCCAATGGAGGGTAGCAGGGAGAGACAGATGTGAGGGATAGCTGGAAGGCACAAGCCCTCAAACCCGGGTCCTAGAAGAAATCAGGTGCCTCCAAAAGAACAGCTAGACAGTATGGGGAAGGCAGATGGAATTATACTGAGCGCAGTGCCCTGGGGGGGCCCTGGCTGTGTCTTTGCTACTTGGCAGTAAAGATGGGTTGGGATGGGCATGTCTGTGGTTAGACAGGAATAAGGAATGCCATGTTGCGTGGGGGCAGCAGGGGGCTCAGAAAGCTGGATGGGCCCCCAGCCCCAACCTCCCTTCCATCCCTCCAAATTCTCCCTGCAGGCGTCTTCCCATGGGGCCCACACAGTGAGAGGGAAGTGTGGCTCCTCCCTTAGTGGAGCACCCATGGGGTAGACTATGGGAGGAGGTAAGTCCCCCTCCCCTACAGAGTTTTCAGGAAGAAAATTTAGGTTTGAAATACCCCTTCATCACCACTGCTCTGCTCCTTCCTGCAAATGGGTGGCTGGTTTCATAGTATTTACCAAGACACATCTGCAATCCTAATCCCTAAGAAGCTTTTGCAGGATAATTACTCCACTGAAATTAATATTCCTGCAACTCATCTCCAAAGCTAACATCAACCCACTTCTCCCAAAAGGTATTGGTCCATTCAGCAGGACTGAAGGTTTTAGCCTTATGATTTTCTGCCGTAAAATGTAAATTGGGCATGGCCTGCTAGGGATTTCACACTTGCGTTTAAATTTCAACCTCGGAGCAAAATGTAAAAGGAAAAAAAAGCTCACATACTCATAAACTCCCCCTAAATAAATGGACTTATTAAAGCAGCCTGCAAAGCTAATACTTCAAATTCTTAATAGCAAGGATGAGCTTGTCTGTAAGGAAGGCAATGGGAGTGAAGAATGGTGCCCAGAATAGGGAATTTCCAGGCAGCTTCTGAGGCATGCAAACGACCTCTGGCGGAGCAGCAGTTCTGAAGTCCTCAGAGCCTTCCTTAACTTAGTGTGACTAGGGTTCTTGTTGCTGGAAAATGTAGTGTCACAGTACACGCATCCCTGTGTCCTGGATCTGAAGATGGGGACCCGGCAGCACGGCGATGATGCATCGGAGGAGAAGAAGGCCCGCCACATGAGGAAGTGTGCGCAGAGCACCTCAGCCTGCCTGGGTGTGCGCATCTGCGGCATGCAGGTAGGTCGCAGGGGACCCACCACAGGGGGGGACATCCCGGCACGTCCACGGTGGGGCAAGGATATCTCCCATCCAGATGCCACTGCCCCCCTGCAGAGCCCTTCACTCTGGAGGAGCCACAGAGGAGGCCAGGAGCCTCCAACAAGGAAATGCATACCCTGGTCTATGACACACTGGAAATTTTCTTTTTTCTATTTTTTTTTTTTTTTTTTGAGACGGAGTCTTGCTCTGTCGCCCAGGCTGGAGTGCAGTGGCACAATCTCAGCTCACTGCAACCTCCGCCTCCCGGGTTCATGCCATTCTCCTGCCTCAGCCTCCCGAGTAGCTGGGACTACAGGTGCCCACCCCCACGCCTGGCTAATTTTTTGTGTTTTCAGTAGAGATGGGGTTTCACCGTGGTCTCGATCTCCTGACCTCGTGATCTGCCCGCCTTGGCCTCCCAAAGTGCTGGGACTACAGGTGTGAGCCACTGCGCCCGGCCCACACTGGATCTTTCCAAAAGCACCCTTCAGAATAGTGATGTCAAAAACCATCACATTTGAACTTTGTCTCACAATCTTTGGCAGCCGAAACTTTCCACAGTGGCCATGTGGCTCCTGCTCATGTTGTGAGCAGACCTTTGATGCAGTGTGTGAGGCTGGGCTGGGGTAAGGACTAAGAGAAAGGGCTTCTTGGTGCACCCCGTGGCTTCCTGAGTCCTCCTTCTCTTGAATGATAAAGCTGAATTCTCTCCTTCTTAGATGCTGTATGGCAGTCAGCTCTTTAAATTTCTATTAGCCATTTCCCCTTCTTAATCCACCTTTTCTGCTCCTTTTTGCTACCAGTTCTGGTTAATAAAGTGGGAAGCTCATAACCTGCTAACCCTGCAAAGGAATGGTTATTTTCTATAACTCAGACTCCACGCCTCCTTTTTGGGGCTCTGATGTGGCTTATGACAGGGGCTGCAGGAGAACAGGATAAAATAAACTTCCTCTACTCGTTCCCTCTTATAGTCTGTCTGCTCAAAGCAAAACCAGACACTGATTTGACGGTAAACGTTATAGCTTTTCTTAATTGAAACCGCCACCCCTTGAAGCTGGAAGTTGAGTCTATAAATTTGTTGCACAGATGTCCTTTGGAAAGCCGGGAATGTAGTCCTCAAGAGAATGGAGTGTGATGATTTGTGGTGTAAATGGAATCTCTCTCTGGACCTCAAATCTTCTGAAATTGATCTGATTTATTTAGAAAGTGATGCCTGTCAGGTATTTTTGACGGCTGATTTAGCAGCCAATCTGCAGCCCTCCAAAGGCAACACTAAGGCTATCATATCTTTCCGATTTTTTTCAACACTGGTTTTCTATGAACATATCATGTAATCTGAAGGCAGGAAAGACCTGAGAAACTGTCTTGGCCAGGCACAGGCTGCCCCTTCTAGGTATGCCAGGCAGAGGGGTGCCACCCCCCCCCGGCCATGCCCACTGCTGGCCTTAGTTCAGCCTCAGCTGCTGCCTGTGCCATCTGAATGAAATGGGGGTTGCTGCCACTGTCCCCCATCAGTATCTCTCTTCCATCTGCTCCCTTCTGGTGGCCAAGACACAACAGGGGAGGGGAGGAGAGATGGTGCCAAGGAGAGGAGCCACCAGCCCCACAGAGCTGCCATGAACCTCCCTCCTCCACCAGGCTCCCCTCAACTGCACTGGCTGCCTAGAAACCCTGTCCACACCTGACCTAGCCTGTCTTTTTATCTTCAAACAATTCACCCCACTCCACTTCAAGAGGCATTACTGTTGCCTTGGAATCTGCAGAGAAAGGACTTTATAAACTTTGCTGAGGAAATTTTAATCTAGTTGGCTTTCCAAGGCCATTGGCTGTGATTTCAGATTCCTATTAAAGCTTTCTAGCTTGGGTTTGCTAATATTTGAATTGAAGAGGGCCAGGAGCCAGGGCTTAAATCATGATTTGGAGGTTGACATTGGAAATTCACAAGAAAGAAGATCCAAACGTTTTCCTCGTGGGTGGAGGGTCACCTCTGTGGGGTGAAGGATCTTTAGACCTTGGATTACTATTAAAGACTTGCACAGAAAGCATTTTAAAATGTAAAAGCTACTCTGGCACTTGATGGAAGATCATCTTCTGCTCATTTCAGTCACTCTTGCCCTACATCTCCTAAAAATCTGTTCATATATTATCCCAGCTTATGATGCTGCAACCGTACCAGATACAATTTGTTTAAGTTTCCAATCTTCACATTTTCTTTATTCTTTTTAATGTAAGGTTTATCAAACAGATAAGAAGTACTTTCTCTGCAAAGACAAGTACTATGGAAGAAAACTCTCAGTGGAGGGGTTCAGACAAGCCCTCTATCAGTTCCTACATAATGGAAGCCACCTCCGGAGGGAGCTCCTGGAGCCCATCCTGCACCAGCTCCGGGCCCTCCTCTCTGTCATTAGGAGCCAGAGTTCATACCGCTTCTATTCCAGCTCTCTCCTTGTCATCTATGATGGGCAGGAACCACCAGAAAGAGCCCCAGGCAGCCCGCATCCTCACGAGGCTCCCCAGGCAGCCCACGGTAGCTCTCCCGGTGGTCTCACCAAGGTTGACATCCGCATGATTGACTTTGCTCATACCACATACAAGGGCTACTGGAATGAGCACACCACCTACGATGGACCAGACCCTGGCTATATTTTTGGCCTGGAAAACCTCATCAGGATCCTGCAGGATATCCAAGAGGGAGAATGAAACTTCCTGGGCTTATCTGGATTCTTCTGGGCTATAGATCTCAAATAGAGACCTGTTGGTTGCTAGGGTAGTCCAGACACCCCTTAGATGTCTTCATAATAGTCCTATCTACCTTCAAAAACCATCTCTATATATGGCAGACTATATTAACAGCTGCTGAACAAATCAGCTCTGGAGGTGATTCCACATCCCCTGGCATTATGCTCTAATGCTGCTCATCGGAGAACAGACAGCCAGGATAAAGTGGCACCTTCTGGAGTACACTGGAGGGGGCAGCCCAAGTTAGAGGCCAGCATTGCTGACATTCTGGAATATTTGCATCTAAAAATGTTTACTCGTTGCCATGCTGCAGTCCGCACAAGCTGTGAGGCAGAAAACTTGACTTGAAGCAGCCTTGAAGAGTGAGTTCATGAGCTCATGGTTTTTCTCCTTGTATGGACTGCTCGCTCCAAGGGCAGGCAGAGCTCATGAATGCCTCTTATCTTCCTAAGCGGAGTTTTAGGTGACACAGGATGAAGCAGAAGAGATCTACCCATCTCATCTGCTCTGCACCCAGCTTCTAAGTGGACAAAGCCAAGCCCAGGCATGAGCTCTGGCAAAGCAAGACCCCAGATTCTCCATTTTTGCCTGTGGAAAGGAGGGTCCCTTTACAGGCTTTTTTTTCCTTTTTTTCCCCCAAAATCTCTTAAAATGAGGAATCTCTTAGCAGACTTTGGAGTTCCCCATTCTGCCACATTCTGACCATGAGACGCGGCTTGCAGTGGGGGTGAACGCACATAAAAAGGGACCACTGACGTCCTGCTCTACTCTCTGCTTTCTATTTATTTATTTTGGGGGTGGGTTGGGGAGTCAGAAGAACCTGGAGGACGGAGGAAACCAGGGGCAATGTTTACAAGACTGGTGGACAAGTGTAAATATGGAATAAGAACAAACAGTTCTAATTAATTCCTTCTTCTGCAGTATGGAAACCTATTACGATGCCCTTGAGTCAAGCACTGAGATACGTTACCCAATTAGGGAAATAAATTTGTTAATAAAATTGCTGAGGTCACCAGTGATTATTGGTGTGCCTTATTACCCTTTCCATTTGTTTATTCTGATCACACTGTGTGGTAGTTCCAATTTATGAGCGACTAGCATATACCACAAGAACAGTTCACTGATTTCCTACAATCCTTCAGGGAACTCGGGTGGAAATGGTGGCTAATAAAATATTTGCATGTATCTGCAAGGGAGGCACCAGACCTGAGAAGTGGTCCTTTTATTTGAATCTCATACAATGTACAATTAAGTAATTTTTTTATTCTCATGGATAATTACTATCCACACTCCAAAATCCACACTAATAAAAAGAAAGAATGGACTGGATAATTAAAAAAACAAAAACAAAAAAAACAAAACAAAACCTTTTGTTTAATTTTAGAACATACTCTATGGGTTTCTAAGCAGGTTCACTTCCCAAATTATGTTTGGCCAAGGCAATGATGTGATTCATTTGCATGCTGTGTGCCCAAGGTGGGAGAGTTGAGTCAGAGCATGTTGGGCGACAAAAGGGAGTCAGCCTAAAACTAAATATTTGCTAATGACAAAACAGAGCCCTAAATACTGCCTTTTCCAGGCCAGTTCCTTGTTTGAGAATCTGGAACCACATCAACCAAGTCCAAACCCCCTGCTTAGCTTCTCATTTCTCCACCTGTTCTCAGCTCTCAGTGTGAGGGGACTTGCCCGAGGATGGCACAGAGATGATCAGCTGGAATCCAAGTCTTTGGGGGCTGGCCCACCCAGGTCATTAGCTGTGTCACAACTATTCTCTGTGGCTGGGGTCCCAATTCTTGCCCAGGTGATGCCCCCTCTCTCAGCTATTCCTTTACCCCATGGCACCCCTCATGTATGAGGCCTTCTTCTTCCTCCAAATCATTTGAGGCCCAGCCCATGTTCCCATCTCCTCCTAAATATGTCCCTAAAAAAAGTAATTTGTTGTTTAAAAAAAAAAAAGTTGGGGGAACAAAGTTGTCTACTGGTTTTAGCGCATTCTTACTGGACTAACAGACTCCGAGGGGTTGCTGTGATCTGAAAATTTGCGCATGACTCTGCAGATTCAGAAACTCAATGAATTTAGAAACTGAATGAGCCCACCCAGTTGCTCCAATCTGGGAAGCAGGAGAGGAGAAAGGCATGGAAAGAAGAGATGGTGGGGTGTGTATGTTTTTGGTCTCCAATCTGTGTTTACTTGAAAATGGCAAAAAGAGTGAGGGAGCCCTAAATAATCTGGCAGTCAGCAAGAGTACACTGAGCAGCTATTCCTTGCTCATCTCCCGGCTCATGCTGGAGAAGATGCAGCTCTTGGGGAGCCTGTATTCTAGATAGGGAGGCAAGAATAACACACATGAACTGACACAAACCATGCAAGACAGGACCAAGTGAGACAGAGGATCACCTGTGTGGGGCAGACGATCAACCCTATCATTTACAGTTGAAGATGTTCGTTCAGAACAGGGGCATCACTAACACTGTTGACGGAGGTGGAGCTCCATCTGAACCCTGAAGGGTGACAGGAGTGGAGAAGGGCTGGGCGATGGGTGAGGGGAGGGCGGGTGGAGAGTGGGGGAAAGGAAAAGTCCAGCATGCCCATGAGTCTGTAGACAGAACAACCCATTTGGAATGGGGGTTTTGTGGTTGGAAGTAGTAGAAGAGAAATGGAATGAGCCCAGATGGTGGAAACACTTGAAAATCTAGTCAAGTAGATCGTTCATTTGTGATGTCATTATTCTGTCCTTCTTTCCTTCTTTCCTTCCTGCCTTCCCTCCCTCCCTCCTTCCTTCTCACCAAGTATTTACTGAGTGTCTGGTACATACAACACAGTGCTAAGCCCTTGAAAATCTGGCTAAGTAGCTCATTCATTTGTTTGTGATTTCATTAATCAGTCCTCCCTCCCTCCCTCCCTCCCTGACTCCCTCCCTTCCTTCTTGAGTGCCCAGTACAAACAACACAGTGTTAAGGCCTATACAGGAAACAAGGAAGCGTGAGGATCATATCGTTATTGCTAGGAACCTCATAATTTAACAGAGGAGTCAGACCTCCTTATGAAAATCTCACGGGTGCTTCAAGAGGGGATGAGGACCATCTGCTCAGCTGTGCAGTGCTACCCAGAGAGGAGCGGCAGCGAGGGCTCACCGCCTCATGGGGTGATTGCGGAGGTGGTGTTTGAGCTGCAACTTGAAAGAGAGTCAAGTCTGAAACGTGATGAAGAGGGGCAGGTGTTCCAGGAAAAGTATCAACAAGTATGGGAAAGGGGAATCGAGCATTCTGCCCAGGGAATGGCAAGTAACGGTTTGGAGTGGCCACAAGGGGTTGATATACTTGGGCACTGAGAGATTAAGATGGAAATGGAGAAACCCCTGAACATGAAAACTAAAAAGGACCTCTGAAACTTCTACCTCTACGGCTCCCTCTTGTCTGGAAGACTGTAAGAGCCTCTCGGCTGGCTTCCCTTACCCAACTGGGTAAGGGAAGAGCCCTCTTCTTTTTTGAATCGAGGTACACAGGTATTAGTAATTACTAATTGAATAACTGAATTAGTAATACACAGGTATTAGTTGGAGTTAGGCTAACTGCTAACAAACAATCCCCAAGTATCAGCAGCATAATGTTACAATCCAATGTGGTTAGCGGAGAGCCCCCTGCTCCACACAGTCATTCAGGAACCCAGGTTCTTTCCATCATGTGACACCACCCTCTTCAAACACAATCTACAAGGCTGCTGTTGATGGGTAAAAGTCAGACAGCAGGGAGAAGGCACATCTACCTCCCATGGGCAAGAACTAGCCATGTGGCCCCACCCAGATGCCAGGGGGTCTGATGTGTCATATAATTAACTGTGTGCCTAAAAAGAGGAAATAGGTTTGATGAGAACCTCTTTCTCCATAAACCTCAAGTCAAGTTGATACCTGACCTAAGGAGAAACAAAGACATACAGAGCAAGTGGAGAGCGTGAGGGGATGGCAGGGGCCTGGCAGTGCCAGGGCTGCAGGTTCTGACCTAGATCCTTCCTCTGCCCATGTCCTCATACGGTTAGTGTGCTCCGAGTGCTGGTAGATCTCCTAAGCATCTCCCCTACCTCAGTTTCCTCTTCGGTCCCACGGGAACTCTAACTTGGTCCTCCAGATAGGAGATGTGGAAGAGCAAACATGGATCCTTCCCATCTCTGTGGAGCAGGGGCTCAGGGCAGCCTGGGAGATATTCATCCCCCACCGCCACCCCATCCCTCCAGTGTCCCCTGTGTGATTAAAGAGGAGGCTAAAGAGTGGAATGTTATTACAGCTTTTCCATAATGCAATGTCATCAGGAAGCCCTGGGCCTCTGGGCAGCACCCTGGCAGCCCCATCACTCTTCCCAGCTGCACAGAGCTTTTAAACCACGCAGGGAAGGGCAGGATGCAGTCTAATAAAACAAATGGCAAGGCAAGACCACTCATCAGCAGCTCTTCAAAATGATCTAAGCTGACTTTTGATTTAAATCTGCATCCTCTGTGGCCAAAAACATAAAACAGAAGATGAGGAAAAGAACTAAAATGAAAGTGTGCGGTGCCAAGATTTAGAGGGGAGGGAGGGAGGGGGAAAAGCAGCCTGGGACAACACTGAGTTGAGCGCCAGCCAGGCAGGCTGACTTGCAGCCAGGCTCGGGCCATTTTTATTATGCATCCTCAGAACTTCTCCCTTCCACTACTAGACTGCCCTGAAATGGGACAGAAAGTTTGAGAGTCAATCCCAGAGCAGACAGGCGCGGTGGCTTACATCTGTAATCTCGGCACTTTGGAAGGCCGAGGTGGGTGGATCACTTGAGGTCAGGAGTTCAAGACCAGCCTGGACAACATGGTGAAACCCCGTCTCTACTAAAAATAAAAAAACTGGCCGGCATGGTGATGCACGCCTGTAGTCCCAGCTACTCAGGCGGCTGAGGCAGGAGAACAGCTTGAACCCAGGAGACGGAGACTGCAGTGAGCTGAGATCACGCCACTGCACTCCAGCCTGGGTGAAAGAGTGAGACTCTGTCTTAAAAAAAAAAAAAAAAAAAAAAAAATCCCAGAGCAAAACCTGGAAATCTACCTGCTCCCAATTTCCCTTAGCCTTTCTCCCCCAGCCCTCGAAGATGGGCAACTTAAAGGGGAAGGGCTGAGGCTGGGGACAGGGTGGTGGGGGTGCCAGATGACCTGGGCTTATATTCTCAGGTCGTTCATTCTCTTCAGATTCTTTTACTCAACAAATATTTACAGATGAGTGGGTACCAGGCCCTGCTGTCAAACAGTGACCAGTGCTTTGAGGCAAAAGCAAACAAGAGAGAAGAGGCTGCTACTTTAGATGAGGGTCAGGAAACCTGCTCTCAGGTGACATCTACTACGGAACAGATGCAGAGAGGCAGCAGATCCCTGGGGCAGATGACAGGCATCTCAGCAGAACTGAGGGGCTTTGGATATATTCGGCTGCACTTCAGGTCCCCATTGAGCCTATCCCAGCACACCTCAAACACTTACATGTCTTTAAAAAAAGCTCACCTCCAGAATAAGGCAGCAGTCTATTACCAGAGTGACCCTTCCAGCTACCTTTAACAGGAGGCATGAAATGACTCACTATTCTGATGCAAGTCCAGACCCACTTTTTGGGTAACATATCTGGGTATTGCAGCCAATCGTTTCCTCCAGTTGAATAAGGTGAAAGAAGAAAACTCACGCAGTTGTGCTCCACAATGAAGCTAAGTATTTAATTCCTTTTTAATGTTTACATTATTAACACCAGCATTACAAAACGATATTTTTTACTTGCAAGCGATTTAAATGTGCAATTCGGTGTCTCGATTACTGGGATCATTATAACTTGAAAAACCGAAGAAGTGCTCCCTCCCTCCTCTCTCCTCCCCCTGATGGTGCCTAGTTTCTATAAAGAGCAATCAGCGTTCCATAAAGCCCAAATACCCATTCCAAATGACTTGGGAGGTGAGGCCCTGGTGGGGGTTTTCAATGAGGCATTCAGTGTGGAATGAGTGACAGCCGGCAGGTAGGTGTTAAAATGGTCATCAACTCCCCAAGGTGCTGGCACCACCCAGCTGCATTCCAGGCAGTGCCTATTAATGTGCTAGGAATGGCGCTGGGTGATTGACAAGCGGGTCAGTCCAGACTGGCTGAAACCATCTTCAGGCACAGGGAAAGGAAAAGGGCCTAGAAAATGATCAATAAGAGCCACTGCGATGTGTTGGCTTACTTTGTGCTGGCACTGGCCAAGGCTACACCAGGTGTATAAACACACCACGCACATGGTTTACGATGATAATGCTGCAAGGGGGCCTGAAGAGGTGCCTGAGGGAGTGGCCAAGAGCACGGCTCTGAGCCACCCAGCCTGGGCTCAAGTCCTGGCTCTGCCACTTACCAGCTGGTGACCTTATCCTCTCTGTGCCTCAGTTTCCTCAGTTTCTGTAAAAATGGCAGGATAACAGTAGTACATAAATCTGAGAGCCATTGTGAGGACTAAATGAGTCCATACATGTAAGGCATTTAGAATTGTGCCTGGGCTGGGCACAGTGGCTCATGCCTATAATCCCAACACTTTGGGAGGCCAAGCCCAGAGGATTACTTGAGTCCAGGATTCGAGATCAGCCTGGGCAACATAGCGAGACCCCATCTCCACAAAAAATAAAACAATTAACTGGGCATCGTGGTGGCCACCTGCAGTCCCAGCTACTCAGGAGGCTGAGGCTGAAGCAGGAAGATCGCTTGAGCCCAGGAATTCGAGGCTGCAGTGAGCTATGATTGTGCTCCTACACTCCAGCCTGGGTGACAGAGTGAGACCCTGTCTCTAAAAAAGAAAAAATAAAAATAAAAAATTAAAATAAAAAAAATTGTGCTGGCACATAGTAAATACTCGGTGTTAATTTATCATCATAGTTCTCATTTTAAGATGAAGAAACTGAAGCTTACAGCAATTAAATAACCCGCCTGGGGTTGGCTGCTCTGAAGACCTTTGCCTTTGCTGCCCTGTTCCTGGAAGCCTCTCATGCCCATCTTCCCGTGGCTGCCCCCTCAGGTGACTCACAAGCTGCTCAGGGATGGCCTCCAGACCACTGACCCCTCCCCTGCCCCAATCACTGTGGACCCAGCACTCTGCCTTGATCTCTCCTTCGCACTTATCACATCTGAAATTATCTTGTTCATTCAGCAAATGAGCTAATACATATAGAGCACTATTATTATTATATGTTTGCTTGGTTGCTGTCTGTCCTCATAGGGGCAGGGCCCTCACCTGTCTTGTCTACCACATGACAGGAACTCAGAGCCAGCTTCATGGGTGTGTGGCCTGCACAGTCGCCCAGGGCCCTGCACTCAGAAGGGGCTACATTTGCTTTAATGCTCTGCTGTTATTGTCTTGAAATTCTTAACAATTTTTTTAGAGACAAGGTCTCACTCTGTCACCCAGGCTAGAGTGCAGTGGTGTAATCACAGCTCACTACAGCCTCTGACTCCTAGGTTCAAAGCAGTCAAGCCATCCTCCCACACAGCTAAGACTATAGGTGTGCACCACCACATTCAGCTAATTTTTTAAATTTTTGGGGAGATGCGGGTCTCGCTATGTGGCCCAGGCTGGTCTCGAACTCCTGGGCTCAAGTGATCCTCCCGCCTCCAAGTAGCTGTGATTATAGGCACAAGCCACCACGCCCGGCCTTAACAATTTTTTAACAAAGGGCTTTACATTTTCATTTTGCACTGGGCCCCAGAAAATTATACTGATAGAGTGATCAGGGCTATAGATCAGTGAGTAAGTGAATGAATGAATGAATGAATGAATGAATGAATGAGCAAGCCTACATTCCAAACAGGTCTCTCAGACTCCATAACCCTACTACTTAACTACCATGCCAAACAACCTCCATATGGAGGAAGAGAGGTGGGCAGGGCAGTCAGAACCAGGGACAACCACAGCCTGACGGAGAAGCTAGGGTACAGGGGAAGGGAGCACCTTAGGAGGAAGCATCTGTTTGCGCTTCCTCTGGAGCCCAGCATTCTTCTCAACCTCTCATTGTCCTTGTACCTCAAGCAGCATGAAAACCATTTGCTGCCACCTAATGTTACTTTTTGGTTGCCTAAGACAGAGGGACCTTGGCTCTGCCTCCTGGGACAGATGTGGACCAGTCAGGTGCTCTTCAAAGCCACGGCTATGACAGCGCCTCGGGGCACCCAGCACAGCCCTAGGTGCCTGGACCTTGGTAAGTAAATAGATACAATCCTTGCCCTTTGTGCCTTAGGGGTGTCATCAAAACTACATGGCTATGAGGTGAGGATGGAGCAAGGAGGGACTGCTGGGCTGGGAACCTGGTGGGGTTAATCAGGGGAGCTTTCTGGAGAAGGTGCCCTTGGGCGCCTCATTTTCCACTCCCCCTGAACTCTCCTTACCTCAGCGGGCATCACACATTCTGGTCCCCAGAGGTTTTCCTTTAATGGTCTTGACTCCTAACATCTTCGGAACAGTTAAAGCCATTCCAGTTAAAATCACCCATTGATCTTTCCTCAAATTAAACTCCTCCCTCTCTTTCCCATTGCCACCCCAGGCCTGCCTCTGGCTGTTCTTGGAGCCATCCTTGATCTTCTCCCACTCTCCCCTGAACAGCAGACATCTGTTTCTCCAAACTCTCTAGCATTGTCTAACACTTCAGTTAAAGCTCTCGTCATCTGTAACTTTGTGTCCTGGTTATGTACACATTCCCAGACTTGGCCATCAACTTCTTGAAGGCAGGACTCTCCTAGATTCACCTTTAAAATGTAGGTAAGGCAAGAAGGAAAAGGTTTGGAGGAAGCAAAGTTTTGTACACATTGGATGGTCTTGGCTAAATACAGGATAGTGGAGATATACGGGGGGCTGAGGCTTTCTTATGAAAAATGCAGATGGTGGGACAGTCTTTTGAGAACAAAAATTAGTCCACATGGTGATGTAGCTAGAGACATATAAGAGAAGACTTGATAAAACAAACACATTTTAATGGGAGAAAATATTCTGAAATCACATAGCTGTGAAGGGAGTAATATCTGGAATATACAGAGAACTCCTAAAACTCAATAACAACAACAACAAAAAAAAAACCCGATTAAAAACAGGTAAAGGACTTGAATAGATATTTCTCTGAAGATATACAAATGGCTGATAAGCACATAAAAAGATACTCAATATCACTAATCATTAGACAAATGCAAGTCAAAGCTACATTGAGATACAGCCCTCACCCATTATGATGGTTACTATCAAAAAACCAGAAAATAACAAATGTTGGTAAGGATGTGGAGAAATTGGAACCCTTGTGCACCGGTGGTGGGAGTGCAAAATGGTGCAGCTGCTGTGGAAGACAGTATGGCAGTTCCTCAAAAAACTTAAAATAGAATTACCATATGATCCAGCAATTCCGCTTCTGGGTATATACCAAAAGAATTGAAAGCAAGGTCTTGAGATGTCTGTACATCCATGTTCATAGCAGCATTATTCACAAGAGCTAAAACATGGAGGCAACCTAAGTGTCTATCAATGGATGTGTAAACAAAATGTGGTATATACATGCAACGGAATATTACTCAGCCTTAAAAAGGAAGGAAATTCTGACATATGCTACAAAATGAATGAACCTTGAAGTGAAAATATTATGCTAAGCAAAATAAGCCAGTTGCAAAAATACTGCAGGATTCCACTTACATGAGGTACCTAGAGTAGTCAAAATCATACAGACAAAATAGAATGGTCGTTGCCAGGGGCTGGGGGGAGAGGGGGAAATGGGGATTTATTGTTTAATGAGTATGGAGTTTCAGTTTTACAAGAGTTACGGAGATGGTGCGATGGCTGCACAACATTATTCAGTGCTATTTCATACCCATGAACTGTACACTTAAAAATGGCTGGCTGGGCACCGTGGCTCACGCCTGTAATCCCAGCATTTTGGGAGGCCGAGGCAGGTGGATCGCCTGAGGTCAGGAGTTCGAGATCAGCCTGGCCAACATGGTAAAACCCTGTCCCTACTAAAAATACAAAACATAGCCAGGCATGATGGCGGGCGCCTGTAGTCCCAGCTACTTGGGAGGCTGAGGCAGGAGAATCACTTGAACCCGGGAGGCGGAGGTTGCGCCATTCACTGAACACCAGCCTGGGCGACAGAGCCACAGAGCAAGACTCCATCTCAAAATAAATAAATAAATAAATAAAAGGTTAAGGCCAGGTGTGGTGGCTCACACCTGTAATCCCAGCACTTTGGGAGGCCAAGGTGGGAGGATCACTTGAGCCCAGGAGTTTGAGACCAGCATGGGCCACATAGCAAGACCTTGTCTAAAAAAAATGGTTAAGATAGTAAATTTTGTTATGTGTATTTTACCACAATACAAAATAATAAATTGTAAAGAAAAAAAAAGTTTTTCTAGTCTGAATCAACACAGTTGGCATTGCTCATGCTAGAAAACCTGCGCCTCCCAGAGAAAAATGTCTGGCTTATGAGGGGTAGGAAGGGGGGAACAGAAGGGATACTAACAGGGACTGGGCAGAGAAGAACAAGAACTAGGAAGCACTAAAGAAGGAATTGAGGCCGAGTACCAAGGGATAGTGACAGGTACGGGGGCACCCACGAACAACGTTCAAACATATTTTCATCCAGTAACCTGTATTTACATGCAAATATATTGGTTTATGCAAAACAGCGGAGGCCTCGGGGGAGGGTTTTTTAGTCTCAAGCTTGTGCAGTCATTGAAAAAGAGACGCAAAGCTGTCTCTGGGGTACTCCACGTCCGCCTTGCCCCTGGGAGCTGGGCCGGTTCCAGGAGGACGAAGACTGAATTAGCTCGGCTTGCAGAGAAAGGCGAGCAGCGCCCCTACACGGAGAGTAGCGGTGCGCCTACAAAGTCGCGCATGCCCACTCCGGCCTCCCGCTCCACTCCTAAGGCAGGCGGCGAGGCTTAGTGCGCAAGCGCCATTCGTCGGCGCCGACTCCTCCCGCTAAGGCGGGAACACGCGGGGCCCAAGATGGCGGCCAGCCGGTACCGGCGTTTTCTTAAGCTCTGTGAGGAATGGCCAGTGGACGAGACCAAACGGGGCCGGGACTTGGGCGCTTACCTGCGACAGCGGGTAGCACAGGCCTTTCGGGAGGGAGAGAATACCCAGGTGACCGGCGGGGAGGCGGCTGGGACGAGGGGAGGAAAGGACGAGGCAGGGGCGGGGCCAACGAGCGCGCTAGCAGGGGGATCTGCGCATGCGCGCGCCCTCTTTCCAGGCAGCACGTGAGCGCGGACCCCCTTTTTCCCCCAGGGAGCTACTGATAGCGACGCCCGTTGTATTCAGCGCTCTCCCCCGGCTGCACCTTGGAATTGCCGAAGAAGCTTTTTTTAAACTCCAGATGGGCCGGGTGCGGCGGTTCACACCTATAATTCCAGCACTCTTTGAGAGGCCGAGGCGGGAGGATCGCTTGAGCCCAGGATGACCTCCTGGGCAACATAGTGGGACTCCGTCTCTACAAATCAAAAAACAAACAAAAACTTCAAATGCAGAATCTCTAGGGGTGGGGTCTTGACCTCAGAGTTTTAAAAGCTCTCCAGGTGATTCAAGGTGCAGAGAGAGTTGAGACCCACACCACCAGTGGCAGCTGGTGACAGCCTCAGCTTTTTGCTTCCTTGTCACGGTAGCATTACCTCATTATTTCGCAGTGTTGTGTATTGACTGAGCTAATCCCCAGTTAACTCTGCAGGTCCCCGCTAAGCGTTTGCGTTCTTCCTGAGCCCCTGTAAGCCTGTGCAGCAGGTTTGGGTCCTCAGCTCACGCAGCTGTGTGTGAGTAGTAGGCCTATGTTCTTGCTTTCCTCCAGGTTGGCGCTGCAGCTCTGGGATTCATTCATTCATATAGCTCGTATTTATTGAGCACCTACCATATGCCTGGAACGGTGCTAGGGAAACAGCAGTGTTAAACAGGTGAAGTCCTGCCCGCATGAAGTTTTACATTGTAGTTCAGGACACAATAAGCAGGTAAGTGTACGTAAGACAGATAAGTACTGTGATCGATAGAAAATAGGGTAGCGTGATAAAAGGGTAATGTTATTAGTGGGGCCTTTCTGAGGAGATGACACATAGGTGAGACCTAAGGCAAGAGGATGAGCCAGCCATGTACACTTGGCGGGAAGGACATTCCAGACACTGCACATGTCCAGAGGCAGGAGGCAGATTGACATGTTTGAGGACAGAAAGAAAGCCAGAATGGCTGCAGGGTAGTAAGTAAGGTGGAGTTTGCTAAGGTGAAGGTCCGGAGCCAGGCACAGTAGGATATTATCTGTTCTGATTAGCTTTAGACCTCATTATAAGGCCAGTGAGAAGTCACTGGGGATGTTTAGTGAGGGGACTGATGTGCCCTAATTTACTTTTTAAAAGACTATTCTGGTTGTATGTGGTGAGTGGGCTATAGGGGGCAATAACAAAAAAAGAGGCTGGAGAGAAGCCGATTATGGTACTATAAGCGACAGATGGTGGGGGGTTGGATGAGGACGGCAGCACAGAAGATGGAAGTGGTTGGATTCAGGTTATGCGCAGGTTGAGTCAGCAGGACTTGCTGATATATGGGATGTGGGATAAAGGAAAAGAGAGGAACCAAAGATAGCACCTAGATATTTTTTGGCCTGGGCATCTAGGTCTAAGATGGTGCCATTTACTGAGGTAGGAATAGGTGAAGTGTAGGAAGAATATCTCGAGTTCGGTGTTAAGCAGGTTAAACCTGAGATGCCAAGTACACTGATTTCCAAGTGGCAATGTCAAGTAGGCAGTGCTATATTTGAGCCTGGGGCTCGGGCAAGAGACCAGAAATGAAATGAGATAATGAGATGCATATACACACAGTCTGAAGAAATGACTTGTGAAACTTGGCCAAGACTTGTTACAGAAGGAACATGGGTTTTTTTTTTTTCAGCTTAGCCCGAAACAGAGCCAAGCCAGCCCACCTAAAGGAGCAGGAGCACGCCCAGTGGCATCATTGTGACTGTACTGCTGATTGGCTGGCAGCCTGGGGAGTGTCTGGCCCAGGTTATACGATACCCAGGGCCCTCACATTATTCATGGTGGTCTTCACTGGCCCAAAGTGTAAAGATCTTTAAGGCAAGAATCTTATCTAGTCCCAATTCTACAAACCCGTGAACTTTCTAAAGCTGTACTCCCTGCATATTTTTAGTATGAGCTTCCTGAAAATAGAGATGATGCCATTTTTATCTTTCCCTCTCTCCCCTACGAGTGTCTAGCTAGTTCTTGGCCCATAAAAAAACACTCAGTAAATGTCTGAATGGATAAGTAAATAATTGGTTGTGGCTCATGAGACAAAGATAATTTGAATATAGTTTCAGATGTAGCAGAACTAGATGAAGAGAAGTTGTGAAGAGTGAGAAAGGAATATTTGTGTGTCCTGAGTGGTGAGAATTGATTTGAGAGCTTACCATGTTTGGGAAATTGCAGGATCTATGGAGGAAGGCCATAACCTGGCCTTCACCACTGAGGAGCTTACAGTTGAGCAGTCAGCGGCTCCATCCTTGGGGAGGTGAGAGAGCGTAACATTCACTTGCTTGATTGTTAGTGTAAGAGGAGCCAGCAAAGGAGGAAAGAGTTTTCTCTTTCGGAGTTGTCATCACCTAGGGCAATCGTTTCTGATCAGTCAAAGGCCCACACAGGTTTGAGTCCCAGCTGCAGATGCAACTCATGGCTGTGTTAGTGATTCTGTAGCAGCTGATGAATGCATTCCTGGTAGAGTGAACCAGTGCACAATGGCAGCAGGTGCATTACTCAGGACCACTGTTGCGGTACCTCATCCTAATGTCACCTGAGAATGCACCTGGCCTTAGTAAATCTTTGTGGTAATTTTTGAAGGGCGCAATTCCTTGCTGGAATTGAAAACACTATTGTGAGTCACTCCTACTGACACCCCCAGATCATTTATAAAGACCTTGAGAAAGCAAGATGATTCTGGTAGGCTCTTCATTAAACTGGCAGCAGGAGGTGGGGCTTAGATCCAGTTGACTGACTAGTATGGAGCTCCTCCTTGGTTAAGCCGGTTGCCAGAAGACAGAACTGGAGGGGAAAGTAGCTCTGCTCATGCCGTCTTTCCATTTCCGTAGAGGAGAGAGGCAGTCAGTCCTCCTCTCAGCCTCTTGGCTTCCTTCGTCCTAATGATCACCCTGAAAGGTGCACAGTGCACCTTTGCCGGCGTGATCTCATTTAATCCTTAGTACAGCTGAGTGGTAGCCATTACTGTTCCCATTTTACAGATGAGGAAACATCAGAAAAACAAGACAACGCACTGGGGGTTCCGTAGCCATAAGAGACAAGCCAAGTGAGAAACAGACCCAGCCCCTCTGGCCCTAGTGTGCATCGTCTCCTGGGTGCCTGGCCTTTCCTCAGCTGCTGTTCCAAGTTATTGTTAGAACAACCTCTTATTCCATGAACGTCAAACCACTTCCTTCCCCTGGTTGCCCGTTCAAACCTTTTTGGGCCATAGATAGTTTGGGCAGCAAATGGAACTCCCTGTGTTTACCCACCTATTCTTTGCCCCAGCCACTACCAGTCCAGATGGGAAGAAAGATGGTCCTGGGTGGGACACCAGGCGGAGAAAAGCTGGGTTAACTAAAGGGCAAATCAATAATTCATACACAAAACCAGAGTACAAAAACCACTGCCTCCATTTATTCCACCTCAAATTGCCCTCTGGGGAGTCTTGTGGTCCACCCTAAACCCACCAAGTGGGGAGGTGGTGGTGGGAGCGGGAACACATGTAACTCCTCTTACACCCCATATCCTATTGTGTAGTTTTAAAAAGTCAGTGTTTATGGGCTTTGCCAATTTTGAATACAGTTTGTCTAAGAACACGTGTTTCCTACAGCGCTGAGAGCTTAATAAAAGAATTGCAACGTGGGGGAAGGTGGCACAACAAATGTAATTGTTGACCTAACAACAGAGAAAGGAGCAGATCTTTCTAATGAGTTCATTAGGTGCTTCCTAAAAGATCCCGGACTGCACACCAGCACCCACTTATGTAGCACAAGGTGCAACTCCGAGGGGCGTCCTAGAAGAGCTGCTGCTCTTCGCCCACCAGGGAGTTCTAACTGTATTGTATGCAAGTTTAAGTATAATAATATTGGCCCAGTTTGAAAGAAGTTAAACTTTTTCTTGGGTTTCTAATAAGGTAAATGGTATTTCCACCTTCTCAGAGGAGAATTCAAAGGTTTTTTTGATTCTGTTTTCTCAGTCATCCATTTGAGGCCTGGTCCTTGGCATTCCTCAGTGTGGCAGGGAGCTAGCTCCCAAGCCACCTGGCATATGCTGGCCACGGTGAAGCCATCTCAACGTTGCTCACCCCCACTTGTGGGCCCCCTGAAGTTATGCTTTTGAAGAGTGTCCTAAGAACAGATTATCCTATTTTTAATTATGTATTGAGCCCATCGAAAACCTGGAGTTGTAAGGAGAATCATCTCTAAGAGGGAATACAAACATCTCCATCTTTTTTTCTCTCCCAATTCTGAATGGCGCCAGTGTGAGCTAGGGTAGTATTCACACCAAGGGGTGGCGTTTATCTCTGCATATGTAAAGCTGCAGTGCTCCACCTGAAGGGATAAATTCTTGGCCACTTCTGGTGGGTCACTACTTTATTCAAAGATGTTTGGGGTCTGCCCATTGCCTCCTGGGCAGGTGGCAGGCAACTTTGTGAGACCTGCAGTGCCTCTGATCCTTGGTCCCAGCCTGTGTTTCCAACCTTGCCTCGCACCACCCTAACATGAGCCCCAGGCTCAGCAAGGGTGTCTTCTCATGGTCTCCCAAACTGGCCATGGTACAAGCAATTCTGATCCTTTGAGACTTAAGTGCGCTGTGGATCACTGCACCCCTACAACCGCAAAAAACCCAAACACAGAGTTTGTCAAGAATTTGGTGGCTTCCCAGGCTCTTGGAGCCCTCCCTGGGTTCCCCTTAAAAGCCCTGTCTGCCTAAAACACTCTTGTCCTGTGCCTCTTCATGCCTCATCCTCCCAGTCATTTCTGGTCCCTGTGTCACTCATGCCCAGGTTGGCACTCCTCACTCTCTGCACTGTCGCTGCAGTGAAACTCAGCCCTTTCCTGCCACACCTCCCCATCAGCACAGCCAGGTGCCCAACTCCCACCTCGGGTCTCGTGCAGCGGCCCGTGCTCCGCAGATCTGGCTCTCACTTACACATTGCCCCGGGCAGGGTTGGTTTCTAATTCATGTGTATCTTGTCTCTGTAGTGTGCCTGCCAGCTTCTCCACAGCTGGCCTGGGTCGTCGTCTTTGTGGCCCCTCACCGTCCCCTAGTGGAGCACTCTTTCTATAGTAGGTGCTCAAGAAATACATTTTCAACTCAATTGAAGGGAATAGGCTCCCATAACAGAATGAACTCATTTCAGAAGTTCATTACCAAGTCTTGAAAACCTTTTTTTATAGATCCTCCTGGACCGAATCCAGCTCTACCTTAATTAGCAAAGCAATTTGCAACACCCTTTCCCAAAAGTGCTTATGCGTCCCTTTGTGTGACTAGAATAGGGGCCGCTGTACCAATTGCTGTCACCACCCAAAATTCAATTTGCAAAATCGAAATCAGTGCCTGCAGCACTGATGTAGATTTGTATGTATAAAAGTTTAATATGGTAAAGAGAAATTTACTGACGACTGAACAGGGGAAATGCAAAAGGAGCAAAAATAGAGCTATAAAGGACACTCGTCAGATGAACATCTATTTTATTCACATTTGGGGAGCAGTGCTGAATTTTTCATAATGTCCCCACTGCT
Source organism: Homo sapiens (assembly GCF_000001405.40). Taxonomy (NCBI): domain Eukaryota; kingdom Metazoa; phylum Chordata; class Mammalia; order Primates; family Hominidae; genus Homo; species Homo sapiens. The sequence continues at coordinate 33,705,895 of NC_000006.12, read as the reverse complement.
GCCTTTTCAAACCCAGCACTGCTATTAGTCCTAAAACGTCTGTGATCTCATTAGGTGTGAATGCAAAATCAGGTAATTTAAAGCATGTATTAAGAATATTTCTAAAAATGCACCGTCCATTTCATCAGAAAAACTGCATTTCAGAGCTCAGGAATGTTAGTGCTGGAGTCTGTGAATAAAGTGTAAGCTATAGGAACGTGGTGAGGCTTCTGGAATTCGACAGATGTCTCCACTGACATCCTTTTAAGTAGTAAGCATGACTTTTTTAATTGCTGAGCTTGAGTTATCTGTGGCTAGGAACCCAGCATTGACCAAGGCTTCATCACTCCTCAAGCAGTAAGAACTTGGCTAGAAATGGGCATGTCTCAAACTCCTGTCACCTCCACTGAGCTGCTTTTACAGCCTCAGTTAGACACCTTCTGACCTCAGACGGGAAACTGGATGGCAAGTCTGTTTTAGGACTCAGGTGTTTGGTTTTCTTTCTCAGGTTACAGCTGAGTCCAGGAATTCTGGGAACTCTCTAGGAGACTGTCTCTTTCACACAGGAAGTTTCAGAAGTGAGAGTGGTCGGGTGCGGTGGCTCAAGCCTGTAATCCCAGCACTTTGGGAGGCCGAGGTGGGCGGATCACAAGGTCAGGAGATTGAGACCATCCTGGCTAACACGGTGAAACCCCATCTCTACTAAAAATACAAAAAATTAGCCAGGCGTGGTAGCGGGCGCCTATAGTTCCAGCTACTTGGGAGGCTGAGGCAGGAGAATGGCATGAACCCGGGAGGCGGAGCTTGCAGTGAGCCAAGATTGTGCCAGTGCACTCCAGCCTGGGCGACAGAGTGAGACTCCATCTAAAAAAAAAAAAAAAAAGAAGTGAGAGTACCTGAGGGTCACTTTGCTTTTTGCACTTAGACTTTGTACATTTTGCTCTTATAGGAGCAGCACTCTGCAAGGGTGACCCGCCCCCCATGCCCCTCCTGTCTGTCCTGCTGCTCATCAGGGATGGGACTACGTGGCAAGGAAGGACAGCACCTTATACCACACCTGCTTGAGGGTGTGATACAAGGTTGCTGAGCAACCTACTGGTGACTTCTCACTGCTAGAGAAGTTGGAGCAGGAAGGGAACTTGAGTTGAAAGGTATTTGAGGGTGGGGATCTGGTCAGAATGCAGGTTTATCAGGAAGCAGTGTTAGGAGCCCAGGAGAGAGGCAGAGGCTATGGGAGGAAGGCAGATCAGCTTGTGGACTCCTTTCCTAAGAGCTTGGTTGGGAAGGTGGTGGGGATGGTGGCAGGACGGGAAGGTCCAGATAAGCGGCCATCAGGTGAAGACCAGGTACAGCAAACAGCTGCTCTCTCGGCAGACCATGGAGAGCTCAGTGACTGCTGAGAGCCACCAGGGTCAGTCAGGAGTGAAGCCTCAGCAGTTTTTCATCCTTCCTCACTTCCGTTTCCAGCGCCACCCTCGGCAGTGCACACCAGCCATGCTGATCCACTGGTAACATGCTGACCCATTCCCTGGGCACGGGCTCCACCTGGTCCTGTGCCTGGAGCACCCCACTCCCTTGCCGGTACATGCGCCCATCCTCAGCCACTCATTGTCCAGCACTTCCTGCCTGGCCCCATAGGCCCATAGCACCTTGTACATGCCCCTTCATTCCACTCCCACCAGGGTGGTTCTGAACTGTTCTGTCCTTTCCCCTCTTATTTTATGAGACAGGGGCCTGTGTTTACTACAACTCTTTACTACTAATAACTGTGAGAAAAACTAATCGCTCACATTTATCGGCGTTCCAGGCCCGGAATTCAGAGCAGCCCAAGCGTCACCTCATTTATCCTCACACCACCGGGGACGTAGGGGCTATTATTATATTTTCTTTTAAAAGAAAGGTTAAGTTGGCCAGTATGCTTTAAAAATGTTCAGTGCATGAAAGACAAAGGCCGAGGAACGGTCCCGGATTAAAGGAGACTAAAAGATACATGACTGTTAAATGCAGCAGGACATCCTGTTTTTCCATAGATTATTATTGAGACAATTGACAGAATTGGAATATGGACTGTGCATTAGATAATAGTGTTGTATCGGTGTTAAGTGGCCTGAATTTGATCATTGAACTGTGGTTATATAAGAGAATGTTCTTGTTCTTAGGAAATGCACACTGAAATATTATGGGGTGAAGGGGCATTATGCTCCTACTTTCAAGTGGATCAGAAGAAGGATATGTATGTACAGATACAGAGAAAGATAAACTGTGGCAACTTTTTTTTTTTTTAAGTGTATTTCATGGGGAAGAGTGAGTGGTTTGCCTGACATCACATAGCTGATAAGGGATGGTGCCAGGAGTCAACCCAGGCAGTTTGACTCCCCTGCTCCCTACAGCCTTGGAGATACTCATTCACCCAAGCGTCCCCTGCTCATAGATGGGCCAATCATGCTATAGGGTCTCGATGAATGTCTGTTAAATTTATAAGTGAGCACACTTTGGGAGGCCGAGGTGGGCAAATCACAAGGTCAGGAGTTCGAGACCAGCCTGGCCAACATGGTGAAAGCCTGTCTCTGCTAAAAATACACAAAATTAGCTGGGCGTAGTGGTGGGTACCTGTAATCCCAGCTACTTGGGAGGCTGAAGCAGGAGAATCACTTGAACCCAGGAGGGGAGTTTGCAGTGAGCCGAGATCACGCCATTGCACTCCAGCGTTAGCTCTTGGCTGTGCGTGCCCTGCTGAAGAAATGTTCCAGATGTGTTCGCCCAGATGTGTGCAGAATTCCATTCTAATGGGACTTTCCCTGGACAAGCTGACCAGCAGCAGGGAGACCACAGCCTCATATTTTCCATTCATTCTGTCCACTCAGATAATGACTTTATTATTCAGCAAACGCTGGCCACCTCCTCAGGCCATAATCCTTCCTCTTCTGATGTATCTGGGTGTACATTCTCATGATGAGTAGCCTGAACGCAGGAATGGGTCAGGTAGAACTAAATGATGGATTGTCTTTTTTGTTTGCTGTAAAGTAGGGACCTCATTTGACATGCACAGAGAGGCAGCAGTGGAGCTGCCTATTAAACCACTTTACTACTGATTTATTTATGCTCTGCCTTCTCCAAGGAAGGATTTAAGTTAGGAAAAAATCCATCATTTGAATTCTGGGGGAAAAAATATAAAAGAGAAAGTTTTGTTCTGGGGAGCTTTTCAAAATTCTTGGCAGAAAAATATAAAGAACTATACATAAATAATAGGAAGGACAGAGTAAAGGGAAAGTTAGAAGAGGTGCAAGAGAAAAGACCACACCTCCTCTGTATGCTGCCTGTCTCCCTGAGAAGGTCCAGCAGGGGCACTGCTGTCTCTGGCACCAGAGAATTGACTTACATCACCCTTTCTATGGCAAGGCCTCAGTGTTCTGGGCCATCTCCTTTCTAGCAGGACCTAACTGTGGTCCTGGCTTGGTTCTCCTCAGTTTACACATTTTATCTTAAATGTTGCCTTCTTCATGTTTCTTTCCTTCTTGTAGAGTTTCAGCAGCTCCCCACTTATCATAGATTGAGAACTCAGATGATTTTTTTTTTTTTTGCCTTTGCTAAAAGAATCTGTTGGTCTGAGGCCGGGCATGGTGGCTCATGCCTGTAACCCCAACACTCTGGGAGGCTGAGGCAGGTGGATCGCTTGAGGTCAGGAGTTCGAAACCAGCCTGGCCAGCATGGTGAAACCCTGTCTCTACTAAAAAATACAAAAATTAGCTGGGTGTGGTGGCACATGCCTTTAATCCCAGTTACTCAGGAGGCTGAGGCTGGAGAATTGCTTGAACCCAGGAGGCGGAGGTTGCAGTGAGCCAAGATTGCGCCACTGCACTCCAGCCTGGGCAATAGAGTGAGAGACTGTCTCAAAAAAAACAAAAGAATCTACTGGTCTGGCCTGAAGCATCCCACAGGATTCCTGCCTCCTCTTCCTTGCTGACGGCATCTCCTCCCCCAGGAAGGCCTGCCCTTCTCCCTTCTGCTTGCTGACCTTCTGCTTGCTGACCTTCTGCTGTGCTTCCTTCAGAACCTAGCATTGTCTCACTTCCATCATGCACTGACCACTTGAGCATGCGGGGACTCCCCCACTGAGTCCCTGTAGCCCACTCTGCCCAGCACCCCCTTTGTTAGGCACGCCTTTCCAACCTTACATTTCTATTGTGGCATCTCCCACTGCAGCTGGTGTCGTGGCTCACAAGTCACAGATGCTCAACAAATGCTTGTTTGCTGATTAATTGATCTGATTTTTCTGTAGGTTGGGGAGTTGATGAGGCAGAGCTATGCCTCCAAAAAGTAGTTTCTAATAGCAGAGCTGTAGTCCAGGTTTGCTTCCCGCAGAGTGGAGAAGCCAGTGCTAGCTGCAGGCCTGCTTCATGTGAACGCTTTATTAAGTATGGTCTTTCCTCAAGGTACAGACACTGTGGGAGGCAGGACTCCTTTGCTCACCTCCTTTGGGATTCTTTGCTTTTCAGGTTGCAGAGCCTGAGGCCTGTGATCAGATGTACGAGAGCTTAGCGCGACTCCATTCAAACTACTACAAACACAAGGTGAGTGGGCCACAGTCTTTTATATACCCAGCTTTCTGACGGGACAACTAATAAGAATGAGTGAAAATCTGATTAGGTAATGTTTTGTAAAGACTTGGCTTTGCTGCGTTCAAATGAAACCAGTAATTTCAACCAAGCCAACAGAGGTGCCTGGTAGAGGCTTTTAGGCCACCTAAATAAAAGCTATTTAAAATTGTGAATATAGGGAAGAAACAAAACCAATTATGAATAGAAGCCATGTATTTGATATGCCAGTGTGTGCTCCTGGGAATGTCTGACAGCCATTGGATTTATACCTATTTTCCCATCCACTCTGACGGAACTGACACCTCCCCACATTCTGGTGATAAAGATGGGATGATTGGGAAAGTGCCCTCCTTTTACGGAGCTGGGCCCAACATGATTACTGTCAAATTCCATTTAGAGTGGTTTTTCCCATACTTGAAAAATATGCTCATTAACTCCACAAACATTTGTGGCCATATGCCTATGTGGAAAATTGATTTTTTCTAAATCCTCCCTGCTAACATGTGATCCATGAGCAGCAGCATGGGCATCACCTGGGAACTGGTTAGAAATGCAGAATCAGGGGCCCCACCCATACCTGCGTTTTCCAGGGAGGACTCACGGGTACATTATAGTTGGAGCTGCCTCCTGGAGACTGTACTGGTTCTTGCGAGGCCAAGTCTTGACCTCGAGGTGGCGCTGCTCTTCTCCTTGCTAGGCCTCCTGGCCTCTGGTTGCCCAGGGCCTAGGTGAAATGCAGTTAGAGAGCAGGGCTTGTGTGCTGATCTCTCCCCTCCCTTCACTTCCTTTCTGCCCCGGTGACCAGTACCCTCGCCCCAGAGACACCAGCTTCAGTGGCCTGTCGTTGGAAGAGTACAAGCTGATCCTGTCCACAGGTAATGAAAGCACAGCTGCCTTTTCTCATTGGTTTGCAAATGATTCTGAGTTTGAGTGGCCAAGGGGAATTGTCTAAGAAGACAGTTTTGCTTGATGGAAAGTCTTGTAGAACAGCCCAGAGGAAATTCTGAAGCTACAGGGCGCATGCATTTTGACCATATACTGTGGAGAAGGTCAAAGGCGTTATTTAAAAAAGAAAATCTATCTTTAGGGCTTTTAAATTCAAGGCTGGGCATCAGGGAACAGAGGAATACCTATTTGCCAAATGGAAGTAGTTGAAATCAGGATGGAAGGAAAATAATTTTATTTTTATGGTCTTAAGAGGGCTTTATAAACAATGAAGGTTTTAATTAAAACAAAAAACCATTCAATAAACGTGTTTGGGGATATCCGCCTAAGAGTTATGTGACCCAGGGGACGTGGTCTGTGGGTTAGATATGAGTTTAACTAGGTATGTTTTAGAGTCATTGATAGACTCTGATTATCAAGAAAGGAAACATCCTGCCAAGCCCGTCCTTTCCTTACTTCCCTATCTCCATTGTCCCTAAGGAGGGGGGCCGGAGAGCCAGGGATGAAGTAGGCAGGTACTGGAAAATTACTATTTTTGTTGCCAAGTATATTATATACAAAAATAGGTTAACCTTTTCTGGGAGGGCATGGCCCTGACACATTTCCTTCTGGTATTCTAGAAATGTGTCTTTCCTCTTCTTCTGGCAGCCTTCAGCAACTTAAGTTTTGAGGATTTGGGCTTCTAGAAAACTCTCTTCTGAGATTAAAACCTGGTGGTGTCACCTGCTATTACATGTCAACTCTAACCCTATTTTTATTCCAGTACTCTCTGGGAAACTGTGGTGAAGATATTTTGGCCAGGCAGAATCACTTTATTGGCAATTTTTTTTAATGTGTAAATTTACTCCTATATCCCTGGGTCCGTGTAATTAGCAGCATTGATGCACATTATTGTGAGGGCCCTGGACAGTTTGAGCAAAGTTTGAACTTGAAGTGAGGGCGGAAGTAAGTTCCAGAGGCCCTGCCTCTGCCCTCTGTTTTGTTCACCTCAGGGCAGCCTCTGCAAGTGGAAAACAGGCAGCAACGAAGGCTGGGAGATAGTCCCGCCATTGGTCCGCGCTGCAGCTTGTTCTGGCAGCGAGTTTAGTTCAGGAAATTTGCTGAGAATTTGTTTTCACAGCAAGCCTCATATTTTTGTTGCAAATTGTGTGGCGTAAGCTTACCAAATGTTTCCTCTGACAGGACAAGAAAAGACCTGCAGCACCTTGTAGTGAGAGGCTTTGAGGGCCTGGCAAGTCTGAAATGTGCTGTGTTCTGGGTTATGTGTGTGTCCACCCTGGGATTGGGGTCATGGAAAGCGCCTAAGGGAGGCCTCAGTGTCCACCTGGACACTGGAAACATGGACTTCTGGAAAAGCTCCAGAGCAGGGGCTTTTTTCTGTTACCTTTTTTGGTCAGAAAAGATACTCTTTTTTTCTCCAGTAGTTTTGTTAACGTGAAAATTTAGGCTGGTAAAGCAAAACAATATTATAAGAATATCTAAAATTTAACATGCACGTAAAATTAGATTTCATGGAACATTAGCCCTAGAGACTTTAGACAAATGGTTCCGTACTGGGGGGATGGTTTTGCCCCCCAGGGGACATGTGGCAATGTCTGGAGACATTTTTAGTTGTCACAACTGGTGGTGCGGGCAGCGGTGCTACTGGCATTAGTGGGTAGAGGCCAGGATGCTTTGAAACAGCCTTCAGTGATGCACAGGCCAGCCCACGACGAAAAATTATCTGGCCCAAAGTGTTGGTAGTGCCAAGGCCAAGAAACCCTGCTTTGGTTCCTGGGTGTAGGGACGTGTATGTTCTTAAACAAGAGCCCCTCCCGCCTGCATTGTGGTGGATGATGGCTGCCTTTTCATTGAGTGCGGGCTGTGTGCCAAGCGAGTTACCTCCATGCTTTTCTTTAATCCTTACAACTTTTGAGGTACGTGTGGTTTTTTTTTTCTTACTTTTTCACCTCTCCCCAAGTTGTCTGCAGATGTGTGTTTTTATCTTCATTTTACAGATGAGGAACCCGAAGCGTAGAGGGTTAAGTAATTTGCTTGAGGGGACCCAGAGTGGGAGATGATGGGCTCGGATTCAGGCCCAAGGCCATCCCCCTCCCAGTGCCTGCTCAACTCCACAGCATGTGCTGAGTCCACACACCAGGATTCAAATCCCTGCTCCACTTCCCAGCTGTGCAACCTGAGCAAGTTACTTCACTGCCTCCTGCCTCAGTTTCCACACCTGAAAACTGGGGACAGGAAGGGCTGTGTGGAGCAGGCCAAATTTTGCGATGAAGCATCTGGGTCTGTGGGTTGCACAGCGGACAGCGCAGGGCCATTTCTTTGCCCTCATACGGAGCAGGGCAACGAGCAGCACATCCCGCTTTGATGCCGAGGGTGAGGAGAGGGCAGGAGACCACTGACAGCGTGCTGGGCACAGAGTCTGGCACACAGTGCTCAGTCCCCGCAAGCGGTCACTTCTGTTACCTGTTTGATCTGCTCTTCAGGAGCTGGGTCTCCACCTTTTTCAGGAACACACTGTGTGAAAAGCAAGCCATGCTTGTGTCGGGAAAGCCCAGTGGGTCCAATCTATGTCATCAAGTTTTAGACTTCAGTCCCTCTCTCTTTTTGTCTTCCCCTTTTGCAGACACCTTGGAAGAGCTTAAGGAAATAGATAAAGGCATGTGGAAGAAACTGCAGGAGAAGTTTGCCCCCAAGGGTCCTGAGGAGGATCATAAGGCCTGAGCTCAGGCCTTACCTCGTGCACATACCTAGGTGTGGAGTCTTGTACATTGCCATCGTCAATAAAACTGCCCCAGTTTCCCCTTGACCTTACGGTTTGGGAATCTCCTCTAGCTTTCCCAGAAAGGAAGCCCTTGCTGCTCTAAAGAAAGTTTCAGCCTGAGAAGGGATGGTGATTGAGCTATCTGCTGTGACTGCTGCTCAGGGTAGGGAAATCTCCTGGGGAGAGGAAATGCAGGTTTCCCTCTGGGCCTGATGAGGGTAATGGGGCCTCGGCACAAGGTGCTTCCTGCATTGCCACGGGAGCCCCCGCCCCTCTGGCACGGGTCTGGTGTCTCCTGGCAAGATACTCAGGCTCCCTTTTGTTGTAGGAGCTCCTGGGAGGAAGCCAAAAATAGCAGTAAATACTGAAAAGGGCATCCTGTTGCAAACAGAAAGCAGTAGGGAGGTGTGAGGCCGAGAGAGGCAAAAAGCCTGCTTGGCCCTCATCCCCACTGACTCAGAGAAGGATGGACCTTAGGCCTCTATCCCTGACCTTGCAAAAACCCACATTGCCCAGTTGGCTTAAGGGACAGGGAAGCTATAGACAGGCCTTGGCCAAGCGGGGCCTCAGCTGCAGTTGGCTTCAGCACTGTGGGCAGGTTCTGTAGGTGGCCACAAGTCAGAGGCCCTGCTGGCTGAGGACACACACAGGGTCACCTCATTATTCCATGGAACCTTGGCTCTTACTGATATTGAGCATCCTTCTCTCTGGAACCGTGAGGGACAGGGCTGGGCCCACAGCGGCCCTGGTGGGTACAAAGTGGAAGTGGGTTCTTAACCTCGTCTGTGTCTAGACTCCTCAGGATGTTCTGAAATGCATAAAATAAAATCGACAGGACTGCCGTAGAAACCAGTTATGCCGAAATGCAGTTCTGGGTAGGCAAATCTCAGGGGAGGACCCTTGAGACAGGATGTCACTCAGCGTATCTCCTGAGAGCCTGAGAGGCCAGGCCAGCAGGGAGGGGCTCTTGTTCCTGTCTTCTGCCAGTGTGTCCTGTTAATCCCCACAGCCCCCGGGGGAGTGCAGGAAACACATCCCTTTTTAACGGACTAGATTTCTATTAATTTATTTAAGGCAATTAACATATTAGTTCTCAGGCCAAAGGATTTGTAAAACATTACACCAAAAGGAGAAAAACAAGCGGTCATGAAACAGCCACGCAAGCGCAGCTCAGCCCTTGTTGCCTGGGCGTACAACTCTTCCCCAGGAAGCCTGGGAAGAGGCAGGTCCTGGGAGCAAGATCGTCCAT